>NC_000004.12:6958495-7264992 GCF_000001405.40 Homo sapiens | reverse complement strand
AGGATTCTGAGGGACAGCAATGCTGGAGGAGCGGCCAGGCGGGAATGATGGCATGAGGCGGGCACCGCAGGGGAATGAGCAGCTTCAGGCTGGGGTCTGGCATGGCAGGGTGAGGGCAGGACTGGACATCGCCGGGGGCCTCTGGCTCCAGCCAGCAGCAGGGCTGCACGGAGAGGGTGCATCTCCCCTGCACCCTCAGGGTCTGGCCTGCAGCTGGAAGGGAGTGGGGGTCAGGACTGCAGAGAGCAGACCCAGGCATGGTGAGGGGCTTTCCATAGGGAGGCCAGCCCCTGCCTGCTCCCAGCACCCAATGCCCCAGGGCCGGCAAGAGCTCCGCCTAGTTTCAATCACAGGAGAAGAACAGCACCCTCAATTAAACGGGCCACACAGCACCTTCCCGAGAAGGACATCACCTCACCATCACTCCACGGAGAAGCCTTCCCAGACCAGGGGCTGAGTGCCCACCTGTGATTTCCTGTGGATAGCCGGTGGTCGGGAGACACTCGACGGGGTCCAGGCAGTGGTGGTGGCAGCTTGGTGCTTTGGGGGACACCTAAGGCCAGGCCAGCTAGGGGACAGATGCCCACACCTGCAGTCACTCATCCCATGCCCCTGGACAAGCAGGAGAGGGCCAGGGTCTAGGAGATCAGGGCATCCAACCCCTCACTGCACAGACAGGCACCCAGGTGCTGAGGGAGGTGCGGGACATGGGCTGCACAGAGCCAGGTCTGTTCTCTTCTCGCTTTGCTGGAGAAATACCTGCCCTCTGATGACTGACATCTGCCAGAACCTGCCCCCAGCCAATCACATCTCTTAGGCAGGGGACTTAGGGATTTCACCTCTGAGTCCCGCAGTCTCCACTGCTTCCCGTAACCTCAGCGCAGTGACCCTGTGTGGTCACTGTCTCTCTACTTCTCTGCTCCCCCATCCAAAGGGAGGGGGGCCTCTGTGACCTCAGGACCTGGCACTCGGCCTGGCACACACTGGATCCTCAGGACATGTGAGGAGAGGGAGTGAATGAATGAGTCAGTGAGTGAATGAGTGAGTGAGTGAATGAATGAAGTTCACCAGCTTGCCAACACCACGGCCCACGGTGGGAACGAGACGCACCAAGGTCCATGGTGCCCAGCAAGCTCCGTGGATGAACCAGTGTCCACGTCGGGGTGGAACTTGACCATGAAGGCACTTGCCCAGCCCTGGCTGTTTTGAGACACCATGAGGTGGGTGTCCACAGTGGAGTCTTGCCAGCCCCACACCAGCATGGAGGAGGAGCCTGCCAAGCAGCAGTCCCCAGGAGAGTCAGCAGCCTTGCTGGACAGCCCTGTGCCCCAGCCACTTTGACATACAGGCAGCAGAGACCACGGGCTTAGCTGAAGCCAGCTGCTGAACAAGGCTTCTTGGCCAAATGCAGGAGAACCTGGAGCCAGGAAGGAGTCCGTGGGAACTCCACACCAAGTTCACACACACAGCAGGTTCGCAATCAGGTCGGACACGCCCGGCTCCTTCCCAGGACAATGAGGCAGACGATGATGAACACCCGGCCAGCGTCCTGCCCAGCCTGTGCCACCAGCATCACAGAACCAGAATGACGGGTGCTTTCTTTGACAAGGTCCTTCCTGCTCCTCCAGGCTGGGCTTTTTCACAGGTGAGTTCAGGGAAACCAGGGAGGGGACCGGGACTCCTCAGCCTCCCAACTCTCAGTCCATTTTCCTTCCATTACACCAGGTGACCTCTCTACAGATTTCAACAATGACTCAAAGTCCTCTTATTACTAATACAACCGTCATTTATTGAGTATTTAAAACAATCTGGTTACTTCCCACACCTGCATTTGCCCATGAGGAATGGAGGGTGGTAATTTCACAGGTAAAGACACCAAGGCTCACTGGGGTGACATGATTCCAGATTTAATCGCAGGTCTCTGGTTCCAAAGCCCCTGTTCTTTCCTCTGCAGCAGTCGGGAAGCAGAAGGCAGGCATATAAACTGTTAGGATGAGTCCCTGAGACCAAACTGGGCAGAGACCTCAGTCGTAGGACTCCCAGAGCTCCTCAAACCTGGACCACGAGGTCCCACATTGGCCGTCTGAGCCCTGCGGTGATTTTCCCAAGAATGTCTGGGCTGTGTCCTGAGTCCCTCCACCTTCACCAGACACAGCCTAAAGAAAAAGCAGTGCCTAAATCCTGGCTGGAAGGCACACAAGACCCAGGAGGCATGGAAAGGGAGTCCCTGCTGAGGGCTGTGTGGAGGTCGTGTCAGTGTGCCCAGTGTTCCCCATGGGAACCCTCAGCAGGATGGCTGCACACTCCCAGCCCCCTCCTCAGAGGCCCTCCTTGAACCCCTCACCAAAGTGCCCCAGTCAGCTTCTTGCCGATCATCTTGTATATATTTCCCTAATAGAACCTATTGCTACCAGCAATTACCTGGGAATCATATTTGTTGATTTGCTTCTCATCTGGTGTCCTCCACACTACACTGGAAGCTCTGAGAGGACAGGGGCCTATGTCTGTCTTGTTACCACACTATCCCAGTGCTTAAGCAGTGGCCTACAGGAATAGGCCATGGATGGATGGATGGATGGATGGATGGATGGATGGATGGATGGATGGATGGATGGATAGATGGATAGGTGGGTGGATGGATGGATGGATGGATGGATAGATGGATGGATGGATGGATAGGTGGTTGGATGGATGGATGGGTGGGTGGATAGATGGATAGGTGGGTGGATGGATAGGTGGGTGGATGGATGAATCGATGGATGTGTTGGTGGATGGGTGGGTGGGTGGATGGATGGATAGATGGATGCATAGATGGGTGGGTGGGTGGGAGAATGGATGGGTAGATGGGCAGATCAGATCTTTCATTTCTGCTGAGACCTTTTGCCACCTCCATTATCTTCCCCCTGTATGAATGCCATGTTTACAAAGCTAATTTCATCACACACACTTCCACACCCAGAACCCCCATATCTTGCTCAAATCTATTTTGTATACACATAAAATGTATTTATCAATATTGTTCAGGGTTTTCCTTAGAATGAAATGCAAATGGCAAATTTCATACATAATGCAAATTTCCCAGTCGACACAAATCACATGGAAAGGATCCTCGGTCATCTGGCTCACTAATTTCTTTACAGTCAGAAGGCATCAGGGACCATGCCCACAGGGCCCCTTCCCCAGGCAAAGCCCAGGGCACAGCCTCTGAGCTCTCTCACCAGCAGGGAATGTTGGTGGAAAGGCCGGTCCCGAGGTGTTTTTTCCTTTTATTAGTACTCAATCCAGTGCCTCAGGCAGCTTGCCGAGCAGCCTGATTCCCGATCTGCTGTAATTGAATAATCAATTGCAGCTTCCTTAATAACTGAATTTATTAAATGCAGGATATGTACAGCTGATCATTCAAGGAACTAATTTGCAAGCCAGGGCTTTTGAGGGATTGTTTAAAGAGAGGATCCATATGTTTCATAAATCTGGGCTGGAGAGAAAGGAAGGAGTAAACAGCAAGGCAGAGAAATAAATGTCCATGGCATGATTTGCATTCAGTAAATATAATCTCATGCCTTGGCCACGCAGGCATGGCAGACAAACAGCACATTTACTAATGAAGCAACACCGTCTGCCTGACCACAGAGCTAAATATGACACATTTATGGCCGTCGCAGAGCCCTGTCTGGGCTGCTCTGGGAGACCCGTCTCTTCCCTTTGAAGGGTCTCCAAATTCTCTCGAGAGAATCACCAGCCCCTCTGGCCTCCACAAGCTGGATCAAACGCCTGCCTGCCAAAATGTAATGTTAGACGACAGAGCTGTTGACATTTGCCAATTATACAAGGTCATAAGGGGACAGAAAGCAAGAGAATTCCCAGGCTGGTTCCAGCACCCATCACAGTGTCTGACCATACAGGGGAAAGCCAGCATGACCATAAGTTAGAACTTCAATTCTCTGAGATGGCTTTTCCCAAGCATCATCCGACAGATGTTGACGAGTGCTCTAAGGTAAAAACAACAACAAAACAGGGATCCGTGATCAACTAAGTTCAGTGCTATGAGCGCCTCAAGGATGACTCTCCACCTCTCTGAGCCTCGGTGTCCCCATTGTGAAAGGGCTCACAGACCCTGCTCGGGGGAGGTTGTAAGAACACGAGCAGCAGCAGGAGGAAGAGGGTCACACCATGTCTTCCCGGCTTTCACCACTGTGTCTCCAGCGCTAGTGGGCCTTCAAGGCCCTGCTGAAATGCCACCTCCTCCAGGAAGTCTCTCTGGTTCTGCCCTCCTTACCACCCTGAGTTGCCACTGACTTTCCTTCCCCTGAAGCTGCCCCTTAACTCTCTGTGTGTGTCTCTTAAGAGGCAGAGAGCTTTCCTACCTGGTTTACGTTCCCATATTTGGCATGTCACCTCCAACACAGCCCATGATCATTTGGGGTAGTAACCACAGCTCCCGTTCACTCATTCATTCATTCATTCCACAAACAACTGTTAAAAGCCCACTGGCCCAGAGTCAGTAAAGCAAATGACATGTTTGTTGAGTGACTCCTAGACCAGCCCATCAGTCAATCCATTGATGGATCAATCATAGCAATTTGTTGCTCAACATTCCTGGGAGGGGGGAGGTGGGAGGAGGCTTGGAGGCAGATAGAGGAGCCCAGGCAGAGAGTAAGTGTGGCTCCTCTGACCCTCCTATGATAAACCCACACAGCAGACCCCTTTGAGTGGCCACAGAGAGGAGGAAATCCAGCCCCTCAGGGGGCAACTGGCCAGAAGGCTCTGGGCATCCAGAGCAGCTGCCTCCTACCCATTCTTTGGATGCCCAGTCCCCTGACACCCACAGGGAAAAGAAAAGTTCCCACACATGGGTTCTCACTTGGCTGCCGAGTTCTGAAAGGGAAAAGGGGAGAAGGTGTCTCTATTCTGCCTTTCTCCAACCCAAGCCTGGGAGGGCAGGAGAGGGGAGTGAGAGGGGTATGGTGGGCAGCAGCAGCGCAGATGCAGGAGCTTCTGTCATTCCCCCAAATCACCCTCAGCCCCTGCCTGCACCAGCCTGGGCTGTCAGAGGAAACTCTGTCCTGCCCAACAGGCTGGGTGGCCCAATGGTGAACACACAGGCTTTGGCGTCAGCTCCACGCATGAGCAAATCTCCAGTCCTCCACCTCATCCACAGCAGTGCAGGGGGCCGACTTCTCCTCTCAGAGTCTCAGGTCCTCATCTGTAAGATGGGGAGATGCTGTGAACCCCAAGGGCATGTGATGTGTGAATGAGATGATGACTAGAAGAGAAACAGGAAATGGAAGACAGCGTGGGGCCTATGACCACCTCCTCCTCGGGCACAGCCAAGGTAGGGCGGGAGGCAGGAGGGGAGGCGGGTACTGCTACATCAAAGGATGGGCTGGCCTGGACAGGGCATGAGGAGCAAGAGGGCTCCTGGGAGGGGCCACACCAAGGGCCACCCCTGGGCCTGACGTCAGGGACAGCTCCTGTTCCAGGGAAAGCACAGTGCTCTCACCAGGAAGAGCGCCCTCAGCACAGCAACCATTTCTCAAACACCTGCCACATACCCTGGGCCTACGAGTACAGAGTACAACCCCTGTGAGCCCCGTGATTCTATCTGTGCTTGAGAATGTGGGTTCTGAGGAGATCCTGAGTCCCACAACCTGGGTTCAAATCCCCCAGTCATGGAATTGAACTCTGCGGACCTCAGCTTCCACGTCTGTAAAATGAGGATGATTGCATCACTTTTTAATTGAGTATGGTAAGGATTAAATGAGATACATCTGTGTCAGCCAGGCTCTGCACAAGAAACCACATGGTTAATAGAATTTAAAGAAACGGTGGCAACAAAAGCCAAAACAGAGAAAAGGGATCTAATTAAACGAAAGAGCTTCTACACAGCAAAAGAAACTATCATCAGAGTGAACAGGCAACCTACGGAATAGGAGAAAATTTTTGCAATCTATCCATCTGACAAAGGGCTAATATCCAGAATCTACAAAGAACTTAAACACATTTATAAGAAAAAAACAAACAACCCCATCAAAAAGTGGGAGAAGGATATGAACAGACACTTCTCAAAAGAAGACACTTATGCAGCCAACAAACGTATGAAAAAAATGCTCATCATCACTGGTCATCAGAGAAATGCAGATCAAAACCACAATGAGATACCATCTCAGGCCAGTTAGAATGGCCATCATTAAAATGTCAGGAAACATGCTGGAGAGGATGTTTCCCACCGTTGGCGGGAGTGTAAATTAGTTCAACCATTGTGGAAGACAGTGTGGCTATTTCTCAAGGATCTAGAACTAGAAATACCATTTGACCCAGCAATCCCATTACTGGGTATATACCCAAAGGATTATAAATCATTCTACTATAAAGACACATGAACACATAGATTTATTGCAGCACTGTTCACAATAGCAAAGACTTGGAACCAGCCCAAATGCCCATCAGTGATAGACTGGATAAAGAAAATGTGGCACATATACACCATGGGATACTATGCAGCCATAAAAAAGGAATGAGTTCATGTCCTTTGCAGGACATGGATGAAGCTAGAAACCATCATTCTCAGCAAACTATCACAAGATCAGAAAACCAAACACCGCATGTTCTCACTCATAAATGGGAGCTGAACAATGAGAACACATGGACAGAGAGGGGAACATCACACACCGGGGCCTGTCGGTGGGTGTGGTGTTAGGGAAGGGATAGCACTAGGAGAAACACCTGATGTAGATGACAAGTTGATGGGTGCAGCAAACCACCATGGCATATGTGTACCTACGTAACAAACCTGCACGTTCTGCACATATGCCCCAGAACTTAAAGTATAATTTTAAAAAAAAATTTTTTTAAAAAGAAAGGGATAATCACAGAGGTGTGGACAGAGCCAAGGAGTCAGCAGGGGACACAGCGGAAGCACTCCGCCCCTGCTGGAAGCCACCACTCCCCCAACACTGAAGGAGGAAGAGGACAGAGCAGAGGTACCTGGGCGGGTGAGAGCTGTAGCCATGGGCCAGGGCTGGCCAGTGGAGCTGTGGACAGAGGAAAGCAGCAAACACAGCAACCCCAGACCTCAAAGAGAAAGTTGCAGGAACCCATCCCCCATCCTCGCCTTCCTCCCATCTCCTGTCGGCGCCTCTCGTTGACTGAACCCAATGGGAGGCCAGGGCCAGGGAGGCCAGGTAAGCAAGCTGTGGACTCACCTCCAGGGCACAGAGCAGGCAGAGAAGGACAAGGGGCTGGGGGAGGCCAGAGGAGAGTGGGCACACATGGGGTAGAGCACATGGCACCTTTCGGGAGCTTCCCACATGTGCACTTCTCTTCCTGTCACCACCTTTTACGGGTGACAAGCCTGGAGCTCAGGGAGGTGAAGGGACTTGTCAAGGACACACTCTCAGTCAGTGTGCAGGACACAAGCTATTTGAACATCTGGGAGACCTGTGGGGCAGGAGAGGGAGAAGGGGCATTATTAAAATGTGCGAATCTTGGCCGGGCTCCCTGCCTGGAAGAGCCACTGTGACCATCGCGATGCGGAGAGGCTCTCCCTGCCCTGCCGCCTCTCAGGGTCCATACTTACACTGGTTTCTCTTGGAGCCCCGGGGAGTTCCCCACCCCCACCACCCCCAGGCCTGGGTCTCCCTGCCCTCACACAGCCTTCCCCAAGGTCGGTGCTGAGCAAAACCAGCCCCCTCACCCATTTAAGGTTCTTGGTGGGCACTCCTGGCGCCAGGCACACGAGCCTCACCTCACCGCCGATCCGTCCTGCTGGTTTGCAGAGGCCTGGAGAGGCCACCATCTGTGTGAAATATCACTTCTGTCCTCTGGCCACCTGCCCACTCCAGGGCCCGAGGGAGCCCGGCCAAGATTCACACATTCTAATAATATCCCTTCTCTCTCTCCTGCCCCACAGGTCTCCCAGATGTTAAAATAGCAAAACTTGTCCTGTTCTAGAAATACTGAGAAGTTCCTATTGAGCTTCTCAAATCACCAGTGAATGCCCAGGAGCCATAAATTAATGACCCCCGAGTCTCTACCGATGACACCTACATCCAAAGGATGCTAGGAATGGGTGGCTGGGGCCGGTGCCCACACTCTGCCTGGAGATTCAATTCACTTGGATCCCAAACCCATCCAGCCCTATCCGGCTCTGCCAGACCGAGCTCCCCACTCTTCCCCCAACAGACCTCACACTCTGCCCCCAGCATGTCTGCTCATGCTGGACGCCCCCTTTCCCGACACCCCCATAGTCCCAACCCCCCATCATGCGAGACGCAGCTGATTTCTGCCAGGCTTAGCTGTCACAGCTCCCCCACTATTGATGGTAACCACATTACGTTCGCATCCGAGATTTGGGGTTTTCCTGCCTCCCGGGCTCCGAGCCGGAGGGCATAATCCATTTCCAGTTCAGCTCTGTAATCCCCCAGTTCCTAGCAAGGGCCTTTGCATTTGTGGGTATTCAATGAATAAATGAATGAGTGAATGAATGACTGAATATATCCCCACAGTTTAGAGTTCCTGCCCAGAGGCTGCAAACTGCCATCTGAGGAGCCAAGTCTCGGCCAGAGGTGGCTTTTATTTGTCACACATGGTGTTTTGTTTTTTGTTTTTTAATTTTTAATTGGTTGTCAACATTTAAAACCAGGAAAGCCCCCTACAATACAGACTTCCAGATTCTCTAGAATAATCAAAAGATCTGGAAATGCCACTCCCTGGTCCCTCGTGGCGGCCCTGGCTGGAGCAAAGAAGTGCTGTCCCCTCTGAGCGGGCATGTGCTCACCAGGCACGCTCTCCCCACTCTCAAGAGCCTCTCCCTGCCCCAGGGCTGTTCTTCAGGACACTTGCCCCAGACACCCATGGCCTCCTGGCACCTGAAGAGGTCCGAGTTTGTAGACCCTAGGCAAGTGAGGAGGCAGAGACCTGGAGAGACAGCACGACCTGCCCAGCAAGGCCAGCCCCAGTGGGGCCAGACCTAGGACCCCACACTCCAGCCCAGGGTCCCCATGCACCAATCCCGGGTCCCCACGCTCCAGCCCCAGGGCCCCACGCTCCAGCCCCGGGTCCCCACGCTCCAGCCCCGGGGCCCCACGCTCCAGCCCCGGGTCCCCACGCTCCAGCCCCGGGGCCCCACGCTCCAGCCCCGGGTCCCCACGCACCAACCCCGGGTCCCCACGCTCCAACCCCGGGGCTCCAGTGGCCCCACTGCACAGCCGCTCTGCCCAGGGCATGCCCTGGCCTGTCTGTGGCAGGTGGACAGATAACACCACAGGCCTAGTTAGATGAAAGATTGGAACAGATGGTTTCTCAGTTATGGCTGTGAGCAGAAGCTCCCCAGGAGCCGGCCCCCGCCTGACCTCTGATCCAAGCCTGAGAAGACGAGGCTAACCAGCTTCTTGAGCCCCGGAACTCAGGCCTGTCTCTGGACCACGTGGACAGGGAGAAGGCATCAGGCTTCAGGCTCAAGCAATCCATCCACTCAGAAGGGCTGGACCCCCATCACAGCCGCCTCCCCAGCACACCCTCTCTCCAACGCCATCTCCCATTCCTGCCTCCCACACTCCCTGACAATTCGCTCCAACTCACTTCAGTTCTATTTCACTGAGCCCATTCATACTGAGGCTCCTGCGTCTGCCAGGAACTACGGCACAATATGAAGATGAACAAGGATCTCCCTTTAGGTCCCAGATGAAAGCCGCCTCCTCCAGGAAGCTCTCCCTGCTTAGCCACCTGTTAGATTCTCCCAAGGCCCACGGAAACTGCCCGGGAAGCACTGGTTACACTTGCCTTCTTCTGCATGGGACTGTCACCTCCGCTAGGGCAGGAACCTGACCTGACCGCTCAGTGCCTTGCTGAGTGAATGGGTGGGTGAATGGAAGCCTGAAAAGGCTTGAGAAAGCCAATTCCTGCCTTCTGGACTCTGTCACACTCTCTCACGCACGCTCACACACTCACTCTCACACACTCATGCTCACACACATGCTCACATACTCATCTGTGCACAGCAGACACCTCCCACCCATGCTCTCCCCGTTGCCCATGCTTGGGCTGCAGATGTAGCATCGGATGCCCTGGGACCTCATGGGAACACAGCCGGCCCAAACCTGCTGAGTCAGATCTGCACTCTGACAGGTCCCCGGGGGCTGTGTGCATGGAGATGTGAGAGACTCTGCTCTCAACAGCACTGCACAGTCACTGTTATTAGAATCCTCCTGATGCAGAACCCGAGGTCCAAGCAGGCCCAGTCACCGGCCCAAGCCCATACAGCCAGCACTGCTCAGAGCATCCAAAGTCACGTCCATGGAATTCCCAAGGCCCTGGGTGTCAGCCCGCCCCTCTTTTTTTCCTTTTTATTTGTACAGATTTATAGGGCACATGTGCAATTTTGTTATACACATAGATGGTATAGTGGGTGTATCCATCACCCAAATAATGTACATTATACCCATTGACCAACTTGTCATCATGCTCCTGCCACCCATCCGAGTCTCCACTGTCTATCACTCCACACTCATAAGTCCATGGACACACACTTCTTAGTACCCACTTATGAGTGAGATCATGCTATATCTGACTCTCTGTACCTTGCTTGTTTCACTTAAGATAATGATTTCCAGCTCCATCTATGTTGCTGCAAAAGATATGCTTTCATACTTTTTTATGGCAGAATAGTATTCCATGGTGTGTCTAGACCACATTTCCTTTATCCATTCATCATGGATGGACACTTAGTTTGATTCTATATCTTTGCTGCTGTGAACAGTGCTGCAATACACATACGAATAGGTATATTTTTGATGCACTGATCCTTTCCTTCGGGTAGATGCTCAATAGTAGCATTGCTGGAGCTAATGATTGTTCTATTTTTAGCACTTTGAGAAATCCCCATACTGTTTTCCACAGTGGCTGAACTAATTTACATTCCCACCAACGGTGCCTAAGAGTTCCCTCTTCTCTGCATCCATGCCAACATCTGTTACTTTTTGTCTTTTTAATACTAGCCATTCTGACTGGGGTGAGATGATATCTTATTGTGGTTTTGATTTGGATTTCTCTGATGAAGAGCAATGCTGAGATTTTTTTCATATAACTCTTACCCTGGAGAACAAAGCTGCCTGGGACCCGGGTCACAAGGAACCAGCACCTAGCTGCAGGAAGAGGCAAATTCCATCCACGGAATCCCGTGACTTCTTCAGGAGGTGGATTCAGTGCGTGTACCCTCCTGCAAGGCAGGGGCCTCCTGCCCACCTGGAGGGGCTGCCTTGCCAGCACATCCTCCCTGGCCCCTCAGGAGCTGGGCACCTCTCACCATAGAGCACTGCCTTCACAGCCTGGCTCATGCCACCTCCTCCCCAGTGACCCTGTGGGCCCCTGAATCCTTCCTATGACACCACCTCATCTGGGAGGGAGCTGGGGGCGCCCTGGCCACCTGCCCCCTGGACACCTCCTCCGCCCCGGCACTCAGTGGGGGAACAAAGGCAGGCACCAGAGGGGTCCTCGTGCACCCCTGCAGGGAACACCATCCCTCTTCTGTAGTGCCTTCGCTGGGCCTGGAATGAGCTACAGATCCCTAATGAGAACAGGGGGACGGCCCGTGTCACTGCTCAGAATAAACTGAATATGTCATAGGCAATGGACCAGAGGCAGGCAGGGACACAGGGCCACAGATTCAGGATGGAGCCTTGGGGCCCTGGACCCCAGAGCTGCCCCAGGGTCTCTCCTCCCCGGCGAGGCTCAGGTTGTCCCTGCAGCAAACCTTGTTGGGAGGGCTCCTGGGGACAAGGGAGTCTGAGACAGGGATGGCGATAAGACCTGGCATCCTTAGCCCGGCTGCTCAGGAGACCTCAAAGGCCGGGACGGCCAGGCTTTGTGATCACCAGGACACCCTTGATCCTCCAGGTGCCTCTTGAATTAGGAAAAACCAGCCATGGGGGGCTGAGCCCAGCTGGGGGATTCAGGGGCTGAGTCCAGGCAGTGTCAGGGGTCCAAGCTGTGGCCTCTGTCCCAAATGCTGGCTCTGAGCTGGGACAGTCATGCAGCTTCCTGAGGCTCCATCTGGGGAACAGAGATAACGCCACGTACCCAGCCAGCTAAGGGGGATTTTCCATTCGACAGTTTCAATTTTTTCTAAACGGAATGCAATAATGATTTTGGATTGCCACTCATGAGGAACCAGGCTGGTTGGAGATTTTCATCTATAATAATTTTTAGAAGCCTCATCTGTTTGGGGTTTAGGTGAGGAAGGGCCCTCCATGCCTGCAACAGTCCTGGCTGACGCCTGTCAGACCGGCACAATGCCAATCCCTCCCGCACCCCCAGCCCCTCTCAGAAGCATCCTGGTTTGGGTGATGAATTGCACGGTCACTCAGGGCTTGTGAAGGTGGAGCTAATAAAGAGTCGCTGTCTGGTGCAAAGACATTTGGGGAAGTATGTAGAGCCTTTATTTTCAAAAGTCAAATCACTCTATTATTTCTTTTGTGTTATAAAAGTAACACATGTTCAATGAAAAAGTTCAACCATCATAGGAACATTCCAAAAAAAGAGAAGGGGGTGAGAAGCACGGACCACCCTCCTGGCCAGCCCCCAGAGTCTTGCGGTTTGCTCTAAACCCATGCACTGCCGGCCCCTGAGCTCTGCCCTGCCCCACCCGGGCCCATCCTGCCCACACCTGGCCCCAGCATGCCCTCCCTCCCAGCCACACTGGCCCCTCAGTTCCTGCAGTTTCCTCCCCCAGAGCCCCTGCTCACCCTCTCTCTGGAAGACCCTGCCCTCCCACTCTCCTGCCTCGGGCCTCCTTGGCGACTCCCCAGCCTCCACAAGTGCTGAGGCCCCCCAGATGCCAGGTAGTATCTCAGCTCTGCAACATGACTCAGGCCAGGGGTGAGGGGCTCACTGCTGAGGGTGGTACTGCAGGGGTCAGGGAGTTGAGTGACTCGAGGCCTTCCCAGACCCTTTTCCACCTTGCAAGTGATATGACTGGCACCATACGTTTAGAGGAGGCTCAGCCAGAGGGGTGTGTGTCATAAGTACTGGCCGCTGTCATCATTAGGTCCTGCCCCCAGAATGTGGGATGCCCAGTCCCTGCTTTCCCCTTTCTCCTTGCCACCCAAACCCAATTCTGTCCCGGATGCAATGTGCTCAGCTGAGACACCTGCTTCCTGGACTCCAAAGGAGCTGTAGAGGTGGCCATGTGATCCAGCTGCGACCAACAAGACATAAGCAAAGTCACATGGTGGGGGTTCTGGGATCGCTTTTTAAAAAACCTTGTCTCTGGAGGACTTCTCACCTCCCCATCCCCTTCTTCCTGCCTGGAATGCAGACGTGATGCCTGGGAGTGTGGCAGATCCTATCATACCCATTTACCCAAAGGGACACTGAGGCTTAGGCAGGAGCGCACTCCCTCCCAGAGCCACAGAACCTGTGAAAGTGTCAGAGCCAAGGTCAGAATCCTGGTCATCTTGATCCAGTACTTGCTTGCTATCATGTTGCAATAACTCCTAGTCTTGAGAACAGCACATTACGGCTTACAGTGAGCCCTCCTGTACACTACAATGTGAGATGTTCTAACAACTGGACAAGGTGAAAATCAGTCCTGGTCCCCCCAACCCTCTCTCCACGTTTTGAATATTCGTATGTATATTTGTTTTAATTTAAAAAATTTGTTCAATTCCCTAATAAAATTTTATGATGACTCCTTACTACCTCCAGAGCAAATCCCTTAGCAGAGACCAGAGAGCAAGAAAAGAGGCAGAGCTCAGAAGGCATTGTTTGAGCCCCTGGAACAAGCCACACCTGAAGCTGGCCACTACCCTTGAAACTTTCCATGATGCAAAGTCATATATAGTCCTCTTTTCTTCTCATGCTACTTTGAATTGGGCTTCAGTCACCTGCAAATCAAAGGCTATTATCCCAATGCACCCATTTTACAGACAAGGATACTGGGACCCACAGAGCTCTGTCTTAGCCCAAGTCACCCAGTCTTTGGTGGCAGACAGGGACAAGAATTCTACCCTCCTAATGCCCACTCCAGCGTCCTCACCAGAATTCCTCGTTGCCTCTGGTGGCTGGCCCTGCGCCCACTGGCCAGCCTGCCCTGGTGTCGTGGCGGTTCCGGCAACGAGTCCATATTAAAAGGCCCCGTTCTTCTCGCCTTCAGCGAAAGCCTGGGTTTCTCCTATTAAGTAACAAAGTGAAAGGGAACCCACTGTTCTTGGCAGACACAGTCCACTTTCAAGCAGCCCCAACTGCAGCCGCAAAAGCGCTGCCTGCCCAGCTGTTCCTCGGCCTCGCCTCTTTGTACCCTGACACCTCGCACTCCCCGAATACATGAAAGACCCCAAGGCCGGTTGAGTCTGTCCTTTTCTTGTTCATACACAAATGGCCTCAACATCTGCCTCTCAGCCGGGGAGACCTGCAGAATATCACGGGACGCTGGGAACGTAGTTATTCCACAGGATCCAACGATATGTCTCAGGGACATAAATCTTGGAAAGTCTCTATGGAAACATACAAAAATGCATGTTGTTTTTATTAATACTCACAACGAAATGTCTCTGGAATAAGCTGGCTGACTTGAAACCACACCAGAAGAGCCAGCGTGTTTCCCGTTAAAGGGGATCCGTGGGGGTTTTTTAAATGACGCATAGAGCAGCCTGCAGAAAAGAAACCTTCAAAGACAAAGAGGCCCAGGTGGTGGGAGAATTGCTGATGGAAGCAGGCCTTCACCTTCTTTCTTTCTTTCTTTCTTTCTTTCTTTTTAGACAGAGCCCTCGCTCAATCACCCAGGCTGGAGGGCAGTGGCGCGATCTCAGGTCACTGCAACCTCCGCCTCCCGGGTTCAAGTGATTTTCCTGCCTCAGCCTCCTGAGAAGCTGGGACAACAGGTGCATGCCACCACACCTGGCTAATTTTTGTATTTTTAGTAGAGATGGGGTTTCACCATGTTGGCCAGACTGGTCTCAAACTCCTGGCCTCAAGTGATTCACCCGCCTCGGCCTCCCAAAGTGTTAGGATTACAAGCACGAGCCACCGCGTCCAGCCTACCCCTCTTTCTTAGAGAAGACTCACTCCTGCCTCAGCCTGCTGAGGGCATGCTCACACGCACCGTGGGCCCTGCTCAGGGGCCACATAGAGCAAATCTGAGTGGATAAATCCAGCTTTTACCAGAGAGAGGAAACCTGCGGGTCCTGGCATCTTTTTTCTTGTCGTCTATACTGCACATGTCAATACCGCAGGAGGGGAAGGGAGTTCTGTGTTTGAATCCAGCTCCACCACGTGCTTTGTGCGAGGGCTTGAGCAAGTTACTTCCCCGTCCACCTTTAGTTCCTCATCTGTAAAATGGGGACTGTGATAGTCCCATCTACCAGGATGTCACAGAGGCATGAATGAAGTGACACAGAAAAGCCCCTAGACAAGGACCTGGCGCCCTAGAAGCCCTCACAAATGACAGTGGCACAGTAAGGATGGCCACAAATTCTCTGATACTCCTCTCATCAAAAGGTGAATATGTCCCCTCCCCTTGAACCTGGGCTTGCTCTGCAACTTCTCGGCCCACAGAAGACAGCTGAAGGGACACTGTGCCAGCTTCTGGTTTCAGCCTTAAGACATAGGTGGCTTCCACTTTTTTTTCCACTTCCACTCTTGGAACAGTCACTCTTGGGACCACCATGCTGTGAGGAAGCCCAAGCCACATGAAGAGGCTGCAGGAGAGAGAGTGACACCAGCCAGTCCCAAGCTCTTCCAGCCATTCCAGCCCAGGTACTTAAAATGTCAGTGAAGAAACCAGCTTGGACACCCAGCCCGGTTGAGCCTCAAAGGACTCCAGTCCCAGCCACCATCTGAACACAAGCAAGCAAGAACTATTCAGGGGATCCAGTTAACCCATATAACCATGAGATAATAGAATATGATTCTTTTAAGCCACTGAGATTTGGGGCTGTTTGTTACTGCAGCACTATCTACCTATCCTGACTGATACAAACTGCATAATCCCACATACCAGTGCCAAACTGACTTACAGTAAAAATCAAGGGGCCCATGATACTTCTGGCTAAAACCCTGCTGGCCTAATCCAATGGCTCATCAAGTCCCCATCCCTACAGTGCCAGACACAAGCTCTCAGGGTTCCCACCCCCTGAGCTATCCTCATACCCTGGCCTAACACAGAAGCCAGCCTTTCTCAGGCCACGAATGGAATTCTCCAATCTCTGGAACATTTGTCTTCTTAAGGTGATCAGTTATTTTTGCCAAAGTCTGATTAAAGCATTGGGCTTCAAATATTATAATTACTAAAAAAGTAGTGTACACCCGGAAAGAGGAATAAAATCGAATAAAGAACAAGGACCTTAAAAAATAGACTAGTCAAATTCTGTCCTTTCACAGATGAGAAAACTGAGAATGAGACAAGACAGGCACACAGCCCAGGGTCACACACGATGACAGTGATCATCACTACTGTTCCAGAAGGCTTTTGGCAGGCCAGGCACTTCACAGATTCTGTCTTCAATTCTCACAGGACACTGGCACGGAAAGGTCATCATCTTCTTTATTACAGATGAGGAATTGGAGGTCCAGAGAGGTTAAGTAACTTGACCAAAGTCACACAGCTAGGACACGCACCTGGTGTGGTGATTATAATGTCTGAATCCATCCCAGGGCCCCCCCACGGTGACCTGTACACCTGCAGAAGGAGTTGCCGGCCTGGAACCTTAGCGTGTGTAGAGCACTCTCCAACTGACAAAACACCCTCCACACACAGCCTCTCAGCTGAGCCCCGCAAGGACCCCATGCGATCATGGAATCACCAGCTTTCCCGAGAGCAGCCTGGGGTTGTGTAGCCTCCCTCGGTAGGGGGGCCACACACAGTCGGTGGCTAAGCTGGGATCCGGGCTCAGGCCCGGCCAGACCTTTCATGAAACCCATGGCCCCCGGGGCTGTGTGTATGATGGGGCTCGGCTCTCAGGTGGGGAAGACACCCTGCTCCCTTGACACCCCTTCCCAGGGCTGTCCCTTCCCCAGAGGGACTCTTCCTGTCATACATGGAGTAAGGAGTTTGGGGGGATCCCGTTGCTGACAGGACAGAGTCGCGCCCTCCTAGGATCTGAGTGGGAGCTGTCACCAGGGTGCAGGCCTTCCGCCTCTGCTCAGCACTTTCCCACCCACCAGCTTATCTGACCACGCAGTGGTCCTCCAAGGCGGCTTCCCCAGGAAACATCACCTGCATCCCCAGTTCAAAGATGAGGAGCTGGGGCTCAGCAAAGAAGCAGGCCCCTCGCCAGGGTCGCCAGGTCCCCCAGGCCGCGCCCCGCTGCCCACCTCCAGCACTCTCGTAGCCTTGGCTTTGACATCCACCAAAACAAAAAGCGCTGCCCCTCCCGTCCCTCCAGCAACCCTAACACGCCCTGTTTATGTTCCAAATCCTCCACAGAAAACGCACAGGAATAGTCCTCATGAAGATTAACAAACTTGCTTCTTTGCTTTGTTTTACGATGCCGTTTATGGTTGGCCAAACAACCAAAACCCTGCAAGTGTTGACAAAATGTTTTTCATTATATTTTAAAGGAATGTTTAGGTACAAATATTGCATTGTTTATTCATTCCAATAATTTTCTCTTCTAAGTATTCCACTGAAAACCAGATAATGGATTTCATTACCCAGAAACAGTAAAGCCTCCAATAAAGGCAAAAAAAAAAAAATTAAAGATAGAAACATCCGTTTACAGTATGTAATTCTTAGTCACATTGGGCTGCAATGAAAACACATCATGGGTGGTTGAAGCCTTCCTAATTCTGTACTCAGGCCACACCACACTCCCGTGCTCCTACCTGCCACACCTGGGGTCTTGTTGGTGACCCCTGGGCTCAGAAAGCAACTGTGGACATGTGAAGGCCTAATCAGGTCAGGTAGGCCCACTGCTCCCCTCACCAAACATCTCACTGGCCTTCTCACCTTGGCTTGTTATGCAGACACTTCCTGAGCCCCTGTAAAGGCACAGAGGGCCAGGAGGGAGAGGAACCCACTTCTAGCTGGGGAATAAGGAAGGGGACCCTGGAGGAGGAGGCAAGCGGGTAGAGCCTGGACGGAGGGAGGACTGTGCCTCCAGAGATGGCAGGAGGCTGTGGGGAGGTGGAGAGTTGCTGGTGGAAGGCACAGCCGAGTCACGGCGAAAGAGTTCCAGGCCCTCATCATGGCCATCGTGTGCACACTCCACATCCAAAGCGCACGCTCACAGCTCATGAGGAGCATCTCTCACCAGGGAAGGGAAGGCTCGGATCTCAGAGTGCAGATTCCCCAGCCCCATCTCCCTCCAGATGCTACCTGGCTCTTCCCATCACTGCTCCTTTGGATTAGAGCAGCAAAGGCCCAAGGCAACATGGGAACAGAAACCCCAGTCCCTGGCACCAACACTTTGGCTTTGAGCCACAGACAAGATCTGTGGTTCATTTAAGCCCTGAGTGAGATCTGTGGGTTCATTTAAGCCCCAGGTGAGATGTGTGGGTTCATTTAAGCCCCAGGTGAGACGTGTGGGTTCATTTAAGCCCCAGGTGAGATGTGTGGGTTCATTTAAGCCCCGAGTGAGATGTGTGGGTTCATTTAAGCCCCGGGTGAGATCTGCGGGTTCATTTAAGCCCTGGGTGAGATCTGTGGGTTCATTTAAGCCATAATAACACCCTGGAGGGATCCGGATGTGTTTGGTCAGAGTGCCAAAGGGCACAGGTGGATGGGGGTTCCTTACATGGATGTGACCAGGTACCCAGAATCCAGGGGAACATGTGTTGGGACACAGAGGACCCAGGCCATAGAATGATGCAGCACTCACGTGTGCATTTTCTGCACGGCTGTGGCTGCTGTCAGTACTCACCCAGGACTGAAATTGCATAGTGTGGAATGACTGCTAAGTTGCATGAAGCCCCCTTAAACTGGAGTCTCAGGGAATTCCCAGATACCCAGGGATTTGGCACAATCCCTTTCTGACTGACAGAACCAGGCATCAAGGCAAAATGCACCCCGGGAGTATCACGGCAAGGCTGGGTACCAAACGCCGCCAGTCTGTGACATGCAACATTGCATTTACTCTTAGCACTTGAGCCCAGCTGGGCAACCCTGAACAAGTCAGTTGCCATCTCTGAAAGTCAGTTTCCTCATCTGTAAAGGGGGAGTTGTCCTGCCTGCCCTTCACTCCTCACGGCAGGGACAGCACCCATGTCCCTAAACCCCAGGCTGGGACTCATCTCTCCACCCAGCAGAGGGTCACTGATTTCAGTTCTACACTCACCAAGCGCTTGCCCCACATCAGGCTCCGCTCTGGGCACTGGAGCTGGGGGCGACCATAACACCACCACCACCAATAGCAATGGCTGACACTCTCGCGTCTGTGCACATTTGAAATCTTCACCACGACCTTGCACTGGGAGGCACTAACATTGGTCCCACTTCACAGATGGAGAAACCAAAGACCCTGAGGAATCATCCGAGGCCACGCAACTAGCAAGAGCCAGAGTGGAATCCAGGTCTTTCTGACTCTAAAGCCCAAGTTATTTCAGAAAGAAATTACATCAGACTGTGCTAACCTAATTGTTCCACCAGAAAAATTCCATATCAGTCCTGAAACGGGCATCCCGGAGGAGCAAGGAGCTCCAGGCCACCTCCGGTGTGCAGCAGGGATGAGAACCGCATGTCCACATCCATGGCGCACCAGGTCCAGGTAAGCCAAGCCGGGGTGGGGGGTGGACCACTGTGGCTTTGCCTGTTTTCTACCCAAAGAGACCCTGTTGGAGGAGGTAACCAGCTGGGGAGGGTAGGGAGGTGACTGGGACCAGAAGGGACCTGCATCCAGGCTCCTGCAGCTTCCAGGGGGAAGGGGGAAGAAGCGGCCCAGCCTCCCGCCCACTCTCACTGTCCACACCCCATTGGTTTGCCAGGAGACAGGACCCTCGGCCCCATCCACGCTTGCTGAACTCTGAGCTCACTGGGCCCAGGTAGGCGGCCACCTTGGGTTCCCATGGTGGCTTACTCCACCCCCCTCCAGCCACCCCCCTTCCAACTGCCCACTTCTCAGCCAATTGGCCAAGGAAGGGGCGGCGGGCTGGGCTGGGTACTCAGGTCCAGCCTCGCTGACTGGCATATTAAGCACACACTCCCTCACCAAGATTCTGAAAACCCTGCTCTTGAGCAGAACAAAAGCTGCTGAGCAGCCTGTCCCGGCTGCAGCCTCCTTTTCCCAATGGCCGAAAACAGTTCACCCCTAATTGTTTAAACAAGAGTTGGGGGAGGTAGGTGGGAGTCAGGGTAGGAATGGGTGAGAGTGTCAGAGTAGGGGCAACCGCACAGAGTGGGGTCTGCTGGGCCTTCAGTCTTCCCAGGGGGATTCCAGGGGGCCCTCAGTGCTTGGAACCAGGGGTGCAGTGCCAAGGCCAACCCACACCACGCCTGCTTCACGCTTTTCATCTCCCCTGAGAACACATGGGCCCTGAAAAGGCCTTGGCAGGCCTGCCGGGCACCCTGCACTTAATATGCAACAGCGACCGAGGGGCAGGGACGGAGCAGCGGGTGTGGTGGCGAAGATGGAACGCCGTCCACTCCTGCAGGAGCAGCGCCGCGTTCCACCAGGCAGGCTGGCATCTGCGGGGAATAGGAGGCCGCTGAAAGCCCTTACCCATGAATCTTCGGAATGACTTTGGGGATAAATAACCACTCGGGGGGAGTGCATGAGCTGGAGAAACTCACCCCCCAAGCTTGTTCCAAGTGGAGAAGCCTTCGCAGTGCTGCTGGGGTTTAGCCAAGCTGGGAGTTGTCAGCTCCAAGAACGGAGATTGGCAGGTTCTGGAGGCTGGGAGGAGCACAGCCCCTGTTCCCAGGGGAGCCGCCCCTTCCTATGTGCTTCAGAAGTGGGGACCCTCTTTCCCGTTCCATGCAGGAAAGGCTGCAGTGAGTCAACGACAAATAGGGGCAAAGAGACAGAGGTGACTCCGCTGAGCAGAGGAGACGACTCAACACCAAGAACAGGGCGAGCATTTCCTTCTGGCCATGGCCCTCCCGGTCCACCTGGTGCACACCCAGCTCCACCGGAATCCCACCATCGGGCCAGGCCTGCTGCGTGCCAGGGAGAGGGGAATGCATGTGAAGACAGAGAGCAGGGAAGGGTTTGGCCTGGTGCCCTGGTGAGGTGCTGACCCAGAGGCCGGCCTGCCCTCGCAGGGAAGCTACCTGCTTGCCTGGCGTCTGCGAACTTGGGTTTGTGGGGGGGGATCCCCACGCCCTAACTGAGAAGCAGGGCTCAGTGTGCCTTTGCTGTTTGTGCAAACCACATGATTCATGCCAACGACCACCCGCTGGCCTTCTGAGAGTCTGGAGTTTTGGTGTGTGTCTGGCGAGGGAGCCTGTGCAGCCAGTTCCTTCCCTGATAGACGGTGTTTCACGGGTGTCATCATGAGATGCCAGAGGAATCAGGCCTGTGCCGTGTGGCTCTGCCGGGAGAGGGTTCTGGAAGCTGGAGCCCGGGCTCCTCCAGCCTTCACTCCCCGCACCTTTCCCTCAGCTGGTCTGGCCTTGTCTCTCTCCTCTCACTGCCAAGGCCTGGGAGTTCCCCTAGCAAATCACCACTCCTAGGGGTGGTCTTGGAGACCATCACGCAGGGGACAAATCACACCACTTTCTCTGAACCTCGGTTCTCAGCTTAGCCTAGCAGGGAGGAGAATGGCCAAGATCTCCTCAACCCTAGCCCCTTCTTTGCCCAAAATCCAAAACCTACCTCCTAAATCCAGCCCTTGCCATTTCTATAGCTCAGAGAGCATCTCAATGCTGGCGAGACCAGAACATCCCACGTGACAACTAAGTGCAATCCCCCAGAGCTTGTGCGTGGATGGGGAGGGGGAACTCAGATCCCTCATGGAGAAAGAAAGCCTGTGGGGTGGGGTCAGCACCTCACCAGGGCGCCGAGCCAACCCTCAACCCCCAGGGGCCCTGCAGCCAATGACGCACTCAAGGAGGACCAGGGCTGACCGTCCTCTGGAAACTCACCAGCATGTGTCACTGCTAGCCCACCATGGGCGCCCCAGTGCCTCCCATCCAACCAGCGTTTTCCCGGTGCTGAGCCCTGGGCCAAGCGATTGTGACGGCAACTTGGGAATGGTAAGGTGTGATCCCTGCCCACTGCAGGCGACAAGCTGGGGCGCTCATAGACATGTTTGCAGCTAACTCTGGTATAAGACTGACCGAGCATCAGCTCAAATCCTGGGGGAAGTAATGGCCACGGAGTCTGGACCAGGGGAAAGCCACTTTGGAGGGGGCTGGGAAAGCTTCACCCAAAAGCTAACATTTGAATTGGGCCTGGAAGTGTGGGCGGGCTTGGGAAAGCAGGATGAATAGGGAGAAATTCACTCCAGAAAGAGAGAGCAAAGGACATGATAGCCCAGGTGTCCAGCCAAGGTGGAGAGGAAGGGGAAGAGACGGGCTTGGGGATGACGCAGTGAGCTAAAGATTCAGGGATTGATTCAGAAGACCAGTGCAGTGGCTCACACTATAATCCCAGCACTTTGGGAGGCCGGGGTGGGAGGACTGCTTGAGCCTAGGAGTTTGAGACCAGCCTGGGCAACATAGTGAGACCCCAACTCTACAAAAATAAAATTTAAAAAAAAAATCATCCAGGCGTGGTGGTGCATGCCTGTAGTTGCAGCTACTCAGGAGGCTGAGTTGGATAATCCCTTGAGCCTAGGAGTTCAAGGCTGCAGTGATTTGTGATCATACCACTGCACTCTTGGATGACAGAATGAGACCCTGTCTTTTAAAAAAAGAAGAAGACAACAGGGCTCTGAAAGGCTCCGAGGGAACACTCATGTGACTCTCACGCAGCCGCTTTCCTAAGGACCAGCCACAGCAGGAGGAAGGCCCTACCGAATCAGTGCGGCAGCCAGGGTGGGTCTGAGGGTCCTGAAGCTGCCTAGGTGATGTAATAACAGAGAGGTAGGTAGCTTCCTCGCCAGTCAAACGGCAGCCTCTGCCCGGTACCCCCAACAGTCAAGCTGCACTCAGCTGCAGCCAGGGATGCTGTGAACTCCACCTGTCCCTGCACTCCCACTGCCAGGCACGGAGTAGACGCTCAACACCGTCAGCTAAACAGCCTGCGGAGCAAGCATCCCAGCGCCCAGCAAGGCCACACACACACGCACACAGATGTTTGCTCATTTCCCCAAGTGCTCACTCAGTCGCTCTGCAGCACTTTCAGCAAACGGATGTGAGGCACTCAGAAGCACCCAGAATCGGAACGGAAAAGAAAATGAAAACCACCTTAACCAGGGAGAGACTACGGAATGGCATCGTGTGCTGGCAACTGTCAGAGTTCTCAGTGCGTCTCCTGTGGATTCTTTTGTTTCTCACTGCAAATTGCCTCCTCCAACCAAACCATGCACCCCAGAAGGGCAGGGAGGGGCATCATCTGACGCCATCACAACCATGCACCAGGCCTCTCACAGTGCCTGACATGGAAGAGTGCACAGTAAGTAAAAAACTGAGTGAAGAGGAGGGACTCAGGCTGGACCCTCATTCCACGTCCAGGTGAGGAAAAGGAGGAGAAAGGAGGTCTATAGGGCCACTGGGAGCGTTCATGCTGGACCACACAACAACCGGGGCCCATGTCCCACCCCTTCTCCACAGCACTAACCAGGGACACAGAGGGCAGTGAGGCCTGGACAAGCAGGGACCTTAAAACACTGGGTGTCCTCTGCCCACCAGCCAAGCCCCACCGGCCCCCCAGGAAATGGGGGCCTTTAGTGAGGTGGCTCATGCCTGTAATCCCAGCACTTTGGGAGGCCAAGGCAGGCAGATCATGTGAGGTCAAGAGTTCGAAACCAGCCTGGCCAACATGGTGAAACCCTGTCTCTACTAAAAATACAAAAAAAATTTAGCCAGGCATGGTGGCACAAGCCTGTAATCCCAGCTACTCGGGAGGCTGAGGCAGGAGAATCTCTTGATCCCGGGAGGCAGAGGTTGCAGTGAGCCGAGATCGTGCCATTGCACTCCAGCCTGGGCAACAAGAATGAGACTCTGCCTCAAAAAATAATAATAATAATAATAAATTATTTGTTGCTTATCTAAAATTCAAATTGAGCTGAGAATCCTATGTTTTATCTGGCAACTGCAAATGAAGGTCGACCGGGGTGTAAACCACCCGACTTCAGCCACCAGCCCTACTCTCAGGGTGTTTTGGAGACAGCACCACAGCGGGCAGTTGCTCTTACTGTCACTGTCATGGTCACTCTCACTGCCCCTTCAGGGGGAGGTTTACAAGTTGCAGCTTCAGGATTCCAACAGGATCCGGGGCTAGAAAGTGAAGGCCATTTTCAAAGACAGCCCTTCAACATGCAGACACAGCCCAGCCCAGAAAACAAGGACAGGACCAAGCTCTCAGGGCGGCTGGGCCTCAGGGCAGTCACAACCTTTCCCAGCATTGCGCAGTTCCCACCTCCACCACGAGGACGGGGAAACGTTCGGCAGAATCAGAGGAAGATAATCACTTCTAATTATCATCACTCCAGCCTCCAAGCTCCCCGGCAAATTAGAGTGTATCTTTCATTCCAGCTGACACCCTGGATGGCCCCGCGTTACGTATCAAACAAATTACAAATCCCCAGGAAGGACTCATCGAGGTAATTTGCTGGTGAAACATTTTTTACAGAAGTAAAACCTGATAAGAACAAAGCTCAGCAGGGTTCTCAGCTTCTCTCTTCTTCCGGAGGAGGTGACAAGGTGGTACGTGCAAGCAACACCCGCAGGTACCTGGTGTTTTGTTCTCTGCCCCTGCAGCAAGCTCCCCTGACACCATCTCCTTCGGGGATCACGACAGCCCCGTGGGGCCGGGGTCATCACAGCCCAGAACACGGAGGCCCAACAACGTCAGGTGGACTCTCCCAGGCCCCAGCTTTGAAGGGCAAGAGCTGAAATTAGAAACCGGGTCTACAGTGAGGAAGCTCAGATTCCCTTCTGTGGAGAGCAGAGCTTTCCTGTGCTCCCCACAGACAAGAAGCCACCACGAGACACTCAGGGCTGTGCTCGCCAAACAGACGGCACAAGATTCCGACCCTTCCAGGAACAACGTCCACCTTCCCCAAAGCAGTTTCAACAAAGATGAAGGCAGCTCTGGGCTGTTCACCCTCATTGACAAATTCTTGGGCTTTTATCTTCAAAGATAAAGAAATCAAAGAGTTAGTTCTTTTCTCTTTTATTCACTTCCCTAACATCCGAAAGGGCAAAAGTGGTCTTTTCAGAACTTTTCGGCCAGAACCCCTGCTTTTTGCTTTACAAGAAGGAAATGACCCATAAGAGGCCTATCCTGGGGGCCAAGTGCGAGACTCGCCCAGCGACCCAGCCGGGCCCAGCCCCAGCTCCCCAGGGGCTGTTTTAGCAAACAAACCAGCCCTCCCTAAGGCCCTTCTCCAGATCCCAGGCTCACAGTCAGCAGTCAGCAGCCTGGTGACAGTAGCTTTCACCCAGGGAAGGGTCTGGGACCAGGAAGATTCAAAAAAGAAAACTGAAGCCCTCCAGGAAAGCAAGAGAGAGAGGAAGAGGAGGGCCGCTGAGCGTGGTTATTGGAGCCACTGTCCCGGCCACGGGGACTCCAACCAGGTATAGAGACCAGCAGGGGAGCTGCTCCTGGCAGTCCAAAGGAGGTCGGGGGCCCTCCCGGCCACAGCCCTGCCCCAGATCCCTCGGTGCTGGGCCCCAGCCTTTCTGCAGAAGCTCAGAAGCTGCCAACATAGCCACGGGCAGCCCGTGAGTGAGGAGGAGGTCCCCCTTCAACTGATAGCAGCATCCTGGGCACAAAGGAACCTTCTGCAGAGAGTGGCAGGAGCAGAGGGCAGTGGGGAGGAAGGAGGGACAGGGACTTTGAAGGAGCCTCTGGGGAGCACAGGAAGGAGCCACAGAGGCCAAGAGGACGGGGGAGTCTCCTGCTGAGTCCAGTGCTGTGCCCAGCTCCCTGCTGAACTCCACAGGGACGTGGGCCATGCCTAGTGCTCCCAGTGGTGGAGCTGCTGGGGCAGATGCAGCCACGGATGGCCCAGATGAAGAGGCTGCAGCGAGGGCACAGGGGTGATGGGGGTGACAGGCCAGCAGTGGTAAAGAGTGCCACAGCCACATGGCCGGGACAGACCTCAGAGGGCTCACTGGCCCAGCCCAACCCAGGGAGGCCGTGTGCACCAGGAGCTGGCGGACAGGGGTCAGCCACAGACTCCAGAGAGGGAGCAGAGGCGAAAACAGAAGCACCAAGCTAGTGACAGGAGGAGCTGGATTCAAACCCAGACACACGCAGGGCAGCAGCTCACGCTCCTAATCACACCACAGATTAACACAAACACAACCACGTGAGGGTGCAGGCCTGGCTTCCACCATCCCCACTGATGCCACTTGCACACACACACAGGCACACACATATATGCACACACGTGAGCACACGCACACAGGCCCCTCACTCCTGAGAGCAACCAAGCTGCTCTGAGCTCACAGCGCCACCCAGTGACCAGTGAGAACTGTCTGGCTTAAGGCTGCTACCAGCCATCTTCCTAGCTAGGCAAGGACCTAGGAGCCCTACCAGCAGCATGGCTGCTATACCTTAAAAAAAATTTAACAACAGCCTCAGTCTGGATTTGACTTTCTGCACAGCAAAAAGCATCATTAGCAACACACAAAGCTGTATGCAGTACCAGCAACCCCCCCCAGACTCCCTCTACCTCCCCAGCCTCTTCTAATTAAATCTAATTAAATCTGTTTTTCCTCAAGCACCAGCATCCAAAATTAATAAAATCATTGTTTATTCTTTTGAGTACATCTGGTTCATGGAAGAGTTGGATTACAGTCATGTCATTCGGCCTCTGCAAACGTGGCCTCTTCATTCCCACCATGAGTCAAATAGAATGCTGTCTCCCTCTTGCCAGCGCATCGGAAAGAACATTGTTTCCGAAAGAAGATGCACTTCACATTGCAGATGACAGCCATCCAACAGCACCCCTGGCCCACAGTCCACTGGTATCCCAAGAACTCCTGAGCACTCTGGCACCATGCTCCTTGATAGTTCTCTAATTTAGAAGCAAAAGGAAAACGGCACACACATTTCAGATGGATCATGGTACAAATCCTAGAGAAATCACACTCTAAAAAACATCCACAATAGAGTATGTCAAGCAGAAGGAGAAAACGAAACTCCCCTCCTTGGGCCCATCGTTCTGCCTGTTCCAAAGAGCTTTGTCAATCAGGATCTGACGTAAACTCATGGCCCTCCCCACTGGGTATTATTATTCCCACTTTATAGATGGGATAACAGAGGCCCAGAGAGGCTGAAACATAAGACTTAACATTTCAGGACATAGAATCCCGTCTGCTTTCCTCAATAAGGCACCCGTTGCAGCAAGCTCAATACCTGGTCCATAATAGGTCCTTTTCAAAAGATGCTGAATAAATAAATAAATAGATAGATAAATAAAAGTATTAAATGCTAGAGTCAGTGCCTAGTCTTGCGGCCCAGGGTTCACTCCCTGGCTGCAACTATATTGAGAAGGATGTGAACAGGGTCCCCTTGGGAGGAGCCACTGTGGGTCACTGTGGCCACCTGAGACCAGCAGCCAAGAGGGGTCTCTTCTAAAAACAGCAGCCCAGCGGACACAGACCAGAAGGCCACCAGGAGCATAAAGCCTTTCTTCAAATAACAAGTTAAGATTGTTTTCAGCAGGAATCCCTTTGGCTTAGGAGGTTTTCCTGGGCATCTTGAAAAGGCTGTCTATTTTTATTGCAATCAATTTTGTTAAAGTTGGATTTACTAAAGAAGAAGATGAAAATTGCCCATGTTATCTGCTGCTTGTCAGAAACTTCACATTCCAATTTCTGTTCTCGGCCGGACTTGAGGCCCCAAACTCCTCCTGCACCACTGCCAGGAACTAAAAATAGCTGCCAGTGACCATGTGCGCTGGCACAGAGGCCCAGCATCTCAGGATGGCTGCCTCAGAGCCCCACCCGACCAGTCTTTCCCAGGTGGGCTCAGCAGAGCCCTGGGACTCCCCCAAGGCCAGGTCTCCATCTGGAAAATAACAGAAGTTTCTCCTGTGAGATGAGACAGCATTAAAACAATAAAAATGACTGGGCATGGTGGCTCAGGCCTGCAATCCCAGCACTTTGGGAGGCCGAAGTGGGCAGATCACCTGAGGTGAGGAGTTCGAGACCAGCCTGGCCAACATGGTGAAACCCTGTCTCTAATAAAATACAAAAATTAGCCAGGCATGGTGGCACGTGCCTGTAGTCCCAGCTACTCAGGAGGCTGAGGAAGGAGAATCGCTTAAACCCAGGAGGCAGAAGTTGTAGTGAGCCGAGATTGTGCCACTGCACTCCAGCCTGGGTGACAGAGCGAGACTCCACCTCAAAAAATAATTAATAAATAATAAAACCATGGTAAGAAACCGGTAACAGTGGCTCTACTAGGCAGCAACACAGCACAGCGGCAGAGAATATTCTCTCCGATGCCCCTCACCTACGCCATCAACCCCTCCTGCCCCAGCACCTCCTGTCTTTTCTCCCGTGACTCTCAGACTCCCCTCACTCTCCTGCTGCCAATAGACACACTCCCAGTCCTCAGCCTGGCAACACACTCCTGCCCCAGGGCCCCTGCACTGGCCGTTCTGCTGCCTGGAATGCTCAGGCCTCAGATACCCACGTGGCTCCTGCCCTCACTTCCCTCCCAGAATCTCTCAAAAGTCACCTGCAGTGAGACCTCCTCTGGCCACCCTACCTAAAACGCCAAGCTCCTCCATTTCCAGACACTTCATATTCCCCTTCTGTATTTATTTTCTCCTTTTCACACTCACATACATGAATGCATTTCTGTGCAGGTATAGGTACCCACATGAACGTCCATACGTGCAAGTGTCTGAAGGCCAACAGGCACGTGTTTACCCATCAGAAGCTATTACATGCCTCCTCCCCACTAGAATGCCAGCAGGCAGGGATTTTCAACTTTTTTGTTTTCTGCTCCATCTTCAGCATCTAGTAAAGATTTATGAGTGCGTGGAGACTCTTTCAAGGCTTGGCAACCCTTACACTCGCACCTAGAGTTTCACGGGTGCTCACACCTGTCTAAATGGAATTGCAGCGCTAGCAACATCGCCTGCCACGATAAGCTGCCCGGGAATCCAGAAGGGAGGCATCTCACCTTTGCAGCAAACGGAACCAGCACTCGCCTGCTCTTCCAAGCCTCTCTGCCCACTAAGTGCTCATCAGAGTGGGCATGGATAGACTCAGGCAGCACAATCAGTCCCCTCTGACAATCAAGGCCTGGCCTCTCAACGGCCACACAAACAGCCAGAATGGGCCCCAAGTACACAGGGCGCTCTACCCTAGTGCCTATCACCCCCTTCCCAGGAAGCCACCCCTCAGGGGCCAGGCCACAAACACCTCCCCGCTAATCACCTCTGGGGGCTCCCCATCCACCCGCTCTGTGTTCTCTGCAGTCGCAGAAACCTGGGTAGCCTACAGTCAAGACACAGTCACTCAAGGCTAAGGGGACCAGGATTGGACCCTCTGTGTGACCTCAGGCCAGTGGCCATGCCTCTCTGAGCCTCCATTTCTTGCTCTAGAAAATGAGGGTCTTACCAGTTCCTGCCCCAAAGATCTGCTGTGGGGATGAAGGTAGAGGCTGCCTAAGAAGGAGGGTCCTGGCGATGAGGCCACGCCCAGTTTCCCTGCCTCAGCTGAGCCTGGCGCGGGCAGCAGAAGGGTGGGGTACTAACTGGTGCGGCTGCACAAGGCGCCCTCATGCAAGCCGGCACAGTGCTGTGTGCTCGCCACCTCCCGCCTATCTGCTGTTAGTACCATTCACCGGCAAGGACACCGAGGCTCCAGGAGGGGAAATCACTGGAGAACGCCAGATAGACACAGAGTTCAGACCCTCACGGGATGCAACGCAGAGCCCAGCTCCAGATGCTCAGCCTCAGTTTCCACCCTGTGCCCAACTCGCTCCTGCTCTGCCTTCCCCAGGCCTAAGTTCCCCTGCCACGCACTCCACAAGACTTCAGGCCCAGCCTAGCCCCTGTCTCCTCGGCGAGGCCTTCCCCGGCCTCCTGGCCCCAGCACTGCCTGCCCCTGAGTCTGTCCCCTGAACTGCAGCAGCCGTGGACAGGCTGCCTGGAGGGGCACAGCCTGGGGCAGCCATCATCAGGCTCCTGGAGAGGGTGGCAGGCTGCGCTGTCAGGGCCTAAGAACAGCAGAGTCCTCCAAGCATGTGCTAAGCTCTTACTGTATGCCAGGCACCGTGACAGCAAAGACAGAAGCCTACGTGAGCTGCTGGGAGCTGGCCAAGGAGACAGATCCTAGAGGACAATGGCCAGGGAGGCCGCCTAGACCTGCAGAGCCCAGGACTGGAACTGAAGCTGGATCTCCTCCAAGCTCAGGGACCCAAGGGCGAGAGCATCAGCCTCCCAGCCCTGGGCTATGTGGCCACGTCGGCCGCCCAGTGATACCCCAGAGAGGCCACCATGCTGGGTCACTGGGCCACAGAGTGTTCCTGGAAGTCCTTGGGCCAACAACCCTTGCACAGCACAGGATGCAATTCAAAGTAATACTTCCTTCCTAAAAGTAATGAAAGACCAATAGCATGGCAATGACTGGAAACTTCTGGGAGAACTCAGCACCCTTGCTTCTGCAGCAGCAGAACAGGCCTGCTGGCAGCTGGAGGGTGGAGAAGGCAGTGTCCCCACAACTGCAAAGCCCACGCTACTATTCTCGGCCCCAGGCAGCTCAGACCCAGCACATCTCGAAATCAAGGTATCAAAAGAATCAATACATTTCAGGGCGAGGGAAGAACCTGCCACTGTGATGACAGCCCAAATCCCAAGCATCTTTCTGGTGGGGGATCAAGGTCCTTGTCCTAGTAACTCCAGCACCTGGGGAGATGGGGCTGCCAGGATCAAGGGCTCGGTGGGAGTGGGTGGTCCATTAACCCCTATGCCTGCACAGATGCATGGGCTCCCTGGAGAGGCTCGGGGATACGGTCCTCCCCCACCCCCTTTCCATCTTGCTCCTGAGCCCAACAGCCTCCTTTTACAGATGCGGAAACTGAGACCAGAGAAGGGGATGGGATAGCGGACAGGACAGTGTATTACAAGTGCAAACCTCAGACTCCTCCCCACCACCCTCTGATGTTTGCACCACGGCACCCATTTTACAGACAGGAAAACTGAGGCGTGCAGGAGTACAGGCTCGCCTGAGGCCCAGGTGGGCAGAGCCAGAGACAGGACTCAGATGCAGGATGGCCTGGCTCTGACACTCAGAAGTCCACCCTGCAGCATCAGACGGGGGACCAGGCCAGTATTACCTGGGGACCTTAGAACGTCCCACCTGAGAAGCGCTGCACTCCACGGTGACCGCCAGCCTCATTCCTGAGTCCTCGTCCCAGCACCCACCCCGTCCACCCACCACCACAGCTGCCAGTGTCTGCTCACCCTGAACCCAGCAAGTGTCTGCTCACCCTGAGCCCAGCGAGGGTCTGTACTGCACTGTGGCCCAGTGTCCGGGCCCCTGGATGGAAACAGGATGGCAACCTGCGGGCTGCTGTGGAGGCTGTGGAGGACGTGATGAGGGCTACGTCTGCCCTGGAGCAGGTGCTCAGCGGTGGCCAGGAGACGTCATCATGATGACACCCTGGATGTGCTCCTGTCCCCACCGTGGCTTCTGCAGGCATAGTCCACAGTTGGTGTCTGGGTCCCACACCACCCTTCCTAGTTCTCAGGGCTGGCCGACGCCTCCCCCTGCTCTGGAAGGCTCCCTCTGCCGTGCCGTTCCTGCTGCCTGCAGTGACAGTACCTGGCCTCCCTCGGGTACCTTGGGGACTCGCCTGTGCCCAGCCCAGCCTCCTCCATCAGGAAGGCAGTAGTTGAACATGCGGGTGCCGAAGCCTGACTCCTGGGCTCAGCTGACCCATGCCCCAGAAAGCCTCTGGGAGGTTCCTAGTGCAGAGGAGCAGGGAGCTCTGGTGATGGCCATCCTACACTGCGCCCATCACTGACACCTTGTCTCTGACAGTGCAGCAGTGTCTCTATGGGACCAAACACTCCCCAAGGGTGGGGGTCCCCCAGTGCCTTACCAAATCTTGACTTTGAGACCATGCTCGGCCCCCAGAGGCTGACACATGACAGTCTGTTGGGCAGAATTGAACCGGGTGCCCTGGGCACCCCCATGGCATCCCTGTCCACAGAGTGGGACCCACAGTGTCGCTGCCTACTGAGGGGGCCCAGGGCAGCTCCCAGCAGGGTGCGGGAGGGGCACGCATCGACACAGTGTGGCATCCCTCACAGAAATGGCACAGCTGGCGCGGGCAGGAGCCCCCACATTATGCAAAGCCCCAGCACCGAGGGCTCAGATTGAAATGTAGGAGCTGAGCGGGAGTCTAAAGGTCACGGACCACGAGGCTTGGCAGGAAAGCGAATTAAGAGCTTGGGTCCAGAACCCCAGGGGGCTGTAGAGATGATGAAAAGAATAAATCCGCCATCCTGGGCTGCCGTGGGGGGTGACATAATGAGGCTGGCATACCATGCCTTGCTCGCTAACTAGCGCTCTCCGGCGTCCAGGCGCCGGGCCCTGGGTCCTAGGAGTCTGGCAGCACCAGGAGCAGAGCCCACAGGGAACAGGCACTGGGCTGGCTCAGACCTCAGCAGCCTCCCCAGGAAAAGGCCACAGGGTCACTGGGGTGTCCCCCTTCCTCCTGGCCACCAGGCAGCTTTCCCCTCATCCATCCTGCCAAAGCCCAGGCCTCCCCACTGCTCCCCTAGGCTACTCCCACAGCCCATGCTTCCCCCAGGGCCCGCAGCCTCCATTCCCCCAATCCTGCTCCACGCTGTGCCCCAAGCTATGCAAGACAGTGACTCTCCCACCACCCTCCGCAGAAGCCATCCGCAACTCCGTCATCTCAGCTCCGCTGCCCAGATGTCAGCATCCTCAGCAATCACGGGGCCCTTGTCAGAACACAGCTCCAGGATGGGCCAGGACATCTGCATCTCCAGCAGCACCCAAGTGCACCCTGTGAGTGACCCTCCATGATCCAGCCCAAGCCCCACCCCAGTCTCATCCCCACCCCGAGAGCCTGGGTCTCTCCCAATCCCCCCAGATGCCACACTTATATCCTTGTCCTCGTGCCCTCAGTCTGGAATGCCTCCTCTGCTGACCACCCACACCATGGCAGTCACATTCATTCCTAAAGTGCAAAGGCCACCTCCATCATGAAGTCTTCCCAAATCTTACCCCACAAAAAGAACGACCCTCTCCTCTGTGTCCCCACCGGATGCTGCCTGGCCCCTGGTGCAGGATGGTCCACTTTCTGCTTCAGTAGGCTGCCCCGTTCATCTGGGGGTCCCCAGTGCACCACACAGTGTAGAGTTCCATAAACATTTGCTAAGTGAATGAACAAATGAGTGGATGGATGGATGGATGGATGAATGGATGGATGGATGGATGGACAGATGCAGACAAACGGATGAGTGATGGGTGGATGGGTGGATGGTATTACCAGGTGTGATGGTTAATTTCATGTGCCAACTTGACTGGGCCATGGGGTGCCCAGATATTTGGTCAAACATTATTCTGGGTATTTCTGCAGGGGTGTATTTGAATGAGATTAATGTATACATCAGAAGACTGAGTGAAGCACATTGCCCTCCACAATGCAGGCCAGCCTCATCCAATCAGTTAAAGGTCTGAATAGAAGACAAAGCTGACCCTCCCCCCAATTAAAAGAGAATTCTCTTGCTGACAGCCTTCAACCTGGAGCATCAGCTCTTCCAGGCTCTACAGCAGCCTGCCAGCCTTCAGATCAAACTGGGACATTGGCTTTGCAGATTCTGGACCTGCCAGCCTCCATCTTTATGTGAGCCAGTTCCTTATAACAAACCTCTGTCATAGATATGAAAATATATACATTAAAATCTCTAGATATAGACAGATACAGATATGGATATGGATATGGATATGGATATAGATACAGATAGAGATCTAGACACACACTTCCTACTGGCTCTGTTTCTCTGGAGAACCCTGACCAATGCACTGGGTGTCTTCATCTCCTTCATACAAGAGCACATGACACTGCTCCTGCCCAGAGACTCGAAGGCTTGACCATCTTCATCTCCTTCATACATGAGCACACCACACTGCTCCTGCCCAGACACTCGAAGACTTTACCATCTTCATCTCCATCATACATGAGCACATCACACTGCTCCTGCCCAGAGACTCAAAGACTTGACCATCTTCATCTCCTTCATACATGAGCACATGACACTGCTCCTGCCCAGAGACTCGAAGACTTGACCATCTTCATCTCCTTCATACATGAGCACATGACACTGCTCCAGACACTGCTCCGGCCCAGAGACTCAAAGACTTGACCATCTTCATCTCCTTCATACATGAGCACATGACACTACTCCTGCCCAGACACTGGAAGACTTGACCATCTTCATCTCCTTCATACATGAGCACATGACACTGCTCCTGCCCAGAGACTCGAAGACTTGACCATCTTCATCTCCTTCATGCATGAGCAAATGACACTGCTTCAGACACTGCTCCGGCCCAGAGACTCAAAGACTTGACCATCTTCATCTCCTTCATACATGAGCACATGACACTAGTCCTGCCCAGACACTGGAAGACTTGACCATCTTCATCTCCTTCATACATGAGCACATGACACTGCTCCTGCCCAGCGACTAGAAGACTTGACCATCTTCATCTCCTTCATACATGAGCACATGACACTGCTCCAGACACTGCTCCGGCCCAGAGACTCAAAGACTTGACCATCTTCATCTCCTTCATACATGAGCACATGACACTACTCCTGCCCAGACACTGGAAGACTTGACCATCTTCATCTCCTTCATACATGAGCACATGACACTGCTCCTGCCCAGAGACTCGAAGACTTGACCAACTTCATCTCCTTCATACATGAGCACATGACACTGCTCCTGCCCAGAGACTCGAAGACTTGACCATCTTCATCTCCTTCATACATGAGCACATGACACTGCTCCTGCCCAGAGACTCGAAGACTTGACCATCTTCATCTCCTTCATACATGAGCACACCACACTGCTCCTGCCCAGACACTCGAAGACTTGACCATCTTCATCTCCTTCATACACGAGCATGACACTGCTCCTGCCCAGACACTGGAAGACTGGACCATCTTCATCTCCTTCATACATGAGCACATGACACTGCTCCTGCCCAGAGACTCGAAGACTTGACCACGGAACACCATGCAGATCTAACACCCACGACCCTGGAACACCCACGACCGTGACAGAAGCTCTTAGGCCCTTTTTCAGCCTCGGAGTGACCTCAGCCCTCTATGCCCTGGGCATGAGCCAAGTAAGGTTTGGTCCAGATCATGACAGGAGGGATTCCAGGCAAGCTCCGGAAGGAGGAAATTCAGACGATCTGTGCTGGAAGCCTGGGTGCTCTCCAGCGTGGACTCTCCCTGGGAAGGCAGGCCAACTTTACAAGACAGAGGCTCTCTTTCTGGAAAGGTTCTAGAGCCCTTGGAGCAAGGGAAGAGGATGGAGTCCTTAGACCCTCTTGATTCTCAGTCCCGGGTGCTAAGAAATTGGCACCGAGATCCTCCCAGGGAGAGGGGCTCCTGTCAGCTGGTGGCAGGGACATTCTTTAGGGGGTCATGGCATGGCAGAGTTGGAAAGCTTTCACTGTGTGGGAATTATGGGGGAAGGAGATGTTCTGGGGGAGGAAACAGGGTATGCAGAGATGGGGCCACCCTTGGAGGAGAGGCTCCTGCCTGTGGGTTCCGAGCACGGCAAGCTACCCCTATACCCAAAAGTAGAAAGGACACCCTCACAGGCAGACCCAGAACAGGGCCCAGGGAATAGCAAGAGGAACAAAATCAAAGGGGCCTGGGTGCACGGGGACCCCTCAACACAGACCAGGCCACGAAGCAGAGCAAGGCGCGGCAGGCCTCACGCAAGTCCACTCGGGGCAGGGACGGGACGGCCTGGCCACGGGAATGGGCCCTTCCAGCCCTGGACTGGCCAGCAGGACTGGGATCCCATGCAGTCCATCCAGGGGGCACCAGCCCGGCTGCTGATGCCATGGAGGAACACCATGGGGCACTCCCCTGTTTTAGATGGTGGCCCTGGTCGCATGGACTGAAGGTCCCAGAGGGTGGGCCCAGCCACCCAGCACATGCCTGTGGCCACAGCAGCCCCAGAGCAGCTGGACAGAGTCGTAGGCCCCAAGCCCTGACCACAGAGAAGCTGCGGGTCCTGAAGTGGATCCAGGAGTGGATCAGGTCCTGAGTGCCCTCAGCTCCCACAGCTGGACCTGGAGATGGCCCCTTCTCCACTCCTCACCATGCAGGGGCCAGGCCAAGTCCATGTCCTCTGCATAATTCTCACCGTGAGCCTGTGTAGGCAGGACGATCACCTTCATCTTCAAGAGAGGACGCAGAAGGCAAGGAATATGCCAAGTTTTAGGCTCAGTAGAGACTGGAGAGGGAATCCGCACCTCATCCACCCTTGCTGAGATTCTGCTTCTAGGCCTCCCCACAGCACCGGACACATGCAGGTGACTGTTACATGTTGAACTGTGTCCCCTCAAAACCCACCTGTTGAAGCCCTAGTTAACACCCTGCACCCCAGGATGCGTCTGTATTTATTTGGAGACAGGACCTTTAAAAGAAGGTGGTCAGAATGGGCCCTGACCCAACGTGACTGGTATCTTCACAGGAAGAGGAGATTAGGACACAGGCACATACGAGGATGCCGGGAGAAGACAGCATCTGCGAGCCAAGGAGCGGGGCCTCGGAAGAAAACCAACCCTGCCTACATCTTGTCTTAGCTTCCAGCCTCCAGGACTGTGAAGAATCAGCCTCTGCTGTGGAAGCCCCCAGCCTGCAGTCCTTTGTCACAGCAGCCCAGGCAAAGGACACTGTGGCCAAGAAATGCCACCCATGAGCTCCCGCTTGCTCCCGTTCAGTCATCCTCAGCTCCCGCCACCCCCTGCCTCACAGCTGGATGAGGAGCCCCAGAGAAGGAGAAAGCAGGTGTCCATGCCCTCCCCGGCACCCTGAGCCCACCGCACCTCCAGGGAGGGAGCTGCCCTCCTCTAGGAAAACCCCAACAGGAAGATTTTGGAAGAGGGGACAGCAGGCACCACAGCCACAAAACTGCGTTTAGCCGCTCTGCCTGAGGACCCAGAGGGTTTGGTTTCACTGCTCTTGGGACTGGGGAGAAGAAACAGGAGAGAGGGGTGAAAGGCGAGGAAGGAGGGAGGAAGCAGCGCGGTGGGTGAGGCTGGGAAACGACTCCCTGGCAATGGGGCTGGAGGGAACTCTTCACCCCAGGCCACCACACAGAGGGGCGCCAGGTGTGTCTGCCTGGAAGGGATGCAACGTGCCCCCTGCCACCTTCCACCAAATCTCAAGAAAGCCCACCTCACCCACAAGGCCCCAGAAGAGCACAGGATCACAACCTGCAGGCTGCTGTGGAGGCTGTGGAGGACGTGATGAGGGCTACGTCTGCTCTGGAGCAGGCGCTCAGCAGTTTTCTGGAGAAGTCGAGAAGAAAGCGGCTCCCTCGCCTCGGTTAATGCAGAGAGGATCAGAGCCAGAGCACAGGAAAGGGGAACCCAGGGCCAGCGGTGATAAGCACAGATGCGAGGGAAACACAGACCTCAGCCAGGCCTCAGGCTGCAAGTGGGGGTGTGGAGCCAGGCTGGAGCCTATCCTGGCAGGTCTCGAGAGGCCTGAAGCACTGCTGGCCTCTGGGTTCCAACCCAGCATTGCTCAAGCCTGATGTTCCTTCCTGTCCCGCAGGGCCTCCTGCATGTGTGTGAGCACGCACAAGTGCATAAGAGTACCCACAAGTGCGTAAGAGTACCCACAGGTGCATAAGAGTACCCACAGGTGCATAAGAGCAGGTGTGCTGGTGTGGATGAAATGTGAGGGGTGCTGGTCACAGCTGCTACCGCGGTGGCACCATCAGGGATGGCCCCACTGCCCTTCAGCCACATGGCGGCATCGAGGAACTCACTTGCTAGCAAGGCATCATTCAATTTGTGCGTGTGATCCCAGAGATGAGGAGACCCAGAAGGGAAAAAACAAAAACAGAAACAGGCCACGCCCTGGTGCTTCCCGGCGGTGCTTGAAGATGTGGCCTGGGGAGCAGGCGTGCCCCCCTTCCATCCCCCACCAACGGAGCAGGGTCTGCCCATGAGCTCTGGCACAGTGACAGCTCCACACCGAGCCGCCGCAGGGCCACTGCATCTTAACCTCAGCGGTGACTCTGAGGGAGGTGGCCTATGAAAGCTGGGGACAGATGGCGGTCTGGATTAGTGGCCTCGGGGGAAGGGGCCGGGGTTTTCTTTGTCTTGCATGGCGTGTGTTAGTGTGCCTGGAAAAAACAGCCCCTCTGCCCGCCGCCTGTTCCGGATGAGTCCCCTCATACATTCCCCCCAACCCCCACTCACCCGGCCGTCACAGACGTCTGGACTTAACCCTCGAGCAAACGGAACGGCACTGACCGTGAGCTATGGGGCACACACTGCAGTTCAACAGGGCTCCATCAGCTCCTGCCCTGGAAGGACACGCAGAGGTCCAGCAAGGCCAGGCTTGAGGTCAGACAGGCCCAGGTTCCAATCCAGGCTCTGCTCCTTGGGCTTTGTGACCTCAGGCTGGCTGCATACCTCTCCAAGCCTCAGTCCCAAAGGGGCTCAGTGAGGCCACCTCCCAGGTCTGGGAGCAGAAAAGGTAATGCATGCCTGGTGCCTGCCACCATAGACACTCCCTCAGTGGTGGCATTGCAGCTTCCAGCCCTCCCAGCAGCAAGGAAAGCCATCCCTGGAGATCAGAGGCCCCCAGGCTATAGAGGCTGCTTTGGGGGTCCAGACCCTCCGGAGCCACGTTTTCTCACGGTGGCGGAGTTCAAACACAGCCCCAAGTGCTTTGACATTGCTCTCAGTGAGAGACAGGGCCTTTGTTGCCTCCCCTTGAACCCAGACAGGCTTCTGACAGGTTCACAGTGGAAGTGATACTCTGTGGCTTCCAAGGCTGGGACCCAAAAGGCCACACAGCCTCTGCCTTCTCTGCAGGAACCCCCTCGCCACAGCACAGGCCTCATGGCAGCAGTCCCACTGCTGTACGGACACCACGCTGGAAGGAAGCCCCAACTGGTCCACAGCAGAGAACCACCACAGGGGCCCCGAGAGCACAAGAGGAGAGAGAGAGATGTCTGCACAGCCTGGTGGGCCAGCTCACAGGGTGCGGATAGAGACATCCATGCAGCCCCCGTGCACCAGCTCCAGCCCAGTCTAGCAGCAACCACACTGGAGCTCAAGTGGAAATCACCCCCAACCCCCAGCTGGGCCTGAACCACAAAGTGAGCAGCAGTGAGCCCCGGTCCCAGCCCCTTCCCAGGACTGCAGCCATCATCAAGCGTTGGCCGTGCCATGCTGGTTCAGAACAACAGAGAGAGGAGAAGCCAGAGGAAGAGTTCAATGAGGTGATGCAGTAAACATTTCTGTCATGCTTCGGATTTCGCAAAATGCTGTTCTCAGTGCTCCTTTGCATTCAACAGAGAACGATTCCGGTCTGCTCTGAGCCAAGAGCAGGGCTGGGTACAGCACACAAAGATGAAGAGGACTTGGTCCCTTCGCTCACAGTTCACAGTCCAGTGGGCTGGACGCAGGCATCCAGGAGCCATGACTATAGCCACGATCACAGTACCCACAGTTCCCACCATAAATAAAAGCTCCCTGAGACCTCCCCTGAAGCAGAAATGTGTGTGCAGCACAGCACGGGTAGGGGAAGATGGGAGTAACTCTGTAACTCTGTCAGGGTAATCAAGAAAGTCTACATGGAGGAGGCAATACTGCATTAGGGTTTTGAAGGATCAATAGGAGTCTGCCAACATATTTTGTATAATTGGATCACATTCTCTTTCTCTCTCCCTTGGAAGCATTTTATGGAACATACATTGCATACATCACTCTCCATGAGGTAGAGAGAAGACCGGTCTGTTTACACCAAAGCAAAGATGTCACAGATGAAATGTCCTTGGCAAAAACAACTCATAATTAATGAAGCTCAGGGTCCTCCAGGTCCGTTCGGCCCCCAGTGAGCTCATGAGAGAGGACCAAGCCCCAGGACTGTCCTGGAAGGGGAAGGATCGGAGGGAGTGGGAGGTCCACAGGGGCCCCTGATCCCCACCCAGTGCCACACCTCCTCCTCCTTGATATGGTTTGACTCTGTCCCCACCCAAGCCTCACTGTATTCCCCAGTGTTGGCGGTGGGGCCTGGGGGGAGGTCACGGGGATGGAGTTCTCATGAATGGTTTAGTGCCACCCTCCTTTGCACTGTACAGGAAGTGAGTTCTCATAAGATCTGGTTATTTAAAAGTGTGTAGCACCTAATACACTCCCCCAGCCATGGACCACCATGGGTCACAGGTGTGGGCAGAAGCAGCAGCTGACCAAAGCAAAAGGCCAGATGGCGAGGTTTCTGAGACCAGAGGACACGACTTGGCCAAAGCCTGCTGCTGCAGCTTCCCAGGGGTGGCAGTCCCAGCCCCGCCTCCTCTCACCCTTAACACTCATCGCAAATTATTAAAAAGCCACTCCACCTCCCTGTTTGGTGCCTTAATGGTGCATTTGTCTTCACACTTGAGGAGGATTAAGCTAGAGGCAGATTTCAAGGAGAAAATTAAATGTTGTCAGACCTTCCTTCCCCAGCCTGGCTCAGCCCCCTGGGGCTCAGCCCTGCAAGGTTCCCAAGCCACCTGGGCAGAGCCAAGCTTCCTGGAGACTTCCCAGCAGATGGATCTGGATCTGCATCCTGCTGCGGTGCCTAGAGGGGCCCTGGAAACCAGCACGCCAGGCCACACAGCCTTCCCCCACCAGCCCTGGGACCCCCAGCTCACTCAGCAGCCCCACCCTCTCTGCATTGCTATTTTAATTTGCTAATACAATTAATAATATGCAACAGCCATTGAGTTCCTACTCTGTGCCTGGTAGGTATCAGTCATCCCTCTGAACAGACGAGAAAACTGAGGCCCAGAGGACTGACTCTGGGCCTTAACAGCACTTAACAGCCACTTAACAGCATGGACTTCAGAATGAGGCAGGCAGGGTCAGATTCCAGGGGTGGATAACTGCACAGGCGACAGGTGTGGGCCACAGGCCAGACCAGGCATCTTCCCAGATGCCCTTCCCAAGCCCAGCCCTTCCCAGGAAGGCACCAGGAGGCCCCTGAGGCACCTGCACTGAGAGCTTAAGCACACACGGGCCATGCTGTGATTCTGGGGAGTCTTGGTGGACATGTCTAGAGAACATCCGTATGGGCACTGAGTACACGCCCCATTCCTGACTTTTGACCTTGTGACTTCATTTCAGAGAGAATTCATCCTAGGAAACCACCAGACACACAGATAAAGAGTTGTATCCAAGGGTATTAATTGGGTTAATGCACATCAGCATAATTATTTATAATGTAAAAATTAGCATCATTCCAAGGACACAGTGATACAAAAATAAAGAAATGACCGTGTGGCCACCTGTCCTTTCCAAAGGATTTTCACCAAGGTAGGAAAATGCATACAATATAACATTAGGTGCACAAAGAATAATTCCAAACTCTGTGTGTGAGTGTGTGTGTGTGTGTGTGTGTGCGCATATACACTAAGGTCCTTTTCTTTGCACAGAAGAAAAATGCAATGAGAAGGCACCAAAAGCTGGCCATTGGTATCTGTGAGGAATCAGAATGTGGGTCATGTCCAGTTTCTTTTTCCTTAGGCCTTTCCTCTTGCAAGATCTAAAACGAGTATGAGTCCCGTCCTTCATCAGAACACGAGTCTGGGTTTTTTTGTTGCTCAGTTGGTTGTTGTTTTTAATACAATACAAATCTTGGCAAATTCAGGGCTCAGGAAGTCTGGGATTTCAGCATCCTGGGGTCCAGTTAGGATCCAGGCAGAGGAGCCCTCCCTCCACCGACGCAGCCAGGGCCTGCCTGAAAAAAGCAAAGAAGTCTTTGCGTGTTCTTGAGTGAATGAGTCAAGGTGGAGTGGAGGGAGAAGAGGAATGGTTTCCAGCCTCCCTGCAGCTCCTCTGCAGAAAACCCTCCCCAGGCCAGCCCCATGACCACCCCAGGGAGACCACAGCTGCCGTGCCCAGCACCCACACCCCACACAGATCTGTACGCCCCAGCCCTCCCTACACCTGCCCTTTCCAGATCCTCCCGCTCTCTCCTGCCACAGCCTGGGAAGCCTGACCACAGCACGTGGCCTCCCTCCCTGCACCAGCCCTCTGCCCCGGCCGCACTACCCTTCTCTTGAAACAGCTCTACTGGAATCTCATTCGCATGCCAGCCAGTGCACCAAGCCAGTGGCTGTCAGCATATTCACAGACCCCCGCACACACCACCAGTCCATTTTAGACGAGTGCTTCATCACCATGCCCGTTAGCTACCACCCCCATGCCCCGCTCTCTGCCAGTCCCAAGCAACACTGACCTGCTTTCCGTCCCTATGGCTGTCTCTATTCTAGACATTCCATAGACATGCAGCCATACAGTATGTGGCTGTTCGTGGCTGGCTTCTTTGACTGAGTGTCCTGTTTTCAAGGTTCATCACGTATCAGGTGTCAGAGCTCCATTCCTGTCCATGGCTGAATAATATTCTACCACGTGGATGGGCCACATTTTGTTCATCCGTGTCTGTTGCTGGACATTTGGGTTGTCTCACCTTTAGGTACCATGAATCTTGCTGCAGCAGAGACACGGGTTTTCGTCTCTCTGGGGTTTATGCCTAGGAGGGGACTGCTGGGTCACATGACACTTTCTGTCCCCCATACATGCCCAGTTCATTCCATCATCTGAGGTCCCAAAACGCCCTTTCCCCTTGTCTGGTGGGCTCCAAAGCCAATCCCATCCACCCTGGCCCGGGTGGGTCATCACTTGCTCCATTTTCTCCATAGCACTCAGCCCCATCTGAACTTGTTTCACTGTTTTTAGGTTTTCTGTCTCTCTCCCATGCTAAAAAATATAAGCTCCGTGAAGGTAAGGATCTGAATGGCTTGGTCCATATTGAACCAGTGCCTCCTACCACAGGGCCAAACACTCAGAAAATACTCCTTAAATATATGCTTAACTTAATATCTTTCTCCAAGAGTCAGTGAAGTGCTTCCTCTTCCAGGAAGCCTGCCTGGGCCTCCTACAGAATGAGCTGCCCGCTCCACGGCCCAGCAGCTCTGGAAGATGAGTGTTGGCTTTTGCCTCCCATCCCTGGACTGTGGGCTTCAGGAGGGAAAGCTTCTGTCTTTCCTTCGCTGTTTCTCCGGTGCCCTCACGGGCCCAAAGCATGTTAAGGGCTGGGTGGATTTTGCCAAACCACTGCTCCACCCGACATCCCTGTGGCTGCAACAGTTCTGCTCAGAGGTGGGTGACTTGGGGTAATCCGAACCTGCCCCCAGTTCAATTCCAGCTCTTGCACACCTTGAATGAGAAGAGCGCCAGCCACACAGAAGGTCACTACGGCGGTCTCTGGTTCCGCTGGTCACGCAGCCTGAAAAAGGCTCACCTGGGGACATATGCATGTAATACCCAGAGAGCTCATTCAAACTACAGACACTGGGTCCACCCGTAGGCCCAGGGTCTGGTGGGACCGGGATGTTTGCAGCGAGCTCCCATCTCACCTTTACAACAAGTCCTCAGGAGATTCTGACACACACCAAAGTCTGCGAATAACTCCTCAAGGACATCAAATCAAAAACTCAGGGGAAAGAAAGGTGATAATATTTGCCCACAAGAACCTGGGGACATCTTGTCAACCCACAGGGGCATGGTCGGCTCTGTGAGTATGAAGGGCAAAGTCAACATGATTGTATGTTTAATTGGGTGCCGTCACTGAGCTGACACGTTTGCCCACAAAAATAATTATGATTTATTAAACAGCATTCTGCTTATTAAAGCTTTCTTCCCTCTCTCTCTCTGACAAACCACTGGGGCATTACTTTGTTTTGAAAAATCATTCCTTTTTTAAACAACCTGTGTGGGTGCTGCTTAATTAATCATGTTCTTTCTATGGCAACCTGGAGACAGAAAAGGAATTAAACGTGGGGTGTGCTGGAAATTTCTCACAAACTCATCCCCAAGTCACTTCCCACTGCTCGGTGACCAAGCTTGGCCTTGGGAAGGAGCTGGAAAGTGGCATGTTTCACACCTGGGACGCACCTGGAGAGGCCACCCCACAGCGTGCAAAATGGGGCCGGAAATGGGAGCCACGAGCACTTCATTCAGGTCCCCACACATGGAACTTTCCAAAACTGGGGAAATATCAACTGTCCCCACTCCCTCTGAGCTAGACAGCAGCCCCTTGCCTGAATCAACCTCACCCATCTAAACCAATGCTTACTAGATATTTCCAGAAATCAGCTTGAAAATCACGCAAGCCCCTGGCTCCATCTGGCCCTGCTTGGCATCAGGAATTAAGAGAATGGCATCTTCCTTCTCCCCCTGCCAGGACTTCATCCACTCATTCCTTTTCTTTCCATTACTCCACCATGCCTTGAATCCAGTAGTGGGGTGCAGAGAAGACTCAGACGAGGCCCCTAGACCCCATGTTGCACACTCAGCGGCAGGAGCTCACCCGTAAACAATTCATGCCACACACTAGAGAGAGGGTGGCCGTCCCCCACCCCCTCCCCCAAGCCTTGGTTAATGCCTCGGGAGGCCAGGAGGACAGCTCCTCACTAGGCCCCATGGCACCCAGCTGGCTCCCTCAGTGCAGGGCCGCCTCGCACATCAGAGCTGCCTGCCACCAGCCCAGCACACAGACAGCTCAGGCCTCAGAATGTGAAGTCTCAGCCCAACTCCAGTAAAACCAAGTCTTCTGCTTTGAGGGGTCAGTCGGCAGCTGTTGTTCTAAACTGTATGTACTCTTGGTGGAACTAGTTCTGAAATCCATGACACAAATTCCTGGCCTCTTAAATCCAGCAAACCCAACACTCCTTTATTTTCACAACGACATGGAGTCATCACGGTGGAACACGAGGGTGCAGAAGACAGGGGTGCAAGTGTGAGGCTCTCACAGTGCGGCTGCTGCGGGCAAGGTCTGTGCCCTGCACATCAGGGTCCTCCTGCCCTGCGGGCCACCCACAGGCCCTCCAAATTCCCAGCCTGATATGGTTTGGCTGTGTCCCCACCCAAATCTCATCTTGAATTGTAGTTCCCACGATCCCCACGTGTCATGGGAGGGACCCAGCAGGAAGTGGTTGGATCATGGGGTGGTTTCCCCCATGCTATTCTCGGATTAGTGAGTGAGTTCTCACGAGATCTGATGGTTTTATAAGCATCTGGCATTTCCCCTGCTGTACTTCTTCCTGCCGCCTTGTGAAGAAGTCGCCTTGCTTCCCCTTCCACCATGATCGTAAGTTTCCTGAGGCCTCCCCAGCCATGCCAAACTGTGAGTCAATTAAACCTCTTTCCTTTATAAATTACCTAGTCTCAGGTATGTCCTTATAGCAGCGTGAGAATGGACTCATCCACAGCCCTCGACAGTGAATCATCTGGGTGCCCAGGCTGCAGGCCAGACCCCTTAAACCAGGCTCCTTAGAATGCGGCCTAGATAGCAGATATTCTAAAGCCAAGTTAGAGAAACCAGAGTCTGGGTTTGGGGGATATTGACACAGGCTGTCGCATGGGTTACCTCAAACTCAACATGGCCCTGAAGTCTGACATTGTCTCTGCCTTCAGAAAGCTGTTATTTCTCATAGACATGAACAGACACACACACACACACAGCATAGACAAAAAGATCAGCTAAATCCAATTAGCAGAATATAATTAAGGAAACAAGCAGGAGGCATAGGTGGTGCAGAGAAGAAAGACATAGTGGTCCCCAAAATGAGTAGGAGCCAGCTGTGCATGCCAAGCAGAGGGAGTCACCCAGGCATGGGCTCTGAGGTAGGAAGGGCCTAGCATATTCCAGAAGCTACAAGAACACAGCATGGCCGAGTGCACGGGAGCACTGTGTTTCAGGGCAGAGTGCCTGCGGGCAGTGCAGTAAGATCTGTGGAATGAGAAAGGGCCAGAGAAAGAGTTTGGGTTTTATCTTGAGTGTGCTGGGAAAGCCACAGCACAGCATTTCCCGGACATGAACTAAGGTGGCATAGTACGGGCATCATAGAGGCAAGTCCTGACATTCCTATCGGGATTCATCGTTATGATATTGAAGGGTTGCCTTCTTGCCCTTTGCCCTCAAATTCCCACTGGCTTCAGAGATCTGAAAACACACATGTAGTCTGGAATCAATCTTTAGTTAAATGCAGAAAAGGCATCTAATCGTGCTCACATCCCCAATGTCCTGTTTCCATCCCATACACTGAGCATAAATAGAGACAAAGAATATGCAGTAGGCTTCTCAAGGAATCATTTTTTAAATGCCTTTAATCTCTTGAGAGAGGAATTATTTCAGTGGGCTAAAGCCAATATCTATAATTAATATCTATGAAAAGTTAAACCCAAGAAAAAAACTTTTCAGGCAAAAATCCTCATGCAATTTCCAGGTAATTAACAGTTTGGTCTCTGCCACGGTAAAAATAAGGCTTCCACCTGAAACTAATTTCCTTTATGGCTACCGAGGCCATTCTTGAAGTGATCGAGGAGAAGAAGGCGATTAGAATCCATTTACGCAGCACAAATAGGAGGTGACAACTGCCTGGATGGGAGGTGAGCCGGCCAAGTGCAGTGAGGAATGCAGGATCTACTCGTTGGGGATTTCTCTAATTGCTCAATCTGACCTTCTACTCGGGCCAAGTCCGCCCACTCGGAAACCTCCAAAGATAAACTTTGGCTTCAGGAGGGCCCCTCCTGACCCCCAACCCATCCGGCAGCTCTGCCCACCCTGGCCATTCACGCACATGCATGAAGAGCACCCCCCGCCAGCATACCTGGGGAAGCCCGGCCACAGAGGTGCAATGGCCTGTCCAGCATCACCCAGCTGCACAGTGGGAAAGGCAGCCTGGGACCGTGCACTGTGACCCCGGCCAGCACAGCTGTCCCCTCTCCTGGACTCTCGACCCTCGCCACCCTAAAAATACACAATCCCTTCAAGAACCTTGCCCCTATGAGCCCAGCTCAGGTCCCCACGGCTCCCACAGGTCGGAGCTTCACCCCACAGGCTTCCCACGTGGCTTCATCCTCACGCTGTATTTAACAGTTGGAGACTTTTCCTCTTTGTGTGTGCGTGTTGTCACACACCCCCACACACAGCTACATAACGAGTCAAGGAGAGCCGAAGGCCCCAGCTGTGGGCATTTTTGTGGAGGGTGTGGCGGCCGCACCACTCTGCCCCACCCTGGGGAACTGCCTTCCACTCATAGATGCTCAGTAAATATTTGCTGGTTTGAGAGTGGTGGAAGTTTTGCCAAATTTTGCTTCCAGGTGGCTTTAAAACCTTCATCCTAAGTAAAAGCATGTAGCCTGCGAGCCTCCTGCTGCAGGCTCTGGCCCCTGGAACCAGCAGGCAGGATGGACCCAGAGGCCACGAGCCAGGCGAGTTGGTTACATGTGCTTTAAAAATAATGTTCCTTTGTCTGCAGCTCAGTGTCCACTCATCCATCCACTCATCCACCCCACAGACATCACTGAGCACTGTGATGCCTGAGGGCCAGGGCACCAGCAAGCTGCGGGGTCCTCGGGTCTCATGGAGGGGTGGCAGTGGGGCAAGCGCCAGAAAGGCGGGGGTGAGATGGAAGGTTCCAGGCCGGGCGGAGGAACCTGACAAGGAGGGGACCCAATGAGGCTGGTCAGGCTGCAGCAAGCAGCCAGCATGGAGTAGGTGAAGGGGAAAGAGGAGCCCCATGGAGCAGGGCCGGACTTGCTCTGAAAGACTTTAGGCTAAGAAGTGAGGCCAGACCCAAGCATCCAAAGGAGCGCAGCTGTAGTGCGGTCGGAGGATTGGAAGAGCCACGGGAACCGCCACACAGTGCGGATGGGGGATCAGAAGAGCCACGGGAACCGCCACGCAGTGCGGACGGAGAATTGGAAGAGTCACTCCGCTTCTGCATCCCCGGGAGAGGAACCATGGAAACCACCATCTCAACTGGCTTTGCGGCTCGAGGGCAGGGCAGGCTGATCTCAGCCCCCAAGAAGACATCCCCATCCAAATCCCAGAACCTGTGCATGGGTTCCCTTGTAGAAACGTTGCAGGTGTGATTAAGGCTCTAGGGAAGGGAGAGGAGCCTGTATTGTCTGGTGGCCCTAAAGTCATTAGGAGGGTCCTTAAAAGAGGGAGGCAGGAGGGTCAGAGCCAGAGAAGGAGACGCGAAGGCAGAGATTGGAGGGATGGGAGTAAGGAGCATGAGGCAAGGCATGTGGGCACCTCTGGATGTTGAAAAAGGCAAAGACAGGCAATCTCCCCTGGAGCCTCCTGAAGGAGCCAGTCCCACTGACACCTTGACCTTAGCCCACACCACTGAGTTTGGACTTCTGGCCTCCAGAACCATAAGACAATGAAGCTGTGTTGCTTCAAGCCACTGAGTTTGTGCAGTTTGTTACAGCAGCCACAGGATTAAAACAAGAAGATGTGGCCTTGAGTGAATTGTCTGTGGCCATGGACCCCTACGTCTACCACTGAAGACCCCAGGTGGAGCAGTGCTGGGCTGGGCGGTGGAGCTCACCATTCCCACATACAAGGCAAGCCCACCTCCCCTCACTGCTGCTTTTGTGTCCGGAATTGGTGGGTTCTTGGTCTCACTGACTTCAAGAATGAAGCCGCAGACCTTTGCGGTGAGTGTCACAGTTCTTAAGGCGGCGCGTCTGGAGTTGTTTGTTCCTCCCCGTGGGCTCGTGGTCTCTCTGGCTTCAGGAGTGAAGCTGCAGACCTTCGTGGTGAGTGTTACAGCTCATAAAAGCAGTGTGGACCCAAAGAGTGAGCAGTAGCAAGATTTATTGCAAAGAGCGAAAGAACAAAGCTTCCACAGTGTGGAAGGGGACCCGAGCGGGTTGCCACTGCTGGCTCCGGCAGCCTGCTTTTATTCTCTTATCTGGCCCCACCCACATCCTGCTGATTGGTAGAGCTGAGTGGCCTGTTTTGACAGGGTGCTGATTGGTGCGTTTACAATCCCTGAGCTAGATACAAAGGTTCTCCACGTCCCCATCAGATTAGTTAGATACACAGTTTCGACACACAGGTTCTCCAAGACCCCACCAGAGCAGCTAGATACAGAGTGTCCATTGGTGCACTCACAAACCCTGAGCTAGACACAGGGTGCTGATTGGTGTGTTTACAAACCTTGAGCTGGATACAGAGTGCCGATTGGTGTATTTACAATCCCTGAGCTAGACATAAAGATTCTCCACGTCCCCACCAGACTCAGGAGCCCAGCTGGCTTCACCCAGTGGATCCCGCACCGGGGCTGCAGGTGGAGCTGCCTGCCAGTCCGGCGCCATGCACTCGCACTCCTCAGCCCTTGGGTGGTCGATGGGACTGGGAGCCGTGGAGCAGGGGGTCGCGCTCGTCAGGGAGGCTCGGGCAGCACAGGAACCCACGGAGTCGGGGGAAGGCTCAGGCATGGCGGGCTGCAGGTCCCGAGCCCTGCCCCGCGGAAAGGCAGCTAAGGCCCGGTGAGAAATCGAGCGCAGCGCCGGTAGGCTGGCACTGCTGGGGGACCCAGTACACCCTCCACAGCCGCTGGCCCGGGTGCTAAGTCCCTCCTTGCCCGGGGCCAGCAGGGCCGGCCTGCTGCTCGGAATGCAGGGCCCTCCAAGCCCACGCCCACCCGGAACTCCAGCTGGCCCGCAAGCGCCGCACACAGCCCCGGTTCCCGCTCGCGCCTCTCCCTCCACACCTCCCTGCAAGCTGAGGGAGTGGGCTCCTGCCTTGGCCAGCCCAGGAAGGGGCTCCCACAGTGCAGCGGTGGGCTGAAGGGCTCCTCAAGTGCCGCCAAAGTGGGAGCCCAGGCAGAGGACGCACCGAGAGCAAGCGAGGGCCGTGAGGACTGCCAGCACGCTGTCACCTCTCACTTTCTAAAGATTACCCTGGAATAAAGCAAAGTTGGCACCACACCCACAACCCCACTGTCCCTCAAGTCCATGAGCAGAACAGACCTACAGCCTGGAAACCCAACAGCAAAGACAGGCGTCCTTCGTGTCCACCAGAAAAGCAGCCCCACTGGCAGCTTCATCACCTTCTTTCCACAGCCTCAGCTAGGTGCTGACCTCACTGGCTCTCTGCAGAAACCAGATATGCCGGAATGTGCTGTCTCTACAAGGGGTGAGCCTCCCATCACTGGAGGTATCCCAGCTGGAACACAGTGACCTATGAGCACCCTGGGAACTGAGATCCTGTGAGTCTATCCCAGGGCTACTCCTTAGCAACCTTCCTGCACGCAGTCAGTGCCATGTGGAATTTTGGCACTGGGTTGAATGAATCTGCCCAGCCTCTGCCTTAGACCTCTTTCTGTAACAGAATACCACAGACTGAGTCATTTATAAAGAACAGAAGTTTATTTGGTTCTGGAGGCTGGGAAGTCCAAGAGCACAGCACTGGCATCTGGTGAGGATGATCCTATGGTGGGAGGCAGAAAGGCTAGGGTGAGAAAGAGGAAAAGGGGAGCTGAAATTCATCCCCTCATCAGGATCCCACTCCCATGAGAACTAACCCACTCCTGAAACAACAGCATTAATCCATTCCCCAGGGCAGAGAGCTCATGACCTAATCACTTCTTCAAGGTCCCACCTCCCAATACTGTTACATTGCCAATTAAATTTCAGCATTGAGTTTAGGAGGGTTTCAAGCCACAGCAGCCTCCCCACCCACCAGCTGTCCCCAGTGGGGAGAGCTGCAAGCAAAGGCTGGCTTCCTTTTTGGAAGACAAGAGGAGCCCCAACTGTGACTCACCTTCTCTCCCACAATTCCTGTAAACAGACACCCCAGACCTGGAGGCTGGAGGCAAAGGCACAAAAACAAACACTCCCAGCTGACCCAACCTGTACCCATGGCTCACTCGCTGCAGGGAACCTCACAGCTCTGGGGCAGGGACATGGAATAAAGCCCCAGGAAGCCAGCTTCCAGCCCAGCCCAGCTCCTGGAGACATGTGGCTGAGTCCACTACAGCCAGAGCTGGCTCGTGGCATCCAAGTACCTTTCCAGGGGTGGGCCCTTGGGAGGCCAGTCTCTCTAGGTCTCCATCTGGAAAGGGGACTGGCCTGAGAATACTGAGACCTGGCTCTAGACCCAGCTCTGCTGTTCCCAGGGGGAGAACTCTGCCCAACCCACTCACCTCCTGGGCCTCGGCTTTCTCATCTGTAAAATGAGACCCCAGCGAGGCTCCCGAGGTCCTTGCAATGCCAGCAGTCCCTGAGTTAACACAGTGGTTCTTGACTTATTTGGGTTCAGATTGGGGCAGCAAGCTTGAGGGCACTGGAAGACTCAGATCAACACTGAATGAGTGTGGCCACAGAGCACCTCCGCCTCCAAGGCTACGACAACCACCATCGGTGGTCTGCACCATTTGCTGTCTGCACCATTTCCCTGACTGCCTTCAGTCCACAACACCATGTGATAGGGCCATCTCCAGCCCTCCCCAGGCTGCCCTCCATGCCCTGGACACAAAGGTCCCAGCTCTCCCAAGACAGCTTGCCTCTGTGCCTCCCAGTGCCCTTCATCCCATAACCCGTCACTGTAGTGGCTCCATGGGCACAGTGACTAAAAATGGCACAAGCACCCATGGAGGAGGTGCCACAGCCCACAGGCGAGATGGCGGTGGGACCACATGCCAGGGGTTGTGTTTACTCATGAGCCAGATTATTGTGGATATGGCTTAAGCAGTTCTGAGGATTGGGGATTTATGGACAGCAAACCATAAAAGCAGAAGGAGGGGATGGGTGTGGCCCTGCCACATGAATGGCAGTGGCTCTGCCACCTTTTCCAGTAGAAGTCACACCGCCCAGAGCTGACACCTCTGAAGACCCGGGCAGCACAAGGTGGGAAGGGTATTTTCCAATGGCCACGGGTTGTTCCCCCCAGGTGGGCAGATGACCCCCCAATGACGAGACCAGAAGAGGTTCAAGACTGCTGCTAAGCCCTCCTCCAACTCCTCACCCTGCCCTCCATGGGCTCCTGCCCAGAACCTGCACTCTCTTCTTCCAGTAACAGCTCTTGATCTTCATCTGGAGACGAAACTCCTCGCCCTGGCTGCAGGGTTGGGTGTGTGGGCCTAGCCAGGCAATGGAAGCGTTTCAGCTCCCTGGCCAACATGATGGGTTTGTGTGGGCATGTGACCCAAGTAGGCCAGGGGGCCTCAGCTCTGGCTTCCCTCAGGAGCAGGGACAAACAGCAACTCTCTTTAGCCTGTTTCCCATGGACCAGGACCTGGGAGGACTGCCTGAGAAGGAAGCCAACATGCAGTGAAAACAGAACCCAGAGATGGAGACAGACAAGGAACCAAGCCTGGTGCCTATGTTAGAACGCCTAGAGCCAGTCATGCCTGAAGCCAGCCCCCTGGACATTCTGGTTCTGTGAGCTTAGGAATTCCCATTTTTCACTTCAGCTAGTTGGAGTGGGGTTTCTGTGACCTGCCACCAAAGTCCTGCTTAACACATCCTTTTGTACACAGCATTGCAGGAGACACAAAGGCAGAGACAGGAAACAGGAACGTGTTCCCCGCCCTCCAGTAACTTTAAACCAACTGGGAAGATCTGCCCAACCAGCCATTGCACAACCACATGCTGACCTGTGCCGTGTGGGCTACAATTCCGGCAGGGTCTGGGAAGAGAGGAGAACCCCAGAGGGCCAGGTGAGAGGAGGCAACTTCCAAAGGCAGAGTCAAGGAAAGACTTCCTCTGCAGCCCTCCTACACTCCGCTCCCATCTTTTCTTTTCAGAAGAATATCTCTCCCCATCCTCTGTATCAACAGGGACCTGGGGTGGGGCAGCCATGGAAATTCAGGCCACCGAGGGGATTTAGCCACACAGATGACTGGGAACATTCCTGATAGAATTATGCAGAAACAGACACCAGATAACATTCACGATCTCCTTCCACTACTACAAAAAACACTTCTATGGCATTTTCCTCCAGGTGGGGAGAGAGTAAAAGGGATGAGGGATTAGCCGACAGAGTGAGGCCCGCTCCCACCCCTCCTCTCCCAGGGGCCCCCCGCCTCTCCTCTCATGGGAGCCCCCAACCCCTCCTCTCACAGGGGCCCCCACCTTGTCACACCTGCATCTTCCCTAATGGTCTGTATGTCCTTGATGGAACTTCACGTGGACAATCTGTCTTTAAAAGGCATCCTAGGCCGGACATGGTGGCTCACACCTGTAATCCCAGCACTTTGGGAGGCCGAGGCAGGGGGATCACTTGAGATCAGGAGTTCGAGACCAGCCTGGCCAATATGGTGAAACTCCATCTCTACCAAAAATACAAAAATTAGCTAGGTGTGGTGGTAGGTGCTTGTAATCCCAGCTACCAGGAGGCTGAGGCAGGAGAATTGCTTGAACCCAGGAGGCGGAGATCGCGCCACTGCACTCCAGCCTGGGCAACAGAGTGAGACTCCATCTCGAAATAAATAAATAAATAATCAATCAATCAATGGTATCCTGAAAAATGTCAGGGAGTGACCGTCCCAGCGCCATGGCCTGCCCCCCGTCGTGGACGCTCCCTCCTGGCTCTTCTTGCCATCCCTGAACTCTGCCACAGCTCTGGTCTGCGCCCTGGCAATGCCTCCCTCCCTCCCTCCCTCCCTCCCGCTCTCCTGCTCCTCCCGCCACCTCTGAGAAGCTTTTCCAAATTTCTCCAGGCAGGAAGGTTTAAGCGAAATTTTTGCTTCTTGCAGTAGAATGAGAACTCAAAGTCAGAATTTATTGACTTAAGAAAAAAATGCAAAAATGCAAAAATTTCTTGCACAAGTGATTTTGTGTCCATGACTCAGCCCTGCTTACAAACCCTCAGGCATTCCAAGGAGCAGTGGAGCCTGGGCCCACTCCACCCAGGCCAGGTCACCGTTCCACTCCCAGAAGAGCCCTGTGGGGTCACTGAGGTATTGGCAGCTGGCTGACTACCCCCTGCCTGCCTTTCCCAAAAGCTTCTCTTGTTGGGGGCTCAGGAATGAATGCTGGGGGTTGGTAGGTGATGGATGACTGGGCCTCCTTCCTGGAATAAGAGAAGTGGACACTGCTTGGTGCAAGCTCGGTGCCCAGCACTTTTGCCCTCATTGTATCACAGCCACATCAGTCTCATCAGGTGGGCACCATACACCTGCATTTTACAGGGGAAGACTTGACTCTCAGAACATAGGCAAGGCAGCTGTTAGCAGCAGAGTTGGGATTGTCACCAACCACCCACCTGCAGCCAACCATCTTGGGCACTGCATCAAGGTCAAGCGTTTGATCCAGGCATGGCGGCTCACACCTGTAATCCCAGCACTTTGGGAGGCTAAGGTGGATAGATCCCTCGAGCCCAGGAGTTCAACACCAGCCTGGGCAACACAGCGAGATCTCATCTCTACAAAAAAATTAAAATTAGCCAGGCATGGTAGCGCGTGCCTATAGTCCTAGTTACTCGGAAGGCCGAGGCAGGAGGAGGGCGTGAGCCCAGGGGTTGGAGGCTGCAGTGAGCCAAGATCGCAGCATTGCACTCCAGCCTGAGCCACAGAGAAGCCCCGCCTCTATTTTAAATAATGGTGATAATAAGGGTCAAGGGTAGAAAGCCCAGCCCTCAGCACACAGAGGAAGTGAGTGGGTGGGCGCCAAAGATGACCGGGGGCCCAGCCTTCACATTATCCACAAACGTCCCCACCCACCTGGCCCCACACAAGGCTGATGACGTCCTTCTCTGGGGAATGCCACCTCCTCTGAGAGACCCTCCCTGATGCCACCCCAGTCAGAGGCCCCCATCACACATGCATCCTTCATAGCCTCCCCGACATGGGCTCTTGCCCTGGGGCCCCCAAGTCACCATCTGCTCCCGTCCCAGAGGGCTGTAACCTCACCAGGACATGGACCATGCTCGGTCCCAACCATGGACTTCACCCCTTCCCCCGGCAGAGGATCTGGCCCAGAGCCATAGCTCACTGCTAAATACGTGAGTCGCTCCAAGAACACCTCCCAAAATGCTCTCTGGGGCAAACACAAATTTGGGCCAAAGCCCTGTAGATGTCAGCAATCCATGATGTCAACAAAAACTCATGGTTGGTCGGTAGGTTCTGCCTGGTCTTCGTCCCTTCTCTGATCATGCCAAAAACCCGACCCCACAGCAGGGAGGTGAGTGAAAAGATTAAAAAAAAAAAAACAGATTGGAAGTGATCTCAAAATTCAAAGATCAGCACCTGCACTTCAGGAACTCTGTGCCTGACTGCTCCAAACATGCAGTCGAGAAGGGGACGAGCCCACCCACCAAAAACAGTCTACGAAGGGGATAGGCTTCAGCACCATGGAGCCGGCCACAGAAGCCAGCCTCACGCTGGGGTCCCGGCAGGGACCGTTTCCGGAAGGGGATGCTGGTAGCTTCCTAAAGAGAGAGGTGCCTGGCCTGACTCTCTACACAGCCTCCCAAGTCCTCCCACCCCAGAGGCCACAAGTATCTCAAGACCCCAGAATGGGCCAGGCCATCCAGAAGCTGGGATGGAGTCCGAGCCCTGGGATACAAAGATATGAAGACAAGCAAGGCCCAAGGTGAGCGGCACAGCAGCAAGTCCTCACAGACGGGGGCGGGGCGTGCTCTCGGGCGCTGAAGGACAGGGTGACAGAGCCAGCTGAGGAGGGGGCATCTGAGCATATGCTGGCTGTCCGGCACCGGGGCAAGACCTCCACATGTGATGTGCTCCCATCTACAACAAGGCCAGTTCAGTGTCCTTTCCCTCCTAGGGAAGAGAAAGATGAAGTTTCACGAGGTCTGCAGCTTGCAGGGCCACATGAAGCCAGGAGGCAGCAGAGCAGAGGGGCTCCCTCCATGGAGGGCAGAAGTGTGGTCCGGGGTGAGGGACGCAGGCAGGGGCCCCCTGAGGCAGGCCAGGCTGTCTGCTGGAAAGGTGGGGCCCTCCACACGCTGCCCACCCCCCAGCAGGGCTAGGTGAGCCAGGTTGGCGTCACACAGACCAGGCTGGCCTTGCAAACAGGTCATGCAGCCTCTCAGAGTCCCTCTCTGTGCTCAGAAGACTCGGACCAGGGCCCGGGGCAGAGGCAGCTCTCTGCAGGGTTCCCCTATAGGACTAGAGAGAGGGGTGCCTGGTGAGCAGGAGACAAGGCAGTGCATCCCCTAGAAAAACTTGGGGGACCCTATGCAAGGGAGGGCTGAGGGAGACACAACCAGAGCCAAGCCAAGCCAAGCCAAGCCCTGGCATCCCGCTGGGACCAGGACTGGGGCAGACAGAGGATGGAGCTGCAGCCTCTCGCCCTTGAAACAGCCGTGGTCATCCCTTGCCTGCGGCTGCCGGGGTGTACAAAGGGAATCATTCACTAGTCTGTCCAGTGTGCCTAGCACACAGTCTGGCACACAGGGGGTCTTAGAAAATGTGTCTGCAGAGAAAGAAAGGGCAGAGGGCAGAAGACCAGCCCTGCCTCCCTCCCCGCCAATCCCCTGCCTGCCAGTAATCCCCAAAGTCTTCAGCACACAGTGCCCACCAGAGGCCATTTGGAAATGCCATAGGAAGTAGAAACCCTGTGGGGGCTGGAGGGCTGGGGGCAAGGCGAGTTCAGTCCCGACATGCCCCGTGGACGGTCTCTAACCCCCACCTGCCCCAGCTCAGAAGCCAAGATGGCCAGCACCAAGCCCCTTCTGCATGTCCCAGGGGGTGAGGAGGCCAGGCCAGGGAGGGAGCTGGGGGCCGCCTCGGTGGTCTTCTTTGCCTTCCTGAGACAGGAAGGTGGGCCCCAGCTGATCTTCTTTGCCTTCATAGGCCAAGCTGGCTCCCACCCAGGGCCAAGGGACACTGGGGGAGGTGGGATCCTGGGAGAAGGCGCCCGAAAACTCCCTTCCCGCCCCAGACAAGTCCCAGAAGTTCCCGGGTTTTGGATTTCCCCGTCATTGCCCAGCCCTCTGCTCGGCCACAGGCAAGATGGAAAGAAATTCTGACTTGATCTTAGAGGTGAGAATTCCAGGCAATAATTCATATCAGGAAACTTGTGAAAAACCAGATGTCAACGAGAAATACTTTCTTTAAAAGTAAACTGGAGTCGCTGAATGTTCATGAAATATGCTGGGCTTTGTTCCACTTTAGCAAACTATTCAGGAAATGGGAAGAAATTGGAACCACATAAAATCCCCCTAGAGAAAGAAGGCACATTCTGATTAGGGGACAACAGTGCAGTCTTCCCTGGGACTGAAGAAGCTCGCTCCTGCATCGCTAGACATCTGCCCTGCTCCCTGTACCTTTACTTATATGTGCCATAAGGAGGGATCCTGCCAGCCCCAGTGCAGATGAGGGAACCCAGGCCTGGAGGACTGGGGAGCCGGCCCCAGCTCAGAGCTCGGGGCAGCCCACTGAACCTGCCCGCCTCCAGGAGCCTGAATTGTCTGGCCACGGTGGCCGCCACACTCCAGCCCAGCAGCTGGGCCCTGGCCAGGCGCTGGGTGAACGCAGAGAGCAGCCCGGTGACTCACGTCGGCTCCCGGCCCAGGCTGTGTGGGCGGGAGGGGCTCGGAGGGGCCAGCAGCAAGCCTTCCCAGACACAGCTCAGCACTGCACCTTTCCAGCCCTCCTCAAAGGGACATGTGGATGTGGATTGGAAGAAAAGACATTCACAGACAAAGAATGAAAAGCGAGGCCCCACATGTGGACAAAGGCCATTTTCGGGGCTCCCTCCATTAGAAGGCCCCCTGAGAACTCAGAAACTGGTGATTCCTCTGAAGCTGGCCCAGAGAGAAGGCTCAGCACAGGGCTGGCGTGTACATGGATGGATGAGCACGTTAGCAGTGGGTGATGCTAGGTGCGGGGCTGGTTTGTAGATAGATGGATGAGTGAGCGAGCAGGTGGGTGATGCTGCAAAGTCATTTCCGTCAGAAAGCCCAGGTTTCTCGAATCCTGCTCTCCCCTGGGAAAGCCCTCCCATGGTTCAACCTACCCCAGAGTCATTTGTCTTTGTTGAAAGCTGAGCAAACCCATCTCATGGGTTTCTTGTTTTGTCTTGTTTTGTTTTGTTTTACTGGGTGAGATGAGGCTGGGATCATCAAGGATGCTATTTAAATGCCCTAATTCAATTTGGGAATGGGTGTTTTCTCACCACGGAGTACCCTGGCTCCTGGCTGACCCAGTGGCCCCACCATGGAGGCGTGGGTGTCACCAGGACCTGGCTGCACAGCCACGACCATGAGTCAGCAGCTGCTAGACTGCTTCCCCTCTGCCCAGGACTCCTCTCAGGCAAGAAACAAATCTGTCTGTCTCTCTGGCAGCCAGCTCTTTTCTCTGCAGATATGTGCCATAATCCCCACCCCACGGGGTGGAGATTAATTAGTGCGTTAAAGAGCTTCCCAGGTTACTCGTGGAGCCGGCAGTGGGCCAGGGAGCCCAGATCCTCACTTACCAGCTTTGCGAGGACAGAGGGACTCGACTCTCCCCAGATTCCCCAGCAGGAAAGCTAGGCCTCTGAGCTTCAGGATCCATGACCTCCTGCTAGCTCCTCCTTTCAGAAGTCCTCGGATGTTTACTGAGCATCTACTAAGCACCAGGCGCTTGGGGAGCAACAGGGAATGAAACAGACCAAAGCCCCTGAGCCCCTGGAGTCCATACCCTTAGTGGGCTGGAGGAGACCAGAGAGGAGGCCTGGGGAAGACGCGGACACTGGGGCAGGGCAGAGGGGACAGGACTGCAGAGGGATGCATCATTCCCATGGGGTCCATCTGTCCCCATCTCATCCCTCCAGCCGAGTCCTACCTCGCATGGTGTTTTTGTTTTTTTGTTTTTTGTTTTTGTTTTTGTTTTTGTTTTGAGATGGAGTCTCATTCTGTCACCCAGGCTGGAGTGCAGTGGCGTGATCTCAGCTCACTGCAACCTCCACATCCCAGGTTCAAGCAATTCTCCTGCCTCAGCCTCCCGGGTAGCTGGGATTATAGGCGTCTGCCACCATGCCCAGCTAATTTCTTTGTATTTTTAGTAGAGACGGGGTTTCACCATGTTGCCCAGACTGGTCTCAAACTTCCTGACCTCACGTGATCCACCCGCCTCTGCCTCCCAAAGTGCTGGGATTCCGGGCGTGAGCCACCGCGTCCGGCCTCAGGGCATTATTTCTACATGCTCCTGATTCTCTCTGCCTGCTGTTTCTTCAGGAACCCATGAACTTGGATGCAGAAACAATGGCCTCTTTGTTTTCAACCAGCCCCAGCTGAAATTAGGCATTTCCTCCATTATGAAGTAGGCAACAAGTCACAAATGTATCATCAGTACCTGAGTGTCACCAACAGAAATCACAGCTATCTCCAAGACCAGATCACAGTTGTTATCGATCTCAAAGTATGGCTTACACTCAGCACAACTTCAAAACTATGGAAATCATCACACCTGCTGCTAGTTCTTACGGAAGTGTTACTGAAGAAATACTAAAACTGTATTTTGATAACTTCATTGCCATGAAATTGGTTTCCTCTGGATCTATACTTTGTTTTATGCTAATTATAAAATCCTCATTCTGAGAAAGTTTCATCAGCTTCTCCAGGATTGGGATGGGCAGGAGTCTAGGGCACAGAGAGAGCTAAGAGCCCCTGTGCCAGTTTGGGGTCCTCAAAGCCAGAAAACCCCTGGGTGTGTGTCCTTGGTCCACCCAAGGAGCCTAACCCACAGCCAGGTACACAGCAGCCGCCTGACGTCATAGCTGCTGCAGGACTCAAAGTGGATGCCCAGAAGGCCTATTTGATGGTCAAATGAAAAATCAGAAAATAAACTTGGCTGGGGTTAAGTGGTATTGATGGGAATAATTGAGAAAAACATAGGGTTTTTATTGAGTGCTTTATTTTTACAGAGTGCAAATTGAATTACTTAACTGGTCAATGAGGTAGTCAATTGGGAAAAGTGCCTAAAAGCAGAGGAGGAAGAGAAATGGGCTTGAACTTGGAAGGCAAACGGTTACCCTTAGCAAGCGCGGCCGCGCCGAGCAATGCCTCCGGGAATGGTCTCCTTTTCCACCCTTGGCGCAGCACCAGACCAGCCTATTTCTGACTTCCCAAAATTGACAGATCTGGATTTCCTGGGCTCAGAGAGATACCCCCTCCTTGGGTCACAAGTGGCAGAATTCAGAGGTTATGAGAACAGAACAGGGAAAGGTGACTCCCACGACGCAGCCTTGCCACCGTGTCCCTTCTAGGCACGGGATTGTCCTAATGCCACACATGTTTCTCCTCCTGTGGATTTCCTTGGGGGTTGCAATTGTGCTACTGACCGGCAAGTGGGTACAACACAAGGCAGCCACAAGAGTGACTTCTGATGCAGATAAAACCTCAGGCTCAATCAAAAACTTAACATAAGCCAGGCATGGTGGCTCACGCCTACAATCTCAACACTTTTGGAGGCTGAGGCGGGTGGATTGCTTGAGCTTAGGAGTTTAAGACCAGCCTGGGCAATACAGCAAAACCCCCATCTCTACTAAAAAATACAAAAATTAGCCAGGTGTGGTGGCGTGCACCTGCACTCCCAGCTATTTGGGAGGCTGAGGTGAGAGAATCGCTTAGTCAGAGGAGGTTGAGGCTGCAGTGAGCTGTGACCACATCACTGCACTCCAGCCTAGGCAACAGAGCAAGACCCAGTCTCAAGAAGAAAAAAAACTGACGTAGGATTACCATAAGATCTAGCAATCCCACTTCTGGGCATTTACCCAAAAGGACTGAAAGCAGGGATTTGAAAAAATATCTGCACACCCATGTTCACAGCAGCCTAATTCACACTACCCAAAAGGTGGAAACAACCCAAACGCCCATCCACAGATGCATGAAGAAAGGAAATGTGTGGTGTCCATACAGTGGAATATTACTCAGCCGTAAAAAAAGGAAGGAAATTCTGGCACCTGCTACAGCCTGGGCAAACCTTCAGGACATCATGCTGAGTGAAATAAACCAGACACAAAATGACAAATGTGTATGGTTCCACCCATATGAGGCCATTAGAGCATCAAATTCATAGAGACAGAAAGTAGACTGTGAGTGGCGGGGGTGGAGGAGGGTGATGGGGGTTAGTGTTTAAGAGGGGCAGAGTTTCCATTTGGGAAGATGAGAACGTTCTGGAGAAGAATGGTGGTCACAGCTGCACAACACTGTGAATGCATTGAATGCCCCCAGAACCATACACTGAAAAAGCATTAAAACAGTGAATTTATGTTACATATATTTTACCACAATTTTAAAAATAGTAATAAAGAAAAAAGAATTTTTTTTTAGGCAGAGTCTTGCTCTGTCGCCCAGGCCAGAGTGCAGTGGCACGATCTCGGCTCACTGCAATCTCCGTCTCTAAAGAAAAAAGAATTTTTTTTGAGGCAGAGTCTTGCTCTGTCGCCCAGGCCAGAGTGCAGTGGCACGATCTCGGCTCACTGCAATCTCCGTCTCTAAAGAAAAAAGAATTTTTTTTGAGGCGGAGTCTTGCTCTGTCGCCCAGGCCAGAGTGCAGTGGCACAATCTCGGCTCACTACAATCTCCGTCTCCCTGATTCAAGCGATTCTTCTGCCTCAGCCTTCCAAGCAGCTGGGATTACAGGCATGTGCCATCACGCCCGGCTAATTTTGTATTTTTACAAATTTTCACCATGTTGGCCAGGCTGATCTCAAACTCCTGGCCTTAGGTAATCCACCTGCCTCGGCCTCCCAAAGTGTTGGGATTACAGGCGTGAGCCACCACGCCCAGCCAGCAAAAAGAATTTTAAAAAGAACTCAGGCTCAAGAGTGAAGGAATTCAAACCACAGCTCAGATCCTCACTAGCTGTGTGACTGGGGGCAAGTCCTCCTGCCACACCGAACCTTATTTTCCATTGCTGCAAAATGCATATAACCATGATATCTACTGTGTAGGTCTCTGTTCAGGAGCAAATGAGACAAATGGGCATGACGTGCCTGACGCAGCATCCGGCACGTAGATAGGGGCTGTGATTATTAACTTTATTATTACTAATCAGCAGTTCCATGTAAATAGTGAGGGATTATTATTATAAGGTAAAATTACATCAGAAGCAGAAGCTGGGAGGTGATCCTAACTGCTGGATCTCCCCGGCTGAGGCCTAGGAGATGTTATCACTACGTCTGATGCTTCAGAAATATGCACGGCAAAGAAGCCTCATAAAGAATTCTTTCTGAATTAAAATTGATCTGAATGGAAGCGGCCACACTCTGCCTGGCTCTTTTCTTTCTCTAATTTGAACTTCATTTATCTGAGCGTCAGGAAATGGTGACTTGCAAGAAATGTGCTCGGTGTGAGTCAAGGCGAGCTCAACATTGCAGGAAATTATCTGCTTTTGCAAGAAAATTACTAAGGAAGGAGAGTGCTGTTATTTTAAGATCTTCGAGCTGGTGTGAGAAGAAACTAATTAAATGATTGTAATTTTCTGTGCAAATACAGTAACTGACTGCTATAGAAATGCAAAATAAGAAGGAGATTTTCCACCTCAAAAGGACACTGGAGTTTTACCTTTTATTCCAGTCTTCCAAGGAGAGTCCTCACTCACTCAAGTATCCCTATTCCATTTTTTTAATGACAAATGGAGCTTAATTGGAATAGAGGTGACAAGCACCATAGGCCTTCTGGGAAGCGGTCCCGAGTCATGAGGCTGAATGGAAAAGACGTTGCTGTTGCCCTCAGCGGGCTGCATATCAATCAGCAGTGAGCAAATTGCCTAAGTCTGTGTTTTACAGCCTTGCAGAGCAGGTCAGGGATGGTCTGTGCTTGTGGGAACCTGCTGGGAGCGGGGAGAGAGGTACAGGGCATTCCCCACCCCCACCACCCACTTAGACTGACAGCCCCATGTCTGCACTTCTTCTACACCCAGAATCCAAGCTCACATCCAGGACGGCGCTTTCCAAGAAAAAGCAGGATGTGAACCAATGCAGAACACATGCCTTCACCTTTCCAAAGCTACAGACGGAGACCTTGCCCTCCCGGTGGCCAGAGCCAGGGATCTCTGCTCCCTGGACTTCCAAAAGGGGAGGACGTCGGTCAGGAACAGCAGCTGCAGCACAGCCAGGCTTCTCAGGTCATCGGCATCCCTGCAATCCACAGAGCACCCACCCAAACTAGCGACTAAGGAGGGGCGAGGACAAAGTGGGCCATTCGTAAGAACCTATAAATAACTCATCCTTTGGAGTCTGAAAAAAGAAAGACAAGGCGGCCCCAAAAGAGGAGGCAACGTACAAGCTTCCCCTCCATTTCTTCCTGCACCGGAAAAGGCACAGGGGTTCTCGGCAGCGTCCCAGCTGATTCGCCCGTCACTCCAGTCTGCTCTCCATCGAATCATCTGCACAAGTCTTAGCCTGACTCTGAAAAATCACCATAAAATAAAGTAACGGCTACGCCGAGAGGCCCACGCAAGCTCTGGGCTGCCTTCTCATCTGAGGGGCGTGCCGAGGAATGAGGCTAATTTATGACCTCTTTAGAATACTCTCAGGAACCTTCACGCAACTACAAATTAAATCGCCCTTTATTAAAGTAAAAGTGGATTTGTGAAATGTGCTCAGCAACTTTATTAACAGGGCTGTCTCTATGACTTCGAGCCAGGCTTCTTGATCAACGCACGAGTCTCTCCTGTGCCCATGAGCGCTCCAGGCTGCTCCAGCCCCTAGGCCTCTCCTTCAGCCTTAATATTCTCACCATTCCAACCTCCTCCTCAGCCCGGGACTCTACTCATCCTGCAGAGCAGCTCCATCTTCACCTCCTCCAGGAAATCTTCCCAGACTTCCCCAGCGCAGATTCACACGGCACCTAGAACGCGCTGGGGTGAATTCCTGTCCAGACCAAACATTTCACCCGCGCAGGGGCCAAGTTTGACTTGGCCCCTCACTGAATCCTCAGCAGCTAACAGCGCTAGGCACACAGAGAAGCTCGGTAAAGAGCTGAGGCCAACAGCCACCACGAGCCGGGCCTTGAGCTAGTTTCAAGAAGACAGTGAAGATGCAAGTGAGGTCGACACTCTTAGGAAATAAGATGAAGGAGGACATTGGTGGCTCTGCTGGCCAGGCCCCCATCCATGGAGTGTGTGGCCCCAGCACTGGCCTGACACACAGGAACCATGATCCTCATTTGATAAATGAGGAAAAAGGCTCAGAGAGGTTCAGTCCTCATCCAAGCGTGAACAGCAGGCACGGGTGAGACCAGCTGTGCCTGAAGCTCAACTCTCATGGAAATCTGCCTCCTTCATTACTACTTGAAAGAGGCTGCGGTGAGGTTCTTGGGCTGGGCATTCCAAAGTCTCTTCTACTTCATTCCCGGTCTCCATTCATATAAATAAAATACAAATAAATTAGCAAATGTGTACTAAGCATAAACAACGTCCGGGTTGGTAGTGACCTTGGAGATGGTCTGGTCCTGACGCTCACCTTACAGATGGGGAAACTGAGGCCTGGGGAAGACTGGCTACATGGGTGGCCAGCATGATGGGAAGGGAGGAGTGAGTGCCCAGCTGAGCGCTGCAGGGAGAGAACCCAGGGCTCCCCAGGGAGGAGAGGGAAGGCAGCACTAATGTGTTGGAGGGCAGGGGAGGGACCCCGGGGTCAGAGCCAGAGGCCATGTGGAACAGCATGGAGTGCACCCCTGGGTCCGGCTGGGAATCTGGGCTCACAACCACAACTCTGGACCCCTCAGTCGGCCCCTGGTGGTCCCGCTTCCCACCCCAAACCGAAAGTCCCTGCAGTGGCCTGGAGCATGGACATGGAGCCTCCTTTTGAGCACTTCCAGCGAGGGGGGATCAGGGCCTCCAGAGCAGCACGAGAGCCCATCCACGCTGCTGCCCTGCACGCGGGGCAACCGAAGACAATCCAGCCTCCCCCACCTCTGCGCTTCCCCACTGTGCACCAGAGGGGTGGACTTCCAGCCCAAAGCCAGTTTCTATCCCATAACCCCTCCTGCTCGCATTCCCCGGGAGTGTCGGTCCCTCAGGCAAGGACCCAGCAAGGCAGGGCACCTTAGGTCAGGTGAACTGATTTTGGGGAGTGGGAGAGTGGGTTTGGGAGCTTCTCAGGGGTCCTCAGAGGCAACAGGAACAGACCAGCACTTGAGGGGGTGCAGAGAGAGGACAGAACATGGGGGATCCACAGTCAAGGTCTCATCTGTTGAACTTGGATGAGAATACAAACGAAGGCAGAGTTTGTATTCTGCCTTCCCAGAATGGCCCGCCCCACCCAGGCCAGGGAAGCGGGTCTACGCAGCTCCCCATCCCAGAGCGGCCCGCCCCACCCAGGCCACAGAGTGAGTCTGTGAAGGCCAGACCACAGCAACAGCCTCCCTCGGACCCCAGCCAGGAAACACCATGGGCAGGAGCCCTGCTCAGGGAGCCCCTGCTTCACAGCACAGGCAATGGCCACGGGCAGCCCCTCCACCAGGCTCACCTGCCCTCTACACCTCAGAGATCTCTGCTGCTCCCCTCAGCCACACCTCCCCAGCCTTGCCAGTCATCCTCATCCTCCTCCACCTGTGGCCCATGTGACCCCCTCCCCAGGTGAACTGAGCTTCCCCTGCCCCACCTTGCTCTCCCTGCACTGTGCCTCCACACCGGCCCCACTTCGCTCCTCCTGAATTGCATCCCTGGGGCTCTCTGCCCCCACCCCGCTTTGGACCACAAGCACTTCAAGAGAAGGAGCCCATCCCACTGGCTCCAGGCCCTTCCTCTGCACCCCAGGGCTGACACCCGAAACACGATGACGAAACTAGGGCCCAGGTCGAGAGAGAGCACGGCTCCCCATCCTCCCGGCTCACAGGAGAATCAGAAGGATGGGGACTTCCGCAAAGTGCACCCAGCAGACCCCATGGGTAAGCACCCAGGAAACAAGGCCTGCCGGCTGCTTTGGAGGCAAATATGAGGCCACGTGGAGGGTTCTGGGCACAACACCCTCCCCTTCCTGCTGGGAGCTCTCAACCCATGCTCTGAGTGTCGAGTGACTGGGGCAAGGGCAGAAGCCCTGGGTCACCGTGCGAGCCTGTGGTTTGCACGCCGAGACTTCCCTAGACTCAGCCCGCCCTCTGCATGTCCCCATGTGCTGCCGCCTCTCTCCACACAGAGTCCCCGGCTCCCTCATGGTTCTTCATCCAGCTGCCAGGCCCAGGGTCCCGGACAGGCTTGCCCCACCAGCAGCCAGCTCCTGACAGCAAGTATGACAGGCACTCACCCCTGGTCACCACATCCCTTGACCTCTGCCTGCTTCTGTCTCTCTCCAGGTGGCCGCTGGACACCCTTGGTGATGAGCTATCACGACAGAGATGCACTTCCTCTGGACGGAGGCCCAGCACTCACAGGCCGACCAGCCACAGCTCAGCCACCGGGGGCCACACCTCAGGCTCCAATCCAGCCTCCACCCCAAATGCTGGGAGGCCCACACCATGTGGGCCTAGAATTCCAGAGTAACGCACAGCAAGTTCAGCATACTTAAATACAAAACCCCAAGCTTGGAGCCACCAAGCTGTCCTCTAAGGTGGACTGGAGTTGACATCACAAAACCACAAGCATCGGACACGAGGCTTCAAGTCAGCTTTGTCGTGGATTTGAACCCGTTCATTTAAGAACTCACATGGTCTCTGCACTCTGGAGGCTGGCCTGGAGCCTAGAAGCCCAGCACCACCCAGGACAGAGAGGCCTGCAGAGCCGGGGCAGCCACGTCCTGTGCGCCCAGCCACGCACCTCTCTCCAGCCCACTCTCCTCTCCCTCAGCCCCCTCCACAGCCTTGGTCCAAGCCTCCCTCTGGCAGCAGCTCCTCCCTGAGCCTCTGTCCAGATGTCTCACCCTGCAGCCCTCACCAGCCCCATCCCCCACAGTGCCTCCAGGGCTGTTTCTTGATATCATTCTCTGAGCTCCTGCTGTGGGCCAGGCTCTGATCTGAGCATTTGACATGGAAGATCTCACTTCACCTGCACCACAAACCTATGAGCCTTTACTTCTCCCATTTTCAAGATATGGTCACTGAAGTCCAGAGAATTTAGTCCATTTGACCTGGATCCCAGAGCCAGAGAGTGGCAGGGCCAGGATACAGACCCGGGCAGGCTGCCTCTGAAGCTCAATTGCAATGTCCACCACTCGTCACTGCGACACGGACTCTTCAGCCTCACATCTGGGGTCCATCGGGAGCTGACTTTTTAATCTATTTTTTCCAAACTTCTTTTCTATGGTTTGTCTCCATGCACAATGCATTCACTCTCACTTTATATAACACACACATACCTTCAAAATTCCTACCCCCCAGACCTTGCTCAAGTTGGAATGTTGTTTTCTGGAATGTTCTCCATCTCCTATACACTCCACCTACTCATTCTTTAGGTCAGCCTTGATGCCCTCTTCCATGCAGTCTTCCCTGATTTCCCCATCAGCATTATCGGGGGAGGGTGACACTTGCCCCCTCATATCCTAGCTGTTCATGTCCATCTGCTGTCTCCCACTAGACTACTCTAAGATCCACTTCTAAACTCAGGAGATGCAAAGGAAGCTGAGACCCCTTCCCTGCTATTAGGGTCTGAACTGTGTCCCCCCACCAAAATCCATACGTTGAAGTCCTTAGCACTTCAAAATGTGACTGTATTTGGAAGCAGGGCCTTTAAAGAGGTAACTAAGTTAAAATGAGGTGGTTAGAATAAGCCCTGATCCAATATGACTGGTGCCCTTACAAGAAATGGAGATGAGGACACAGACACACACAGAGGGAAGACCATGTGGAGACATGGGAGAAGGTGGCATCTGCGAGCCCAGGAGAGAGGCCGCAGAAGGAATCAACCTGGACAATACCTTGATCTCTGACTTCCAGCTTCCAGGACTGCAAGAAAATACATTTCTGTTGCTTCAGCCACATAGTCTGTGGCACTTTGCCCTGGCAGCCCTAGAAAGAGAATTCACCTGCCCTCCAGGAACTCGACACCTGGCAGATGTCATGATGGAATTCTCACGCAAACTTGGGGAGAGGCCATGGGTAGTATAGTAGAAGCTGCCACATACCATTAGTTCTTGACCTCTTAACTCAGAGAAACAAGTTTCAGAAGCTCTTCTGATGTGTAGCTCTAGCTCTCTGGGTATAAAATATACACAAATATCGGGTTCATCAAGATTGCAGAACAGAGAGTGTGGGTAGTCTGCTCAGAATCACCTCTGCATTCAACTGCCTTGGATACCACTAACCATGTAGGCGCAGCACAGAGCAGATTTGGAAAATGGGCAGAGGGAGGGGAGGGAGAGGGAAGGGGGAGGGGAGGGGAAGGGAGGGCAGGGGAGGGAGGTGCTGATCTTCTCGGGGAACAATGACAGAGGTGAACAAACTGGACCAGGCTGCAGGAAGCTCACGTTCAAGTCAAATGATACATTCAGCTTCAAAGTTGAGGATCAAGTGCCTTGTGGGAAGGAGCCCAGGTGAGCTGTGCTTAAAATAAGCACAATAAGCCCACGATTTCCCAGAAACATTAAGAACAGGACGGGGCACAGCACATTCCCCATAGGAATAACATGAAACCGCAACCCCAGAGGCTGAGAGCCACACTCTGTAATATTTATCCACCTTCAAATAGCACCGCTGCCTCCAAGGGCAGCTCCGGAGATGCAAAACCCAGAGCTGTGTGTGCACAGCCCACTCTAGATCCATAAAAACGCAATACCTCTTGGTTTCAATGAAACATTAATTTCACACATAACAATTTGTTTCTACAGCTAAACGTCAGACAGGGAGGCGGTGTTTGAACTTCCAAGCAAGTCCCCTTCTCTATCTCCATGGGAGCAGGCAGAACCAAGCCGTTGGAAGGAAAACCCACATAATGTTAAACGGAGCTGTAGCAATGAGGGCTTAAATCCTGGGACTGCTTCTTGTGGGATGCTCTCAAAAGCCATGTTTTAAAGTCCATCTCCCTCATCAAATGCTCCTTTTAATTTTGAAGAACACCTGATATGGTAAAGTAAACACGCTCTCTGTTCATGTTGACCACATCTGCAGAGGGCGGCAAGCAAGTTGAGGAAAGAAAACGTTAAGAAGACTGCTCAGCAAACCAGCCGTGTGAGTTTCTGTCTGGTTGTAGCTTTCAAAGATGGTGCTTTCAAGCAGACGTGAAACCCACTGCCAAATCCTGGCTGAAATCTTTAGTCCTGTGGTTGCAAGATGAGACTAGAGGGAGCAGAGTACATTTCTAAGACACGGCGTGTGCTGAGAAAACAATACTACGCATGCAACAAGCACTAAGGCAATGATTTTTTCTTTTAAAGCAGTTTTACTTAGTTAGCTCAAGATAACAGCCTTCTTGCCTCTTCTGAGTTTTCTCAGGCAAGGTCAAACTCCTGCAGCCTCGCCTGCTCCCTGAGGTTCAGGATGATCAGGTCTTCCCTGACTGCCCAGTCCAGAGAATGGGTGTGTGAGAGAGGCAGGAGTGGAAGGTGTTGAAGCCCAATGCCTGGTCCAGCATCTGACCCCACGGACACCCACACCCACTACTCACAATGAGGGTGTCCTGGCTTCTACTCCCCGAGTGTTTGCTAAGTGTCAGGCTATGCCCGGTGTGCCACACCTCACCCCTGCCCCTCGCCTCATGCTGACCAGAGGACATCCATCCCTTAAAGCTCCTCTCTGGTTCCTTGGACTTGCTGTCCTCACTAAAGAGAAGCCAACATTGGCCCCCACCCACAATCCTCCCCCCACAACACACACACACACACACACACACACCTGCCAGCAGTGAGGACGCAAGCCCACCCAGTCACAGAGGAGTCACCCAACCCAGCTGCCGCCCTCAAGGAGCAAAGCCACATGGGCTCCTCTGACAGCCCCCCACCCCCAGTGCCCCATCCCTGCTGGCCCAAGCTCCCTCCTCAACTCTCTCCCAGGAAGCTGCCCTGCACCCAGACTGTGAGGTCAGGACAGGGGCAGGCTGGATGTCAGCCTATCCCCTCACATGGGGCTCCTCTACCCCCTCCCCAGGAAGCTAAATGACAAAGGGGCAGGAGCAAGCTTCAGGATCAACCACCTCGGCAGATGGGGTAGGGGATTAGAGCTTTCTGGCCCTGCGGGATTTGCTTTTTGTATTTATGTGGTCCTTTGAGCTCTCAGTTTCTGGGTTGCCTTTCCACCTGAGTTAGAGCTTATGGTAGAGCACACACCGTTTGTTCACAAGTACCTGGCATCTGACCCCTCTCTCAAGGTGCAGATGGAGAGAACTCTTCTAGGGCTCTTCTAGGGAGGTGGCACCTGCCACCTCTGCAAGTCACCCCAGCCGGCACCCTGACTGCCCCCTGCTGGCCCACTGCACCCAGGGAGCCAGCTCTCCCCTCCAAGGGCTGCTAGTCAGGCTGGAGATGCCAGGAATGACCCAAGACCAGACACTTGGCACCTGTACCCTGATAGATGCTGGCTGGTTGGGGAGCTGGGCTCTAGGCCGACTAAATTCATTCAGTGCTGCCCCTACCCCTGCCCCAACATATTCATCTGCCCACCTCATCCCTCCTCCAGCACAAATCACAGCTGGCTGGGAGTAGCCCAGCAAAGCTGGACAGAGGAGATGGGCACAAGTGACCACCCAGATTATGCCCTTTCCTGGCTCCAGAGGCCAGTGCTCCCCACCCATGCCACTGCCAGTGCATATAGGAACCCTGGCCCTTTGGGAAGCGAGAAGAGGTCTCCTAGGGGACCCCAGGAGACAGCAAGGCACAGAAATGAGGGGAGGCTTCCATCTCCCCTCCCCATACAAATGTACCCTCCTCTGGGGATTCATGGCTGCCACCTCCCTATCCCAATCCTTCTCTGGAACCTGCAAAACTAGAGCCCCACCAGGGGCTGCCCCAGGGTGACTTCAGAGTGGCCCTTGGCCCTTTTGTGGGGGTGGGGGGAAGTGGGGAGTGAGGTTGAGGCAGCCCCCAGGGGAATAATCTAAAGGGACCCTCTGCCTCCTGCATGCACCACCAAAGGCCAGAGGAGGCAGGATTTGGGAAGGGTGGGAGCCCCAGGCTGTGGGTGGAGGAACAGGAGGTCCCCAACAGAGGTGGCAAACTTCCAGCTGGAGCAAAGCCAGAGTAGCCGGGAAGGTGGGGGGAGGGCAGGGAGTTTGCTGTGCCAGCGCCACACAGGTCTCCAGCACAGTGTGGGTATGAACCCAAGGGGGTACGCGGGTCCCAGTGCATCCAGGCGGGGCGACCGGCAGCAAGAGCTCAAGACAGCCGCGGGTCGCACTAGAGTACCCCGGGGAGAGGGGTAACCCAGAAATCCCAGAGTCCCAGAACAGGATTCGAGCTGACCGGGGAAGTCCCGGAGCCTGCGGAGGCGCCACCGCGGAGTCCCTGGTAGACCAGGGAGGGAAGGATCCCGGAGCCCAAAATCCCAGAACGCGACGCTCAGCTGGTGGAGTCTGGGGGCAGGGGAGGTAACGCCGAGCTGGGGTACCCTCAAGGACCTGCAGGCTTCCGAAGGTTCTGGGGTCCTCCTCCGTAACCCAAGACCTGGAGGCCAGTGGGGGAGTATCGGAGGTGGCCCAGGATCCCGAAATCTGCGGGAATGTCCCCTGCGGTGAGACAAGCGTACGAATCTGAGGACCTCTCCCCAAGTAACCAGTGACCAGAGGCCAGTAGGGGCGCGGCCGAGGTGACCCAAGTGCCCAAGTCGCCAAGAACCCGCCCCTGATGACCATAGTGGGGATCTGGGGTGGGGGCCGTGGCGGTCCCGCCCGGGTGTCCCGCGGTGTCCCGGGTAGGGGCCGCGGCGAGCGCGTGGAGGTCACTTACGCTGCTGTTCTCGCCCGTCCAGTGCACCATCGCCTGGTTGTGCGTCGCGTCCCCCTTGAGCACGAACGACGTGCTGATGAGCGAGACCTGCGCCCGCGAAGCCACTCCGGCCAGCGGCGCCGCCCGCTCCCAGCGCCGGTAGCCCGCGGCGGGGGCGCCGTCCTCGCCGGGACCAGGAGCGGGACCGGGACTCGGACCCGGGGCGCCTGGCTCCGTGCCGCGCGCCTGCCGGTCCTCGCCGCCACCGGGCTCCGCGCGCCCCGCGGGAGGGCTCCGCGGCACCCGGGTCAGTTGGGCGTGAGGACCCAGGCGCCCGGGCTCAGGGGAGCGCCCCGCCGCCCCGCAGGCGCCCAGCAGCAGCAGCAGCAGCAGGAGCGGCCGCGAGCGCGGCGAGCGCGGCGGCGGCGGAGCCCCGGGGCTCGGGGCTCGGGCGGTGGGGCCGGGGCCCTTCGAGGCGCGCGAGGGCCCCCGGTGCGCCATGGTCGCCAGGGGCGGCAGCGGAGCCGGCGGCGGGGCGGCGCGGACGAGGGGACCGCGGCCGGGAGAGCAGGAGGGCGCTGGGGAGCGCGAGCGAGAGCGCAGAGAAAGGAGCCGGCGAGGGGAGGGAGCGGCGGGAGGAGGGGACTCGGCGGCCCCGGCGCCACCCGCGACGCCGAGCGCGCACCGCCACCTGCCGGCCGGCCCGCCGCCCAGGCGCTCGTGGGAAGCCCGGCGTACCCGAGCGCGGCCCCACCTCCAGGCCAGGATCCCCTTCCCAGCTCGGTGGTTCCTCCGGTCCTCCTTCCCGGCTCTCCCACCTCTTCCCGTCCTCCCTCCCTCTCTCCAGGTCCAGCCACGGTTCTGCGGCTCTGGGCTCCCGCTGGGAACAGCCAGGTCCCTGTCCGGGAGCTGACAGCCTGAGGGAGACAGACCAACCCAGGAGGACACATATATAGGCAAAAGAACTCTGAGCTAGAACCAGGGCTCCCGGCGCAGATTATAAAGGGTTCTCCTCAAGGGGCCTCTGAAGAGGTGGCAGTGGAGAGGGGGTGAAGCCCGTGAAGGTCCCTGGGGAGGCCTGCTAGGCGGCCGGAGCGGGGTGGGGGGGTGCAGTGCAGAGGCCCCTAAGGTGTCCTCAGCAGAACTGCCCCAAGGACTGCCAGGCCTCTGGCTCAGACATCGGGACGTGCAGTGGCTTCATCTCCCAACCCAGGGGCCACGAGGGAGCTACCCTGAACAGGACAAGCTCCTGTGTGGGGAGGCGTGGGGAGGGGGCAGGGGGTGAGGTCCTAGGGACCTGGCAGGCGCAGTGAGGAATGTGGAAACTGAGGCTCGGAGCACAGCAAGTCCCCACCCAAGGTCTCGTGGCCACTTTAGTTCAGTAGCGATAAAAATGACTTCACAGAGCAGCCACCCTGAGTGTCAGACGGGCCTCCAGGAACAAGCACGGCAGGCGCTTCCCGAGGCAAGGCCAGGGTCAGAGCCTCTGCCAGGCCAGGGCCACCCTGCCCATGGCCTTCCCCCAGAGGCCCCGCGCCAGATAGGAGCCCTTGGGCCGGGGTCCCAGTCATACCCCACCTCCCAGCTGGGTCCCTTGGCTCCAGAGAGAGCCTACTGGGGCAGAGGGGCAAGGCCTCGAACATTTGGGAAAGATGGAGAATTGGGGGTTCCCTCTGGCTCCCAGAGAATTGGAGCACCCATCTCCCTCCCCAGGAAATCATATCCCAAAGCACTGGGCACAGGCTACCTGCATTCACGCTGTACCCAGCGCTGGGACTTGGGGAGGAGGAGGTCTGGCCAGATGCCTAAGAAGGCCCCACACTCCGAATGTGCCGTTCCCTCTCACCCCACCATGTAAATCCTGAACCTGTCAGCTTCAAACCCAATGGGAAGAGGGAAGGGAGGACTCTGCAGCTGTGGGAACATCTGGTCTCACACAGGAAGCAGAGAAGAACAGAGTGGGGTCAGTGAAGGGTGGAGGGGAGGGGAGATGAGGAAAAGTGGGGGACCAAAAGAGGGCTGCAGACCGTGGCTGGCAGGAGATCACTGAACATGGAGTTAGAAATGAGATGGTTCGGTTCCTCCCAGCTTAGACAGGAACCATCACAGGGCCTTCCCCAAACTCCCGAGCCTCCATTTTGCCAACTGTAAAAGAAGAGGCTGCACAATCTCTGCGGTCTCTCTCAGTGTTAACTGGTTTTGTTTTGTTTTAAATAAAGAAGGCCTCCAAGTACTATCCTCAAGAAACTTGGCCAGGTGCAGTGGCTCACACTGTAATCCCAACACTGTGGGCGGCCAAGTTGGGAGGAATGCTTGAGGCTAGGAGTCAGAGACCAGCCTGGGTAATGTAGTGAGACCCCATCTCTATTAAAATATATATATATTTAAAATATTAGCTGGGTGTGGTCCAAACTACTTGGGAAGCTGAGGTTAAAGGATCGCTTGAGCCCAGGAGGTCAAGGCTGCGGTGAGCCGAGATCATGCCGCAGCACTCCAGTGTGGGAGAAAGAAAGAAAGAAGGAAAGAAGGAAGGAATGAAGGAAGGAGAGGGAGGTAGGGAGGGAAGGAAGGAAAAGAAGGACAGGAAGGAAGGGAGAAAGAAAGGAAGGAAGGGGAGAAAGACAGAAAAGAGAAAGAAAGAGGAAGAGAGAGAGAGAGAAAGTGAGAAAGAAAGAGAAAGAAAGCGAGAAAGACAAAGAGAGGAAGGAAGGAAGGAGGGAAGGAAGGATGGGAGGGTGGAAGGGGAAGGAAGGAAGGGAGGGAGAGAGGGAGGGAAAGGAAAGAAGGGAGAAGGAAAGGAAGGGAGGGAGAAAGGAAGGGGAGAAAGAGAGAAAAGAGACAGAAAGAAAGAGAGAGAAAGAGAAAGCGAGAAAGGAAGAAAGAGAGAGAGAAGGGAAGGAAGGAAGGAAGGAGAAACTTGACAGTGTCAGTTATCAAGCACTTACGGTGCTGGGCACTTTCCCCGGGGCTTGAGAGGACAACGGGGACTCTGCTCTGGGGGCTGCTGTTTCAGGCCATCATATCTCATTCTCACGACCAGGCTGGAGCAGGTGTCACTGTCCCCATTTTACAGAGGAGGAAACAGACCCAGAGACATTCCTTGACTACACAAGGTCACCTGGTCAGTGTGTATCAGAGGCCAGACTCCAAACCAGGTATTCTAACCCCAAGGTGGCACTGTTTACACCACCTCAAGCTGCTTGTCATCTATGCGTTTGCCATGGTGCGTTTGTCATCTGTGTGTTCCGGGCTCTCAGGCACTTTACATCTATGGGGCTCAGACTCGGGCTGCCTAGCCAGGCAGGGCAGCAAAATGAGCTCACCACCACCACCCTTCAGCTCAAAGGAGGCTCAGTCACTGAGTGACTTGGTCAGTCACGTTAAGTCCCCAACAAATTGGGGGGAGGGTTCCGAGCTGGAATGCAGTTGGCTTGACACCTAACTACTGATCTTTCCAGAACAATTGCTGCCTCTGCCCTAATGAGGCTGCAAGACATTGGAAAGAGCAAGGCTGATTCTCCCCTTCTGTGGGTCTGAGCTCAGAGCCACTTTGACTGTCCCAGACCATTCAGTCCCCACCTGCTGGACACGCAGACACAGTGATGAGGGAGACAGACAAGATTCCCATGCTCACAAGGAGCCTCTGTCCTAGTGGGGAAAACTAATTTCAGCTAGAACTAAGTGCCCAGGAGAGGACAGTGCGGCCATCCGAGAAGAGGTAGGGGTGCTCAGGGGTCAGGGAAGCCCTGCTCCCTTAGGAAGTGACATTGAGCTGAGGATCGAGGACCCACCCAGGCATTGCAGGAAGAGCCGGGATGGCGACCCTGATGCCGGAGCTGGCATGTTCAGGGAGGAGCAGACGCAGGGCTTGATTTGTACTCACAGTCGGATGGAAAGTCGCTGGGGTGCTTTAAGCAGTCGGCTGAGGTTATGAGCATGTTTACAGCCATCATTTTGGCCACGGTGAGGACAGGCACACGAAGCCACTTAGGAGGCTACTCCTCTCAGGTCCAGAGAGAGGCCATGGTGGCTGGGAGCTGGCAGGCAGCAGAGGAGAGAATGGAGGGAAGCCTGCAGGGACCCATGTGCCACTCCCAGGTGCCTCCTACCTGCCTTGCACTCACCCTCCTTAGTGACCCACATCAGGGACTCAGGGACTCAGGGGCTCCAGTGCCAGAGAAAGACATGGGGGAGTGTAGACAGCAAAGGAGAGCTGGTTTACCCCTCCCGACATGCCCTGATAGAAGAAGAGCACACGGGATGTCTTCAGAAGCCACAGAGGTGGTGTCAGCAGTACTCACTGAGGAAGCCAAAGGCTCAGAAGGCATGGGGGCGTGAGTGGCTGATGGAGGCGCTGTTTGTGAGGACCCCACAGGCGCTGCAAGACTGACGGGGCCACATGCAGATGCTTGGGCTCAGCATCCGACACTCAGGTGCATCAGGTCAATAGTAAACGCTGTCCAGGGCTAAGAAACCTAATAATTTTTCACAACGCGAGGACCCTCAGCATGCCCCGCCTTGCTCCCTCGTCTCCTTCCCTTCTCCCAGCTCCAGGCTGGGCACTGGGCTCTAGCCTGAATCATACCTGGTGCCTGCTGTTGGAGACTTCACAACCTGATGGAGGAGGCACACAGGTGAACAGAGAGTGACATTAGGGAAACAGGTGCTCCCACAGAGGTGCCTGGAGCTAAGGGAAGGGAGAGCTGCTGTCTGGGGCTGAGGGAGGAAGGCTGCCGGGAGGACACCCTTCAACTATCCTGCTAGGTAATAGAGACAGCAATGATCATAAATGCTACTGAACACCACCATGGGCTAGGCACTGTTCTGGTTGGAAGGACTCACTGAGCTTCACAACACCTATATAAAGTAGGTATTATTTTCCCCAAGTTAAAGATAGAGAAGATGAAGGCACAAAGGGATTGAATAAATTACCTCGAGGATTCAAAGCCCCCCCTCTCCCATGTGCTGGCTACGAGGCCCTTCAGCTTCACCCTCACCTCTCTGTTTCTCAAATTGCCTACCTGAGAAACGGGACCAGCACCATCTACCTTAATGAGAACTGATTCGACCTGCTGATTCCTGGGCCCTACCCAGACCAGAAACTCTGGGGTAGGGCCCAGGCATCTGTTTTAACATGCGCTCATGTACTTCTGGCACACCCCTAAGTTTGAGAAGCACTGTGCTAACCCTGCGGCTGCAGGCCCAGGCTGCTCATCAGAATCATGTGAGGAGATTTAGAAAAATCCTGCTTCCTGGGTCCACTTCTGCCTCAGGCTCGGTGGGGGTGGAGCCCCGTTATTCCATCTTCTCTAAACTCCCCCACGTGATGCCAATGTGCGACCAGCAGGGCATGCTGCCCCATAGCATGGCTTTTCATCAGGATTCATGAGAGAAGAAATGCAAATGCCCAGCACATAGTAGGACTCCAAAACCTGGTGGGGCCAGGTGAGCCCCAGTCTAAGCCTCTTGGCTTCAAGAACCACACTGACCTCCCCATTCCACAGCAAGCCTCCTCATCCAAAAAGAAGAGATACTTTGTGTTTCCGACTTTTAATCATACCACTTGCTCATTAAAAGTCCCAGGCTTTTCGAAACTATTGACGGTCTCTAGTGATAATATTTTAATTTATCTTTATAAATGTGACAAAGCTCCAATTGTGCAGCTCCCTAAGTGGGGCCCGCCTCAGAGATGTCAAGGATCCGTGATGAGGCTCACTGGAAATGCCGTGAACCCGGCAGGAGGGAGCGCTGCAGGGACAGGCTGGTGGTTTGCTGGACTCCCCAGAGGGGAAGCCCCTGGGCCAGCCCTGAGCAACATTCAGAAGTTTTGTACCTGCTGTCAGGGCAGGAGGACAGTAATGACCTGCAGAGAAATCTCCTAATGACTTTTAGCAAACAGCAAGGGGTGAGAGGGGATAGCTTTGAGCGAGAAGGATCAAGCTGACAATCTCGTTATCAGGTTGTCAGGGGAAACAGAGCCAGACAGTGGATTTGGCAGGTCGGGACTTTAACTCAGGCAAGGAGCAAAAGTCTGATGTGGAGACCGAAGGGTAGTGTATCCACATGTGGAGGAAGGAAAGGTACCCACAGGGAAACAGAAGAGGCTATTGGCCATGTCCAACCAGAAGACGGAGGGCAGACGGCGGGGGAAGGCTCAGCAGTTCTTCTTGGAGGGGTTGTTGCATTTTAATGGAGGCAAGGAGTTCTTATCCCTTGGACATCATCTCTGTGGACCAGCCGGACCCCTGATGTGTGAAAGGGACAGTTAATGCACCACAAAAGGGTTGGTTCCTTTATTCCAGTCACTAAATATTTACTGAGCACCTATGTGCCTGGCACTGTTCTAGGCCCTGGGGAGATGGCAGGGAACAAACTCGACCAGATCCCTGCCCTCATGGACTCACGCCGTGGTGGGGACACAGACAAAAGGCAAGGAAAAGCAGCACTAGCAGCCTCCAGCTGGACAGGTGCCCCGAAATGGGATTGCAGGCAACAGGACCACGGAGAGGCATGAGTAACCTAGACGGTCATTGGAAGCTTCCCCAAAAAAGTCGCCTCGGAAGCTGAACCTAGGACAGACAGTGTTTAAGGAATTAGGGAAGAGATGGTGGAGGGGGTTGCAAACCAGCCGGTGCAAACACCTGGAGACAGACGGCACAGGGGCCTTTGAAGAAGTGGAGAGAGAGCCACAGGGCGGCAGAGTGCAGCACATGGCAGCAGGTAGTGAACACAAGCCTCCCCAGGTCTGCCCAGCGTCCTCTGAGGCATCAGGGGTCCCAGGCCCTGTGGCAGGCACTTGGAAGCCAGGAGGTGATCAGAACCAGTCCCCATCCTCTGGGAGATTAACACCAGGTGAGGGGGACTGGCAGGTTGATATGATGACGCCACAGGGGGGCAGCAGAGATGGCGATGCCTCTCCAGCGTGGGCCCGCCAGGGGCCAGCTCCACTCCTGGTGCCACAGTGCTAGCTCGCCTGCTACCCTGATGCGCGGGGTAGAGGGGCTGGGTGGGTGGGTTACATCATCACCTCCTTCTTATAGAAGAAGAAACCGAGGCACAGCACCAAAAGGCAAGGGGACTTGCTCAAGGTCCCAAAACCAGCAAGGGGCATCAGCAGGCCCTGAACCTGTCCCTCTGGCTGAAGAACCCCTGCGCTTCCCCTATACACCCACAGGCTCCGGAGGGCTGACATGAGCCTGGGTGACAAGCGGCCTGAGCCCTGCTCCATGCCAGGGCCCCCGCCTCAACTTTCTCATGCATCAATCCTCACCCCACCCCACGGGCCTAGGATGATTATTAACACCACCATCACCTGGGGAGACTGTGACCCACCAGCTCTGCAGCACATAGCATGGGCCCACCCTGAACCCCACTGCTCCCTGGCTCTCTATGCACACATATAAAGTGCCATGGGAACAGAGAGCGGGGGCCAGCTCTGGCCAATGTAGGTTGGAGGTGGGGAGTGATTTATTCTCCTCCCACCAATCGGACATTCCTATTCTCACCGGGCAGGAGAATGCTCTTGCTTAGAGGAAACCCTCAGCACGTTGGAGCCTGGACCACACATGGTCCTCTCCTGATGGGCACTGGGGGAGGTCTGGGAAAGTGGCCCATGGCTGAAAGGCGCAAATCTTTAGGATGAGAGTGCTGACTACACCCTTCCAGGTGGTCTTGAGGGGAGATAACAACACCTGCCTAGAGGCGGCTGTAAGAGCTGCAACAAAATACCACAGACTGGGTAATTTATAAAGAACAGGCCAGGTGCAGTGGCTAACACTTGTAATCCTAGTAGTTTGGGAAGCTGAGGTGGGAGGATCACTTTAGCCTAGGAGTTCAAGACCAGCCTAGGCAACATGACAAGACCCCATTTTATATTTTTAAATATAAAATATTTTTTAAAAATTAGCTAGGCATGGTGGTGCACGCCTGTAGTTCCAACTACTCATGGGGCTGAAGTGGGAGGATCTTCTTGAGCCTGGGAGGTTGAGGCTGCAATGAGCCATAATTGTGCCACTGCACTCCAACCTGGGCTAGAGAGTGAGACCCTGTCTCAAAAAAAACACCCACAAATTTACTTCTCATGGTTCTGGAGGCTGGGAAGTCCAAGATCGAGGCACCAGCAGGACTGGTGTCTGGTGAGGGCTGCTTCCTGCTTCCAGGATGGTGCCCTCTTGAGGGACAAACACAGTGTCCTCACTTGGCAGAAGAGAGGGAAATGTTGGAAGGGCAAGAGAGTACGCCTTTCCACTTTGAGCCCTTAATAAGAGTGCTAATTCCATTATCATCACCTCCCAAAGGCCACTTTGCATTGTGTTGGGGATTGCATTTCAGCATGAATTTTGGAGAGGACACTATCATTCAACCATAGCAGAGGGGGTAGTGAGGGCAGTAATGATGCCTGCCTACAAAGTGGTTGTTCTGTAGGTGAAAGCACCCATCACAGTCAGTGTGTCATAAGTATTTTTTTTTTTTTAAATGAGCTCACAGTGATGGTTGGGAGAGAGGCTGAACTCAGGTTCTGGCCCTGCAGGAAACGAATCACTGACTGTCTCTGTGCCTCAGTTTCCTCATCTGTTCAATGAGAATGATGATGGTACCCGGGTTGTAGGTTGCCATGTAGATAAATGAGTGTCTATGTAATGCTCAGAAGAACACCTGGAAGGCATTGCCTGTGTTGTGTGCTGCAGAGGGGGTCTTCACATGGACCTATGATGAGATAACCCACAGTAAATCCCCGTTGCATCACACAACCTCACCTATGTGATGACAGTCCATGACGGTCTATTCTGAAGTCTCTGTCTAGCCCCCCGAAATGCCTAGCTGGGGTACAGTGTGTATTCATTCACAAGGCAAATGCTCCCCAAGGCTGGGGGCTGAGCACTGAGTCCCTCACCTGCCAGAAGAGCAGCCCCCCGGCCAGCACACTTCACCTCCTCACCCACTCTCCCAGCTGTCTCCACTTGGCCACTCCCAGCTGTGTCCTCCGGGTATCAGTTTCCCATTCTGTCAAGTGAGAGGGTGGGTTACACTAGGACTTTCATGGAATGTTAGCCTTAGGAGGTGCTCTCTAGAAATGCGCTATGTTAGGAAGGACCATGGGCTCCATCATACCTTTTACAGAGTCATGTGACTTTGCATATTAAGGCCTGCAAAGTTCTGCAACTTAAAAACCTGTTTGACTTTGATTAATTCCATTGTCCCTCAACTCTTTGACCCTGTGGTTTTTATTTCTGCTTAACAGCTAGTTACACCCCAGAGAACATAGGCTATTATGGAAATATGTGCTGAGTATGGTAGAAGGAAGACAGAGGGAAGAATTTATTCGCCTGACATGTTGGCATCAGAGAAAAATACATTGGAGCAGGTCTTGGATGGTGAGTAGGAACCCAGGTGAGGTGAAACAGAGAGTGCAGCACACACAGGGACAAAGGCCAAGAGACTGGAGGGAGGCAGGCCCAAAGGCCACAGGTCTTGGGTGCTAAAGGGTTTGTGCTTTATTCTGACTTCAAAGACGACCTTCTAGGGATTTTAAGAAAAGGAATGGCATGGTCAGGTTTGTGTTTTTAAAAGTTAATGCTGGCAGCTTCTGAAAGCTTGGAGGCCATGGGGAGGTGTGGAGAGGAGGAGATAGAGGTGGGTCCCCAGAACCACCTCTTGTGCAAAGTGAGAAACGGAGGAGTCAAACACAACCAGGAAGTGGTAGGAGGAACGATGATGCCACTTCCCCAGGTCAGGAACACGTAAAGGAGAAAGTGCCTGGTGCAACTGTGAACGTGTAGCCTCTGAGGTGTCTGTGGGACATCCTGGAGGTATGAGTCAGGATAGGCCAGGCTGGGCTGCAGCAGCAGATTAACCCCAAATCTCAGTGGTGTAACCCAAGCAAGGTTCATTTCACTCATTCACAAAGTCTGATGCAAATGCAAAGTCAGGTGGCTTTCTCCATTCTGTAGCTTTGCAATCTGGAACAAGAGGCCTCTAAAGTCACATAACAGGAGAAGAGAGAGCTAGAGAATCACACAGGATGTTTTATAAGGATGGGTCCTAGAAATCGCTCCATCCCTCACATCCCAGTGGCCAGACCCAGGTTCATGGCCTCTACCTACAAGCAAGGCTGGGAGATGTGGGAGCACTTGGACATTTGGTGAGCCCTAGAGACCACAGACCATTATGGAAATACGTGCTGAGTAAGGCAGAAGGAAGAGAGAGGGAAGAATTTATTCGTCTGAATGAATTTGCCTAAAGTGTTGGCTTGCTATCAGGGAAGCTTGGGAGGCCTTTGGAAGTGGTGACCAGGAGATTTTAAGGGCTTGGGATACAGATTTGGGCATGATTATTGAATGAGATCACCCAGGAAGAAAACAGAGAAGGACGGGATGAAATGGGTAACACCATAACTTCCTCTGAGGTTGTGTTTAGAAATTTCCAGAGGATGACTCAAGATTTAGTTAAAAAATAATCTCTTGTTTCCAAATATCTGATTATTTGTTGTCATATAGAAAAGGCATCCAGATTTTTGCTGAATTTTTCAGTTTCCATATGGTTGCTTGGCATCGCATAGGAAGCTAGCAGTAATTGGCAAGTGTTTAAGTATCAGGCCGCTCCATGGCAGTCTCACCGTGAAGGGCCAATGGCCTCATGATGATAGATTTCTCTGAAGGAGAGATTTTCAAAGCCCTCAAGTTTAACAGACATTTTGAAAGAGAACTCACGGTATTCTTGCCCTTGAGATTCATTTTGGAAGTCAACATTTTTGCTACCAAACTCTTGACTATGAAATTGATTTTTTATTTAAATGTGCTGCACATTTGCAATTTTTCACAAAGAAAATTTTGGTTGAAAATCATGGCTTGAGACATTTCAGCTTGGGAGTCAATTAAAACTCACTGTTTTTCCTGGAAAGGGCTATAGCCTTAGTCAACACTAACAAATCAGCATGAGACATTTCTTCAAACTAGCTCTTGCAAGGCCCTTTCTGGCAACTGAAGTGTCCCCAATCTAAGACTATAAGGGTCATAAGCCCTGGGACTCTGTCAGTTTTCATTTACCTCTGTATTGCCAGAGCTGTGTGCAATGCTGGGCACACAGTGGGAACTCAGTCAGTATTTGTTGGATGGATGCATGGATGGATGGATGGATGGATGGGTAGATGGATGGATGGATGGATGGATGGATGGATGGATGGATGAATGGATGGATGGATGCATGGATGGATGGATGGATGGATGGATGGATGGATGGATGGATGGATGGATGGATGGATGGATGGATGGATGGATGGATGGATGGATGGATGGATGGATGGATGAGCCTTTCATACTGAAAACTGGATGTGGACTTCTAAACTACAACTACTAACGCAATTTGGTAGATGGCGGGGGGAGCAATTGATTGGGAGTCAAGAGATCCAGGTTCCAGTGTCATCTCTTCATTGACTGAGGTTTGAGAACTTGGGAAAATCCCTTTCCCCAAGGGTGCTACCTCTTTTCTCCTCTACTAAATGAGGTTTCATTTAGCCCCAGGCAACCTTTTCAGCCTCATATCCAACCACTTTTCCCCTACCCTATCCTGCCAAGACATTCATCTTGCCCACCGCATTTTCCAGTCAGGAAAGTACTTCTGGACTCCCAGCTATGGCCAAGCGAGGAGGTTGACAAATCCTCTCCCCAAAAGTCAATTATACAGCTGCACAAAATTGACCAAAAAGACCAGCCATTTCCACACTCTGAAAATCATCCAAAAGCATGCACCAATCTGAGAAGTGCTTATTCTTGAAAACTGCTGAATTTCAGTTAGAAACAGTGGGAGTTTGTAAAATTCTGGCCCAGGGCTGTTCCGATACTGCCCTCCCAGCTGGATAGACTTAGAGATTCTTTAGGGCAGGACAGGCCCTGAGGACCAGCAGCTGGTGGGCCACAGTTGACAGGAATCACACAATTTGGAGCAATGGGTAATGCTCACGTCTAATGGCTTTCTCAGCAAAAGTGGCAATCTGACAGGCTGTGTGGAATGGCTGGGGCTGTGTCTATGCATGATGGAGACTGGAAAGGATCCAAGCCAGCCATGATTTCTAGCTAGCTGACCCTAAGGCCACGTGCACACACACAGGAAACATGAACAGCCTAGTAAAAAGTAAAAGCCAGGCAGACTTGGAAACGGCCAGAATTATGAATGTGCTCCCCTACCTGTGTACAGGTCTTTAACAGAATATAGAAGTCTTATGAGCTTGAGGTGTTTGAGAATAACCTCTGATCAAACACTGGCTGACCTCTATACTATGGACACACAGGGGCACAGAAGCCAGGCTTTAAAAAATATATATATAAATATATAAATACGTATATATATATGTGTGTGTGTCTGTGTATATATGTGTGTGTGTATATATGTGTGTATATATAGTGTGTATATACATATATGTGTGTATATATATGTGTATATATGTGTATGTATATATGTGTGTGTGTGTGTGTGTGTGTATATATATATATATATATATATATATATATATATATAAAAAGAGAGAGAGAGAGAGAGGGAGAGAGACAGAATCTCACTCTGTCGCCCAGGCTGGAGTGCAATGGCGTGATCTTGGCTCACTGCAACCTCCACCTCCTGGTTCAAGCGATTCTGCTGACTCAGCCTACTGAGTAGCTGGGACTACAGGCGCGTGCCACCACGCCCGGCTAATTTTTGTGTTTTTAGTAGAGAGGGGGTTTCACCATGTTGGCCAGGCTGGTCTAGAACTCCTGACCTCAAATGATCTGCCTGCCTTGGCCTCCCAAAGTGCTGGGATTACAGGTGTAAGCCACCACACCCAGCCAGAAATATATATATATTTTTAATCTGAGCATCAGCAGCTATACACAGCAAGGAAAATGAATTTCCTAGAGTTAGCACAGGCAAGTTACTAAACAAATGAACAAGCAACAAACAGTAACAACCTTCTTGGGGAAAATCAAAATCCAAAGCTGATATAATATGTTACCTAAAATTTCCAGTTTTCAACAACAAAAAAAAAGAGAAATGCAAAAAAATAGGCATATATGACCTATACTCTGGGGGTCAGAGGGAGGGAAAACTAGTCTCTGAGGATCTCCAGAAGTTAGATTTGGTAGTGAAAAACTTCAAAGCAACTATTATAAACATAATCAAATAATTAACAGAAAGTACAACAATAATAATAAATCAATAAATAGAGAATCTGAATAAAGGGGTAGAAATAATATTTTCAAACCAAATGAAAATTCCAGAGTTGAAGAGTACACTAATGGGAAAAATTCACCAGAAGGGCTCGGTGGCAGATTTGAGATAGTAGAAGAATCAGCAAGCATGAAAACAGAGCAATAAAAATTAACCAATATGAAGAACAAAGAGAACAGAAGGGTGAAGAAAAATTAATAGAGCCTCAACAGCCTGTAGAACATCAAGCATGTCAATATGCATTTCAGAAGAGTTCCAGAGGAGAGGAGAGAGAGAAAGAGGATGCAAAAAATACTTGAAGGAATAATGGCCAAAACATTTCCAAAACTGATGAAAAACTTTAATCCAAACATTTGAAAAAACTTAACAACCCCAAGTAGGTTAAATACATAGAGATATACACCTAGACACATCATAATCAAATGATTGAAAGACAGCGAAAATCATGAAGGAAGCAAGATAAAAACAATTCATTGTGTATTAGGGGACAACAATGTGATAAGCAGCTGACTTCTCATCACAGAAAAAAACAGAGGGCAGAAGGCAGTAGAATGACATATTCAAAATGCAAAAAAAGAAAAAACTCATCCAATATTTCTATATCCAGCAAAACTATCCTCCAAAAACAAAAGTGAAATAAAGACATTCTCAGATAAACAAATATTGTTGGAATTCATTGCTAGCAGGCTTGCCTTTCAAGAAATACCAAAGGAAGCCCATGAGGCTGAAAGGAAATGATAGCAGATGGATGGAAACTTAAATTCACAAGAAGAAATTAAAAGCCTTAGAAATGCTAAATGTTAGGCCAGGCACAGTGGCTCACACTCGTAATCCCAGCACTTTGAGAGGCCAAAGTGGACAGATCACTTGAGGCCAGGAGTTTGAGACCACCTGCCCAACGTGGTGAAACCCCACCTCTACTAAAAATACAAAAATTAGCTGGGTGTGGTGGCACGTGCCTGTAGTCCTAGCTACTTGGGAGGCTGAGGCATGAGAATTGCTTGAACCTGGGAAGTGAAGGTTGCAGTGAGCCGAGATCACACCACTGCACTCCAGCCTGGGCAACAGAGCGAGACTCCGTCTCAAAAAAAAAAAAAAAAAAAAAAGAAATGGTAAATATTACTGTTAATACAAAACACTCTGTAAATATATTTTTCTCTTAAATTCTTTAAAAGACTTGAGTAATCATTATAACACTACACTGTTGGGTTTATAAGAAAAATATATAGATACAGATATTTAGATAATATATATGTAATATATATGTGACAATAATAGTACAAGGGGAAAAGAATGAAGCTATATTGAAGCAAACCTCCTGTATTTGGTCAGATTAATTAAGTTAGTATTAATCTGAAGTGGATTATGACAAGTTAAAAGTATTTTGTAGTCCTTAAAGCAATCATTAAGAAAATAACTCAAAATACAAGGTTTAAAAAAAAAACAGGAATTAAAATGGGATACTAAAAATATTTATTTAAAAGAAACAAAAGTAATGAAGAAGGAACAAAGGAAAAAGATAACAACAAAAGAGATGTATAGAAAACCCAAAATGGTATATGTAAGCATAATGTAATATAAAGTACATTAAATGTGAATAGTCTAAAAAGGCCAAAAGCAGAGATTGCCAGACTGCATAAACAAGTGATGTGACTATATACTATCTACAAGAGACATATCTTAGATTCAAAAATGCAAATAGGATGAAAGTAAAAGGACTGGACAATAATATACCATGAAAAAATAAATCATAAGAGAGCTGGGAGTGATAATTTTAATATTAAACAAAATAAACTTGTAGATAAGAAATATTACTAGAGACAAAGAAGAACATTTCATAATGATAAAAGAGTTAATACATCAGGAAGATATAAAAATTATAAATGTATACACCCCTAATAACAGTGCTTCAAAATACATGACACAAAAACTAATGGAATTAAAAGGACAATAGTTGGAGATTTCAAATCCCACTCTCAATCACCAATGGAACCACTAGGTTAAGAATCAGCAAAGATATAGAAGACTTAAACACATTATTGACCAACTCAACCTAACTAGCCTAATGACTGCAGGATACACAATTTTTTTCAAGCACACATAGACCATTCTCCAGGACAGAACATTACTAGGCCTTAAAATGAGCCTCGTTAATGTAAACAGACTGAAATCACACAAAGCATGGTCCTTAGCCATAGTGAAATTAAATCACACATTAACAAAAGTCTATGAAAGCCCAAATATTTCAAAAATGAGCAGCACATTTCTAAATAACTCAACGGTCAAAGAAGAAATTACCTGAGAAATTACAAAATATTTTGAAGCGGATGAAAAATTCTAACAATATATGAAAATGAATGGCACACGGCTAAGCAGTGCATAGAGGGGAACTTATACCTTTTAACACCTATGTCAGAAGAAAAGAAAGGTCTTAAATAGCTTAAGCATCTATCTAAATGAGCTAGAAAAAGAAGAGCAAACTAAACAAAAAGCAAGCAGAAGAAAGAAAATGGGAAAGATTATAACAAAAATCAGCAAAATAGAAAACAGAAAAGCAAAAGAGAAAATAAATGAAACCCAAAGGTGGGTCTTTAAAGAGATAACAAAACTGATAAACTTTTAGCTAGATGAGCCAAAAAAAAAAAAAAGGAGGAGAAAAGATAAGAATTGCCAAAATCAGGCATGAGAAAAGGAACATCGTTGCCAATCATATGAAATTAAATGGCTTATAAGAGAATACTGTAAACAATGCAATACCAACAAATTAGACAACTTAGATAAATGAACACATTCCTGGAAATGCACAGATTACAAAAACTGACTCAAGATAAAATATAAAATCTGAACAGACTTGCAACAATATAAAGGAAATTGAGTTAATAATTTAAAATCTCTCCACAATGAAAAGCCAGATCCACATAGCTTCATTGGTGAATCCTAACAAATATTTAAAGAAGAAATAATACCAATCCTTCACAGACTCTTTTAGAAAATAGAGGAGGAGGGAACACTTCTCACTCGTTGTATGAAGCTAGTATTATCCTAACCAAAGCCAGACGAAAACATTAGAAGAAAACCACAGACCAATATTCATCATTAAACAAATGCTAAAATTCTTAACAAAATATTAGCCAGCTGAATCCAGCAACATATAAAAAGGACTAGACACTAAGACCAAGTGGGATTTATCCTGAAAATGCAAGCCTAGTTTAACATCCAAATATCAATTAATCTAATACATCATATTAATAGAACAAAGGAGAAAAACACACGACTGTCTCAAAGGAAATGCATTTTTTAAAATTCAGTACCTATTGACTTTTTTTTTAACTCTCAACAAACTAGAAATAGAAGGGAACTTTCTCAGCCTGGAAAAGGGGATCTACAAAAAACCCATGGCAAAGATCACACTCAGTGATGAAAAAACACAGAAAGCTTTCCCCTCTTGACCAGGAACACAGCGAGGATGTCTACTCTCACCACTTTTAATCGACAAACTACTAGAGGTTTAACTAGGGCAATATGGCAAAATAATAAAAAGTATCAAGATTCAAAGTGAAGAAATAAAATACTTTTACTCATAGATGATGTGATTCTTAATATAGAAAATCCCAACAGATCCATTTAAAAACTCATAGGATAGGCCAGGCACGGTGGCTCACACCTGTAATCCCAGCACTTTGGGAGGCTGAGGTGGGTGGATCACGAGGTCAGGAGATCGAGACCATCCTAGCTAACACGGTGAAACCCCATCTTTACTAAAAATACAAAAAAATTAGCCAGGCGTGGTGGTGGGTGCCTGTAGTCCCAGCTACTCGGGAGGCTGAGGCAGAAGAATGGCGTGAACCCAGTAGGCAGAGCTTGCAGTGAGCCGAGATCGCGCCACTGCACTCCAGCCTGGATGACAGAGCGAGACTCCATCTCAAAAAAAAAAAAAAAAAAAAAAAAAACCTCATAGGATAAACAAGTTTAGCAAGATTGTACAATAGAAGATCAATATGCAAAAACCAATTGTATTTCTATATAATAGCAACAAACAATCCAAAAATAAAGTTAAGCAAACAATTCCATTCACAATAGCATCAGAAAGAATAAAATGCTTAGGAATAAATTTAACAAAAGTGCAAGATCTTCACTGAAATCTACCAAACATTGTTGAGAGAAATTAAAGATGACATAAACAAATGGAAGAACATTCCGTGTTCATGGATTGGAAGATTCAATATCGTCTAGATAGCAAATTCTCCACAAAGTGACCTATAAATTCAATGTGATCCCTGTCAAAATACTATCGAACCTTTTTGTAGAAGCTGATAAGCTGGTCCTAAATTTTATACGGAAAGGCAAAGGACATGGAAGATTTATACTCCCTGATTTCAATCTTAATATTATGCCTTAATAATCAAGACAGCGGAGCATTCATGGAAGAATAGATGTATAGATCAGCAGAACAGAATTGTAACAGAATTACAAACATTATGGGTAATTAGCTTTTGATAAAAGTGCCAAAACAATTCAATGGGAAAAGGATACACTTGTATCCAGAATATATAAAGAACTCTTAGAACTTAAGAAGACAAAAAAAATTAAACATGGGCAATATAATTAAATAGACATCTCACTAAAGTAGACCTATGTAAATGGCTACTAAGCACAGGAAAAGATGCTCAATGTTGTTAGTCATTAGGGAAATGCAAATTAAAATGAAAACAAGTTGCTATCACACATCCACAAAGGTGAGTATAATGAAAAAACAGATGTGAAAAAGATTAAAGAAACTAGAAGTTCATACGTGGCTGGTGGGAATGTACAAGGGCACAGCCACACTGGGAAAAAACTTAGTTTCTAGGCCAGGCATGCTGGCTCATGCCTGTAATCCCAGCACTTGGGAGGCCAAGGTGGGTGGATCACTTGAGGTCAGAAGTTCAAGACTAGCCTGGCCAACATGGTGAAATCCCATCTCTACTAAAAATACAAAAATTAGCTGGGCGATAGTTGTGTGCACCTGTAATCCCAGCTACTTGGGAGGCTGAAGCAGAAGAATCGCTTGAGCCTAGGAGGCAGCAGTTTTGGTGAGCAAAGGTCATGCCACTGCACTCCAATCTGGGCAACAAAATGATACCTTGTCTTACAAAAAAAAATTAAAAATAAAAAATAAACTTAGTTTTTTAAAAGGTTAACTTGAACTTTGCACAATATATTCAACATCTCTTATTTTTAATTATTTTTTTGAGACAGGGTCTTGCTTTGTTGCCCAGGCAGGAGGGCAGTCGCACAATCCTGGCTCACTGCAGCCTTGACCTCCCAGACTCAAGCAATCCTCCCACCTCAGCCTCCCAAGTGGCTGGGACTACAGGCACGTGCCACCACGCCCAGATAATTTTTCTTATTTTCTGTAGAGACAGGGTCTCACTATGTTGCCCAGGATGGTCTCAAACTCTTGCACTCAAGCAGTCCTCCAGCCTCAGCCTCCCGAAGTGCTGGGATTACAGGTGTGAGCTACCCTACTCAACATGTCAAGCCTTACTCTCCTCATCTGTGAAATGGCATGATGATAATAGTACCATATCACAGGGATGTGAGAGCAATTTCACTCTTAAGAATCTACCCAAGAGAAATAAAACATGCAAACCCACACAGATTTGCATGTGAATGCTCATAGCAATATTTTTCACAGTAGCCAAAAACTGGCAACCATCCAAATGCCATCAACTGAGGAATGGATAAATAAAAAGTGGCAGACGGATACAATGAAATTCTATTTATCAATCAAAAGAAATGAGTAACTGATCCATGCTACAGCACACGTCAACCTCAAAAACATTTTGCCACATACAAGAAAACCAGCCAAAGAATACTACATATTGTGTGACTCCATTTATTTGAAATGCCCCAAAAAGGCAAATTTATAGAAACAGGAAGCGGGTCAATGGTTCCCTGGGGCTGGGCGTGGGAACTGTGAGTGACAGCAAGGACACGAACTGGGGTGATGGACGTATTCCAAAACTGGACGTCAGGAGGGGTGCGCAAATCCGTAAACTGACTAGAAACCATTGAATAATGAGTGATTTCATGGTGCATAACTTACACCTCAATGAAGCTGCCTTTTTTTTTTTTTTTTTTTTTTTTTTTTGAGACGGAGTCTCGCTCTGTCACCCAGGCTGGAGTGCAGCGGCGCGATCTCGGCTCACTGCAAACTCTGCCTTCTGGGTTCACGCCATTCTCCTGCCTCAGCCTCCCGAGTAGCTGGGACTACAGGCACCTGCCACCACGCCCGGCTAATTTTTTGTATTTTTAGTAGAGACCGGGTTTCATCGTGTTAGCCAGGATGGTCTCTATCTCCTGACCTCGTGATCCGCCCGCCTCGGCCTCCCAAAGTGCTGGGATTACAGGCGTGAGCCACCGCGCCTGGCCAAAGCTGCCTTTTTTTTAAGAAAGCAATGTGCTTTGGGCTTTTATTGTTTGTTCGTTCAATTGCCATTTCTTGAGCGTCTAGGCCGTGCCAGCTCCGTGCTAGCAGCTGGGGGTACAAGCCTGAAATAATAGTGCAAGTGGCTAATGACGGCTGAAAGGTCACTGTGTCTCTCCTGTTTCCCTTCCTTTACCCTCGTCAGCACTCCTCTCCCTGTGAGGTGGGGATGGTCGCTGTCATTCCATTTCACAGGTGAGAAGAGTAACGCTTCGTGGTGTCGAGGATGTTGTCCAAAGTCACATGAGCTGCTACATGTTAAGAGTTGAGCTTTGAACTCCACATCCCGCAGCCCCGTCCACACTCCTGACCCCCTATCCTAACCCAGCTCATGACCACAGAGTCGGCCCAGATGCCCCTGCCGCAGGAGTTCGCCCTCACTCTGCCATGAGCAGAGGGAGAAGAGCTGTCCTTGAGCCATGGTGCCCTCTCACATCCCCTGTGCCCTGCAACGCAGCTCCTCTCACTCCACCTTCCCACTTCCCAGCCCGTCTTCAGGACTCAGTTCTGATACGTGCTCCTGCCCTGAGCTTCCTGCCCACTGCTCAGAGGCACACACCTTCTCTGCCTTGGCTTGGTTAATGGGGTGCCCTAAATCCAATGACACGTTTCCTTACAAGAGACAGAAAATGAGATGCAGAGAGGAGGGCCGTGTGAAGACAGATGCCTAGACTGGAGTGACGCGTCTACAGGCCAAGGAACATCAAGATTGCCAGAAACTGCCAGGAGAGAGGCCTGGAGCAGATTCCCTCCCAGCCTTAGAAGGAGGTGACCCTGCCAACACCTTGACTTTGGACCTCCAGCCTCCTGAACTATGAGAGAGTGAATTTCTGTTGTTTTAAGCTGCCCAGTTTGTGGTCTCGTGTTACGGCAGCCTCAGGAAAGGGATGCAGGGTCTATGCCCAGTTCATGCCTGCTCCCCAACCCAGGACTGGCCCCATAAGGGCTCAGTACCAACTGGTTCTGTTCAGATGAGCCAGATCTGTGTTTGAGCCAAAACCTCATTGTCTCCCCCAATTCATCAACTGGAGACCCCTTTCTGAGTCAGCCAGAGTCATTTGGTGGATGGTTTTATCTTTTCTAGAAAATCAGACATTGTACCAGTGACCCACTGGTCCCTGACTGCCCTTTCTGTACTGCAAGCTCCTTGCCTTTTTTATAACAAGAGGCTCCTGTTACATGAGTAAAACCAGTAACAGGAGAAAGACTACTTAGAGTGAATCTGCTTAGAACAGAAATCAAAATGTCATGGTAAATATTGGGGGGAAAGGTGTGGTGGACTTTATGTTAGAAATGAAACAACAGAGGCCGGGTACGGTGGCTCACGCCTGTAATCCCAGCACTTTGGGAGGCCGAGGAGGGTGGATTATCTGAGGTCAGGAGTTCGAGACCAGCCTGACCAACATGGTGAAACCCCATCTCTACTAAAAATACAAAAATATTAGCAGGGCTTGGTGGCAGGCACCTGTAATCCCAGCTACTTGGGAGGCTGAGGCAGGAGAGTCACTTGAACACGGGTGGTGGAGGTTGCAGTGAGCTGAGATCACACCACTTCACTCCAGCCTGGCCAACAGAGCGAGACTCCATCTAAAACAAACAAACAAACAACAAACAAACAAAGAAACCACAAACTGGGCACTATGGCTCATGCCTATAATCTCAGCACTTTGGGAGGCTGAGGTAGGCAAATCACTTGAGCCCAGGAGTTCTAGACCAAACTGGGCAGCTTGGCAAAACCTGCTTCTGCAAAATATGCAAAAATTAGCTGGGTATGGTGGTGTGCACGTGTAGTCCCAGCTGCTCAGAAGGCTGAGGTGGAAGAATAGCTCAATCCCAAGAGGCAGAGGTTGCAGTGAGCCGTGATCTCACCACTGCACTCCAGCCTGGGTGGCAGAGCAAGAAGAAGGAGAAAGAAGAAAGAAGAAAGAAGAAGGAGAAACATCAAAAGAGAGAAAGCAGGGCTTTTGGAAGCTGAATGCTTTCCTCTTCATCATCTCCATCTCCACCATGGTTTCAGGCCGGGATGACTAATAGTTTCGACCCATGACTCTGATCCACTGGGAATGTCTGCCTGGAGCTGCCTGTCAAAATCAAGCCTTTGTGGGAAACTGTGCCTGATTGATTAGCAGTGTCTGCCCTGGGCTTGGAAATGTCAGCATCTGTGTGGCATATTTATAGTCCTGGTTTAAGGTGTTCACCCTCTTAGAGACATTTGACTTTAGTGGAAGGCTTAGGGGTTACATGCTGCATGGGTAAATTCCTAGCACTGTATATAACAGAAAGAGCTATTTTGGGGAGGGACAGAAGGAGACGGGAGACAGAACTTTTATGGAGTCCCTACCTGAAACTACAATGCTGATTTCCAATTCCACATAGAGATCAGGTCTGCAATGGAATCCTCTATCAGCCTGCAGGACATCAGATTTTCCATGCAGAGTCATAGGTGATTTTCCCTGCTCCCTTTCCAAATCGATGAAATCAAATACGGCTTGAATGGAGAAAAGGATGGCTGAGCTGTCAAGGCAAGTTCAATTTCAGTAATCACATGGAGATCTATTAGATAACTGTGCCAAGAGGTGACTGACCATATGATTGAAATACATTTATACTAAAAATATTTTAAAAGCCCTTCTCTTGATTTATACCCAAAAGAAAATATCACAAAGGAGAATGAGTTTTCATCTCAAGTAGCACTTATTCCTGATCTAACTAAATTAGCTCTTATGAACAGACAGTTTTGCTCGGGTGCCCGTAAAAAAAATAACAATAATGTGCATTTAGAGGGTGTTTTATCCTCTCCAAAGCACAGATCTTTTGCAGTGTGCAATTCCCCTCATCGGTGCTGGAGACCAGCATGACAGGGAAGGAGGGAGAGGACAGAGTCGAGGACGTGAGCGTTCCTGTGGCTGATCACATTTGGTAAAATCAGCAAATTTCAAATACATGAGAAAGCTGATTTCACTGTGCTCTGAGAGGCCTAGAGGCAAACGGGCCAGAAGCTGAGTCTTCCCTTCTGTTATAGACTGAACATTTGTGGCCCCCAAAGTTCATATGCTGAAATTCTAACCCAAATACTCAAGGGGATGGTGTTTGGAAATGGGGCCTTTGGGAGGTGATTAGAGTTAGAAGGGGTCATGAGGGTGGGGTCCTGATCTGATGGGATTGCTGCCTTGTAAGAAGAGACTCCAGAGAGCTTGCTCATGCTCTCTTGCTTTCTGCCACTCTCTCTCTCTCTCTACCATGTGAAGATGCAGTAAGAAGGCAGCTGTCTGCAAGCCAGGAAGCGAGCCCTCGCTGGAGCTGACCATGCTGGTGCCCTGATCTCATACTTCCAGCCCCCAGAACTGTAATAAATACATGTCTGTTGTTTAGGCCACTCCATCAGTGGGGTTTTGTTATGGCAGCTCTAGGAGACTAAGACAATCTGAAGTTTGAATCGGGGTCTGTTTGCTCAGCCTGCCTTAGAGACAACTGGAGAAGTGGCTTCCAGTCTCAATCCTGCCCTAACCATGGGTGGCCTCAGGATGCTTTTTTTTTTTTTTAAGACAGAGTCTCGCTCTGTCGCCCAGGCTGGAGTGCAGTGGCGCCATCTCGGCTCACTACAAGCTCCGCCTCCCAGATTCACGCCATTCTCCTGCCTCAGCCTCCCGAGTAGCTGGGACTACAGGCACCCAACACCATGCCCAGCTAATTTTAATTTTGTATTTTTAGTAGAGACGGGGTTTCACTGTGTTAGCCAGGATGGTCTCCATCTCCTGACCTCGTGATCTGCCCACCTTGGCCTCCCAAAGTGCTGGGATTACAGGCGTGAGCCACCGCGCCCAGCCAGGACGCTTTCTTTCTCAACTGGAGAACATTATCCTTTCTCTGATCTGCTCACCTGGAAGTCGTACAGGTAAAAAGAAGTGACTTGTCCAACACTAAAGTGCTGAGGTTCCCACCATCCCTCTCCCACCGCCTCCACGTCCTGCGGTAGTTCTTGGGTAATTATTTTGCTTGCATTGCCCTGCTCTTTTGCCCTGTTTAATTCCTCCCTACTCTGCTTTTAAAATTGATGCTCATTCAACATCACTTCCTCCGGGAAGTCTGCCGTGACCACTCACATCCTGACCAGGTTCACGCTTCTCCCCACCACCACCACTTCCTGCAGCCTCCTGCAGGTCCCATCTCTCTATGTTGTCACTGTCTGTTTGCATGTCTGTCTCTCCCACTGGACCACGAGCTGCCCCAGGACACAGCCTGGGAGTTATGCCCCTTCATGATCACACAGAATAGCCTTCATAGATTTTTATGGAACTGAGTTCAGCATGGGGGTCTCTGGCTGCCACCTGCAAGTTCAGCCCCATCATAGGTTCTGGGAACAGATAGGAACAGACCATCTCTTAAGTCCAGGCGGACTGGAGGAGACTGAAATCTAGCTAAGCGGATTATCATTAGTTCATAGGCCAACCTCCGATTCAAGGATCTTACTACCATGACTTTGCAAAGCAAGTCCCCTAAAATCTGCCCCAAGACAGACACAGGAGTCACGCTCTACTGCCAAACACCAGCCCTAAAATCACAAGAACCATTGACTGAGCAAGTCCTGTGTGCTGGCCTTCATGCCACCTCTTGACACCAGTCACCTCCTTGGGTCTTGTGTGGCAGGCATCAGCACCACCATTTCACAGATGAAGAGACTGAGGTTCCAAAAGGGACTGACTCAGGGCCCCATTGCTCTCAAGTGGCAGAGCTGGGGTTGGATCCCACGCCTGCCTGACTCCAAATCTAGGGGTTCTCACCAGGGTCTGGCCCACCAAGAAGGCAGCCGGATCAGTAGGGGCACTGGGCAGCCACAGAGAGCAAGGCCTTATCCCTGATTCCGGAACTCAGGTCCCAGGGTCAGTGCCTTCCCTGTGGAAGCTCTCAGTCACTCACTTACAAAGGAGTGAGCTGTTCTTTCTTTTACCCTTGACATTTTTCTATATGTTGAGATTAGTTTAATTGCAAGCGACAGCATCACAAGCTGAGCCCACAGCACAAAGGCTCAGGGGTGGAACGGCACCATAAATTTAGGAAACCGTAAATAATTCAGGGAGGGGTTTGCTGTGCAGTGGGCAGGGAGTGGCACAGTGGGCGTGAGGCTGGCGAGATGGGCTGGGAGGGTTCTGAAGGCTTCAGGCCTTACTCTACAGGCAGTGGGGAGCCACAGCGGGTTCTTGAGGCAGGGAGAGGCTCGCCCCCAGTAGCCTTCAGAAAGGGTCTCTGGGGCTGTTCACCTGGCACATTGGTGAGTGATTCTGTGCCTTCGCAGCCTCCATCACTACCTCATTCCTCTTCTCTCCAAGAAGTGTCACCTTCTAGGCCAGTGCCAGGAGTGGCTGCCTGCAATCCACCCCGACCCTGCAACATTCTGGGAAGCCAAACCCAGACTTGCTCTTTTCCCTTGGGCTTCCAGGCATTTTTATCCTCAGGTAGATTTGCCCCAACCCTACTCATGTAATGTTGATCATATAGAAAAGCGCCGGTAAAGGAAACTCAGGCCAGGCCACGAGAGGGCATTTGCTCTCATTACAGAAAACAAACAAGACTCCAGAAAGCCAGGGAGCTCCTGCCAGCTGCAATTCCAAGACTCCCCAGATGAATGATGTGTGCATAATCACACACCTTTGCACTTTTTAAATGCTTTCATCCAAAGGACCTCAGGCCCTTTGAAAATCTTGAATTTGATTCAGGGAACACTGGCTGCACACTTTCTAAGCCAAGCACCAAGCTGGGCACTGGGTAATTCCAGAATCATTGTGCATTCAGGAAAAACCTGCAAGGCTGCCTGTGTGCCTCACTCAGAGGGGCAATGGAGACGGTTCACGGGATGGACTTTTGCACCCACGTGGGCTGGCTTCCAGGAAGCCTCAGGGGCAGATGAAGCTCTCCAGGTCAGCAGGAGGAGACGACACCACTTCTAGGCCTGAAGGGGCAAAGGGAGGGGCCTGTTCCTGGAAAACAGGGCAATCTGTTGCTATAGGAGGGGCCGCCGGACAGGAGCTGCAGGCCAAGAAGGAGAAGCGCAAGCCAGGAATGAGGCCTTCCTCGCAGCCCTCCACAGGGACCAACCTTGCCGTCACCTCGACTTGGGGCTTCTGGCTTCCAAAACTGCAGGAAAATAAATTCCTGTTGTTCAAGACCCCGGGTCTGTGGTGCTTTGTGTGGCAGCTGCAGGAAACTGACCTGAAGGAACTTGACAGGAGCAGCACAGTCAGCAAGGGTGAGCTGGGACGAAGCCAGGCCCTTCTCCCTTCAGGACCTGCAGCCAGGCCTGGTCACCAACCGTGCTGCTGCCCCAGCCGAGGAGTGCGGGGATGTCCGGGCTGAGCCAGCAATGCCTGAACCCTACATGGTAATAGATGGCTGTACACGACACTATGAGGTGGCTGCTGCCACCACAGCCCATGTTGAGGGCCTGATAGACTCCCAGCCAAGCCTGGCAGGTCTCATTCCCACTGCTCCATAAAAGGCCCTTATTAAGAACTTTGCTTAATGCCCTGTGAGACACAGTCTGCGCCACCCCTCATGTCACTGGGGGCCGCTAAGACAGCAGCCTCAAATTCCCCAGATCAGAACTCCAGGGCATGGGGTAAGCCTGAACCAGGACTCACCAGTGAGTGTCGCTTCTACTGCATCGTGGCCTTTCCCTCGGGAGCAAAACTTCTTTTCGGAGCTTCGCAGACCAAAAGAGGTGGTCGAGAGAATGACCCAGGGAATTCAGGTTTGGGACCTCGGTTCCATTGTCCACCCCGATTTAAATCAAAGTACCCGGCCCGAGATTTGAATGCAAGACTTTTTATGTATCCTGAGGCCACTGTAACAAAGTCCCACAGCCTTGGTGGCTTCAACATCAGAAAGGTATTCTCTCACAGTTCTGGAGGCCAGGAGTCTGAGATCCAGGCATGGGCAGGGTGGATTCCATCTCAGGCTGCAAGGGGACTCTGTCCCAGGCCTCTCCCCTGGCTTCAGGTGCTTTGGTGGCCGCCCTTGGAGTTCCTTGGCTTGTGGAAGCCTCACCCCACCTCTGCCTTCACCTGCACACGGCATTCTCCGTGTGTGTCTCTGTGTGCAAAGTCTGCCTTTTTATAAGGACACCAGGCATACTGGATTAAGTCTGCCCTAATGACCTTTAACTTGATCATCTGTAAAGACTGTGTCTCCAGATAAGGTCACATGCTGATGTCCTGGGTGTTAGGACTTTAACACATGAATTTGGGGGTGAGACCACATCTGAACCCACAACACAATATAATACACACACAAACATGCACATGAGACAGACGTGCCCGGCTTCCCAATGACCATGAAGCATTGGCCCATGCAGCCGGGACCGCCACCCAGGTCCAGAAACACCCTCCCCCGCCCCCAGAGGCCTCGGACGCACCTCCTGCTCCTCAGCCCCAGAGGGGACCAGGACCCTGGCTGTGAAGCCTTGTAGTTTTACACCCCAGTGTGCACCTGAGCCCAGAGCTCAGCTGGGCCTGTCACCTGAACGTTGCATGGAGGCTGGCAGCTCTCATTCGACACCCCACCTGTGAGGTAGGGTCCCACCACACTGCACAGCTCAGTTTGCATCCATTTGCCCTGTATGAGCGCAGACTGAGCAACAGGGGGCAGTTGTGGGGGTCTCCTGCTGGAGCCATTACAGGCGGGGCAGCCAGGGCCTCCAGAACCGGCCTTGCGAGCCTGTGTGTCTGCCCAAGCAGGAGGAGGGCATCGGGCGAGACAGCTGGATCACAAAGGCCGAGATTCACACTCGGGACGTTCCTGCAGAAGGGCGAATTGTTTTCCCAACTGGCGGCAGCCACGGAAGGCAAGTTTCAGATACAGAAAGGAAAGTCAAACCTCTCTTCTCAAGGGCGTGCTTTCAAGTGTTAAAGGCTGGCTGTTTCTGGATGCCATCTCTGAGGCACCAATTAGTCAAACTTAGCTGGAGTCACCTCCTCACAGCCCTCACATCGGCCTCACCTGGAGACACCTCCTCACGTCACCCTCACCTGGAGTCACCTCCTCACAGCGCTCACGTCACCCTCACCTGGAGTCACCTCCTCACAGCCCTCGTGTCACCCTCACCTGGAGTCACCTGCTCACAGCCCTCGTGTCACCCTCACCTGGAGTCACCTGCTCACAGCCCTCGTGTCACCCTCATCTGGAGTCACCTCCTCACAGCCCTCGTGTCACCCTCACCTGGAGTCACCTGCTCACGTCACCCTCACCTGGAGTCACCTCCTCACAGCCCTCGAGTCACCCTCACCTGGAGTCACCTCCTCACAGCCCTCGTGTCACCCTCATCTGGAGTCACCTCCTCACAGCCCTCGTGTCACCCTCACCTGGAGTCACCTCCTCACAGCCCTCGAGTCACCCTCACCTGGAGTCACCTCCTCACAGCGCTCACGTCACCCTCACCTGGAGTCACCTCCTCACAGCCCTAATCAGCTGTTGTCCAAGGTCCCCACCTCACAGGTGAGAAGTGAGACATTCAGTGACTTGTCCATCAAGTCACACAGCAGATCTGAGATTGGAGCTCAGGCCTGTTCAACTCCAAACCACATTCAAATATGAAACAAATGCACAGAAGGCAAACAGGCAGTGAGAAGCTTTCCAATCCAACCCTCTTGTCCCAGGAGAAAACCAGGAAGGAAATACCGGACAGGGGCCCAGGAAGGAAACATGCTCCAAGCAGGCAAAGCCTTGCTTCCTTCCTCCTCACCCAGAAGCCCTTGCACTCTTGGCCCCTGGGCAGTAGGGAGTCCATGTTCTTTTTCTGTTGTATTTAATTGGCACATAGTAGTTGTACATTGTATGGGGTACGGTGGGATGTTTTGCTACACATATACAATATGTGATGATCCAATCAGGGGATATATCATATCGAGCATCTCATACATTTCATCATACCTCATCCATTTCTTTGTGGTGAGAACATTCATAACTCTCTGTTATTTGGAAATATGATTATAATATTGCCAGCTACGGTCACCCTACTGTGCTGCAGAACACCAGAACTTGGCCGGACATGGTGGCTTACACCTGTAATCCCAACACTTTGGGAGGCCAAGGCAGGCAGATGGCTTGAGCCCAGGAGTTCCAGACCTGCCTGGGCAACATGGCAAAACCCCATCTCTACAAAAATACACAAATTAGCTGAGCATGGTGGTGTGCACCTGTAGTCCCAGCTACTCGGGAGGCTGAGGTGGACTGCACTCCAGCCTGGGCAACAGAGAAAGACCCTGTCCCCAACAAAAAGAAAAAGAAAAAAGGAACACCAGGACGTATTCCTCCTAACTGGAATTTTGTACCTGTGAAGCAATCTCTTCCCAACACCCTCTCCCTAGCCTCTAGTGACCACTTTTCTGCTACTTCGGCATGTTGGTTTTTTTTGTTTTGTTTTGTTTTGTTTTTTGAGACAGAGTCTCACTCTGTCGCCCAGGCTGGAGTACAGTGGCATGACCTTGCCTCACTGCAACCTCCGCCTTCTGGGTTCAAGCAATTCTCCTGCCTCAGCCTCCTGAGTCTGGGATTACAGGCACGTGCCACCACACCCGGCTAATTTTTGTATTTTTAATAGAGATGTGGTTTCGCCATGTTGGTCAGGCTGGTCTCGAACTCCTGACCTTGTGCTCCGCCTGCCTCGGCCTCCCAAAGTGCTGGGATTACAGGCATGAGCCACCACACCCAGCCATCACCTTATGTATTTTGGATATTAACCTTTTATCAGATGTACGGTTTGCAAATATTCTCTCTCATTCTATAGGTTATCCCATCACTCTGTTGATTGTTTCCTCTGCTGTGCAGAAGCTTTTTAGTTTGATGTCACCCCTCTTGTCTATTTTTGCTTTTGTAGCCTGTGCTTTCCGGTTCTTATCCAAAAAAACCCTTGTCCAGACCAATGTCATGAAGCATTTCCCCTGTTTTCTTCTAGTAGTTTTTTCTAGTTGTAGTTTCAGGTCTTATATTTAAGTCTTTGATCCGTTGTGAGTTGATTTTTGTGTATGGTGAGTGATCAGGGTATCGTTTTATGTTTCTGCAGGTGGCTATCCAGTTTTCCCGGCAGAGAATCCATGTTCTGACTCCAGCGCGCCGCCTCAGGTGTGGGAAACCCTCAGGAACACTTCAGCGTGTTTCATGTGCCATGAGTTACAGATGAAGCCCCTAAGGAGCCCGTTCATGCAGCTGCAGCAGGTGTGCTAACACGGGAACCGTGTTGTGAGCTACTTCTGGTCTACACAGCAAGTGGACCACACCTCTCTGTTCTGGAAACCTTTGAGAGTCTATTCTCACCAGAGACAGCTCAGATAATTTATTCTTAGGCAGAATGTGGGCTTCGCCCACCTGGTTTCCTGATCATCTCTCCTGCAGTCATTCTTACAACTGTTCTCAGTGACGAAACAGTGCTTATGTTTAATCCGAAACAGAGTCCCCCGGGAAGAGCTTTCAGCGCCAGCCGTTAGTACCCTGGTAAAACCATGAACACAAACTAAGCACATCCCCTTCCTCGCAACTGCGGCCTCCCCTTACGAGGCTGTGGTGGCCGTCAAGCCAGAATCAGCGCTGTGCAGGTCACAAAGCCCATCCACAATCACGCGAACAGGGCTGTCACAGGGGAAAGGACAGGAGGGATTGCTGTGAGCTCCATGCTCCCATGAGAAAAAGGGTGTCAGGGAGGCCGAGACTTCCCGGGACATGGAGATAAAAACAGGCCCGAGCTGGGGCCCTCAGCTCACCCTTCTTCCTCCACTCCCTAAGAGGCCTCAGCATGGCACCAAGGATATCCCTCCTTTCCAGTCTTCACAGAGGGTCGGCGTGGTGGGATGGAAATGCTAATGAAGCAGTGAGGTTAAAAATAATAACTCGCCAGCCAGCCGCAGTGGCTCATGCCTGTAATCCCAGCACTTTGGGAGGCCAAAGTGAGCCAATCGCTTGAGCTCAGGAGTTCGAGACCTGCCTGGCCAAGAAACATGGTGAAATCCTGTCTCTACTAAAAATACAAAAGTTAGCCAGGCATAGTGGCACATGCCTGTAGATAGTCCCAGCTACTTGGGTGGCTGAGGCAAGAGGATTGCTTGAGCCTGGGAGTCGGAAGTTGCAGTGAACCAAGATTACACCACTGCACTCCAGCCTGGGCGACAAAGCCAGACCCTATCTCAAAATAATAATAACTGCCTGTTACGGTTGAACTGTGTACCCCCAAATCCATACGCTAAAGCGCTAAGCCCTGGTACTGCAGAATGGGACCTTATTTGGAAATAGAATCGTGGCAGATGTAATGAGTTAAGATGAGGTCACCCTGGAGGAGGGTGGCCGCTAATGTGACAGGACAGGTGCCCTGATAAAAAGGGGATATCTGGACACAGATACACACACAGGGAGAGCGCCGTGTGAAGAGGAAAGCAGGGATCAGGGATACAGAAGCTACAAAGCACCAGGGATTGCCAGCAACCAGGAACAGCCAGGAGAGGCGCCTGGAAAAGGCTCTCTCCCTAACCACACTCCAGCCAGGCCCTCCAAACCCTCTTCTCAAGCAGGCTTCAGTCTTGGCCAACAAAAATATAACCTCCCACATGGTTTCTGACAGCTCAAGGCCACATCCCTAGGATGGTGCCAGCTCCCTGAAAGTGCCTGCCTGAGAAACTCAAAGCTGCCAGAAGAATCTGCTGTTGGCTCCTGCCATGCCCAGAGATACAGCCCCGTCCCCCAGCCCATGGGGAGGGCAGGAACCTGACTTCAATGGGCACCAGCTTGCAGACTCAGGCGGGTTTCACAGGGACTGACCCCCGTCTGCTTTCTGTAATGTTTCACTCTCTGGCTCTGCTGAGCCTCTGCTCACCCTCTCCCATCCCATCATTCTCCCTTTAAAACACCCAGGTGGCCAGATGCAGTAGCTCATGCCTGTAATCCCAGCAGTTTGGGAGCCCAGGAGTTTGAGACCAGCCTGGATAACATAGTGTGACCCCATCTCTACAAAAAATACAAAAAACAAAGTATTATAGCTGGGCCTGGTGGCAAAGCTCATGGCCCTACTGCTGGGGCTCACTGCATCCTTGACCTCCCAGGCTCAGGCGATCCTCCCCCCTCAGCCTCCTGAGTAGCTGGGAGTACAGGCGCTTTGCTGCGGCGGGGCTGACCCATGCACCAAGCCCTGCCCTGGGCTGGCCTTTCCACGCCTCACCTCATTTACTGCCCCCACCACCCAGGCCAGTGACAAAGCCGTTCCTGAGCACAGCTTCCCCTCCTCTAAGCCGCCTCCTCATTTCCCGGCACGCACCCCTCCTCCCACATTGGACTCTCTAACTCCACAAAGACTCAGTTCAGCTGCCACCTCCTCCAGGAATTCTGCCCTGATTCCTGAGTCTTGATTCCCTGTCCTGAGTGCAGACAGAGGTCACTGAGCGCCTGCCCTCTAGAACAGCTGGCCTGGGCATTGCCACCAGGTGGGAGACTGGCACCCACTGGATGGCTCTGAGCACTTCCCATTTGCAAGTCTGTCTCCCCCACTAGCCTGGGAGCCCCCTGAAAGCAGGGGCCGCATCTTATGCATCCCTCACTCATGGTGCCCATTACAGGGCTCGGTATAAAGTAGACCTTCAGGGATTGAAGAAAGAAAGAAAGAAAGAAAGAATGAATGAATGAATGAATGAATGAAGGCATAAAGTGACTCGTCCAGGATCACACACACACAGTTAACAGCCCCAGTACTTCTGACTCCAAGGGCACATCACCACCCTGGCAGCAGCCACTCTAGAGATATGTGCCAGTTCCCGGAGAACGGGCGTCCTGGATTCTCTACATCCAGCCTTGTGCCGGCCTGCAACACTGTCCTCTTTCAGCAGCAGCAGCCGATGGAGTGGCGAGGCTGGCAGTGATCCCCCTGTGCTGACTGGAAAGCAAGCTCTGGTTCCAGCCAGCCTCCCTCTGGGGCAGCACCCCCTGCCCCTGAGACGCAGCAGCCCCAAGGCGGGCCTGGCCGGGCCGCTCTGCCCTGGTCTTCTCTGCAGCCTCAGACTCCAGGGCTTGGACTGGCCTCAGAACTGACATTGATTCTTCCAGATCTTCAAATTGGGCTTTTCTTTTTCTATTTAAAAACAAAATACTTAATGTAAAAGGAATGCATGCTTGTTAGAAAAAAACCCTGACAATATAGAGGTATATAAAGAAATGTATAGAGTTAAAGCGCCCCCCACTCCCCAGTCCAGCCACTGTGAACGTGTGAGTGTTGATCCTCCCAGATGTTTAACCCCCCCACACACACAGACACACGTATTTATTTTACAACCTCTAGGTTAAACATTCACCCTCTGCCTCCTAATTCCAGTGAAGTCTTGTGTACTTTGTCTAGGAGGAGATTCTAAACCATGGAACCCAACACATGGCGCTCATCAGGATATGGTTAAATTAATGTTATCTGGTGCATGGAACCAAGAAATAGCAGCCAGGTGTGTTGGCTCACACCTGTAAACTTTGGGAGGCCAAGGCGACTTGAGGCCGGGAGTTCAAGACCAGCCTAAGCAACATAGCAAGACCTTATCTCTGCAAAAAAAAGAAAAGAAAAAAAAAATTTAATTAGCCAGGCGTGGTGGTGTGTACCCGTAGTCCCAGCTACTCTGAAGGCTGAGGTGGGAGGATCAATTGAGCACGGTAGATCGAGGCTGCAGTGAGCTGTGATTGTACCACTGTACTCCAGCCTGGGAGACAGAGCAAGACCCTGTCTCTGAAAAAGAAAAGAAACGGCATTAGACTCATAGAGAAAAACATGTAATCCTACAGCACTGACACTGCCATTCCAAAAAGGAGCGTCGGAGCGTCAGCCGCAAAGAGTCCTCTTTCATTTTTTCATTGAGCAGATATTTCTCGAGTGCCAGGGACATGTTAAGCATAGTCATAACCACAGGGAATGAGGCCGTGAATACAGAAGAAACTGAGCAGTGCAGGGAGAGGGACAATCAGTGGAGAATCAATAAAACCCTAGAGCATGTCAGACCCCAGGTTCTAAGCCAAAAAGCAGGTAAGGGAGGCGGTGGGGGCAGGGTGGGAGTGGGGTGAAGACAACTGGGTCTCTAATTCCCTGGCCTGTCTCCTCCCTCCCTCTCAGTCGACACCCACCTGTGTCGCCCTGCACTTGCACACTTGGATAAAACATCACACCCACTGCCTGCCGAAGGGCCAGCCAGGTGCTGGAGAAAATGACCCCGGCCTGCAGGTGAATTTGCTCCCTGGAGGTGAAACTTGACCAGTGAGAAACAGGGGATGACAGAGCTGGACAGATGCATCCCCCGCCGTGTGCTGTCACCTGTGGACGCCTCCCAAATGTGATCCCTGCCTGCGAACACTTGCAGGATTCCTGTGTGCTGCACAGACCCAATGGCTGAGTGCTTTGGGGATGGTCATCGCAGTTCATTATGCAACTGGGAACATGTGGGTCCCCTCCCCCTCATCCTCACCACCCGGGGCTTGCACCTCCCAAATGAAGCATTAACACTGCAATCCCAGCCTCAGACTCTGCTTTCTGGAGAGGCTCAAACAAGAAGTCATTTTAAACATCCCAAGAAGGCAGCAACCTTGGGAAGAAAGGGCATTTGACAAAGACCTCAAAGAGTCGAGAGAAGAAGCCGTGTGCCTATTTGGAGAAAGAGTGTTCTAGGCAGATGTCTTATTCTCTTCAGGCTGTTTTAACAAAATACCATAAACTGGGCAGCTTATAAACAAGATACACTTATTCTTTACAATGCTGGAGGTTGGGAAGTATAAGATCAGGGTGCCAGCATGGTCGCGTTCTGATGAGGACCCTTCTCCGAGGCTGCGGACTGCTGACTTCCCACTGTGTCGCCTGGCATGGTGATGTGAACCCAGAACATCTGAGACGGGTCTCAGTTAATTTAGAAAGTTTATTTTGCCAAGGTTGAGGATGCGTGCCTGGGACACAGCCTCAGGAGGGCGCGTCCTGACGACAAACGCCCAAGGGGGTCCGGGCACAGCGTGGTTTTATACATTTTAGGGAGCCATGAGACATCAATCAATATATGTAAGAAGTACATTGGTTTGGTCAGGAAAAGTGGGACGACTTGAAGCAAAGACAGGAAGACTCCAAGCCGGGAGGGAGGGAGCTTCCAGGTCACAGATAGGCGAGACACAAAGGGTTGCATTATTTTGAGCTTGTTATTAGCTTTCCGAAGGAGGCAATTAGATACGCATCTATCTCAGTGAGCAGAGGGATCACTTTGAGTAGATGGGAGGCAGGTTTGCCCTAAGCACTTTCCAGCTGGAGTTTTCCTTAGTGATTTGAGGGGCCCAAGATATTTTCTGTTCACAGTGGAAAGAGCAAACACACCCCCTCAGGCTGCTTTTATAAGGATACTAATCCCATCAGTGTGAGCTCCGTCCTCACGACCTCCTCGCCTCCCAAAGGCCCCACTCCTAAAACCATCACCTTGGGCCTAGGATTTCAACAGCTGAATTTGGGGAAGACACAAACTTTCAACCACCGTAGCAAAGGAGGCAGCAGGTACAAAGGCCCTGAGATGGGAGCATTGCTTGTTTCCTAAGAACAGCAAGGAGGCCACCGTGGCTGGAGCAAGTGAGCGAGGAGGAGGGGAATAGGAGACGCTATCAGAGAGGAGGCTGGCGGCGGAGCCACGTAGGGCCTTGTAAACCATCAAGGACTTGGGCTTTTGGTCTGAGTGCAGTGGGAAGCTGTTTCCAGGCAGATTCTAGGCAGATGTCTTTGTCCATTCAGGCTGCTAGAACAAAGTACCCCAAATTTTGAGGTCTTCAGCAGTGGAGTGATGTGGTCTGACTTAAGTTTTAAAAAGATCACTCTGGCTGCTGACTTGAAAACAGACTAGAGGACAGTGATGGTGGAGGCAGGGAGGCCAGAAAGGAGGCTGTCTCAGTAATCCAGCTATCAGAGGGTAGGGGCTCAAATCAGGGTGGAATTAACAAGAAAAGGAGAGACTAGAAGAGGGTACATTTGGACAGCCCCGTGTGCTGACATACTGACCGTGGGGCACGGGAGGAAGATGCCATTCCAGGATGACTCCAAGGCTTTTGCTCCGAGCAAGTGGTCTGATGTCATCTCTGTCTCTGTCTGCTGGTGGCCTGGGGCACTGGCTATCCAGGATGGCCTCACTACAACTTCACCAATTAAGATTATTTGCCACAGTGCAGTATCTGCAAGGATCTGTCCACTTCTGGCTCACTGTCACTGATGCGGTCCAGCCCCTCGGGGTTCCAGCTCATGGCAGGTTTCCCAGGACAAGCTTTCCCATGGAGGGTCCTTGCATTGGTTTCCCGTGGCTGCTGTAACAAACTACTGCACACATAGTAGCTTAGAGCAACACATATTCACTTTCCTATGGTTCTGGAAGCTAGAAATTCAACATCCCTTTCACTGGGCCAAAGCCAAGGAGTGGGCAGGGCTGCACTTCCTCAGGAGGCCGCAGGGAGCATCTGTCTCCTTGCCTTTCCCAGCTTCCAGAGACGGCCACATTCCTGGGCCCCTGGCCCTCACTCCACCTTCAAAGCCAGCAGCACTGCATCCTACTGCGGTGGTCACGTGGCTTCCCCCTGGAGGGTCTAGTCTCCCTCTGCCCCTCTCACAAGGAGGCTGTCACCACATATGGAGTTCACACAGCTGATGGAGATGCTCTTCCCATCTCAAGGCCCCTCATCACAGCTGCAAAGTCCCTTCTGCCTTGCGAGCTAACAGTCCGAGTTTCCACAGACCGGGACCTGATATCTTTAGGGTCCAGCCTACCACAGCCCTGGACTCCCGTCCCTTAGCCACACGATGTTGTCAACCCCCGGCCAGTGTCTCAGAAAGCGTGCTCTAGAATCACAGTACCCCTAAATGCTGCATTGACCCCCCGAGCCTCTCTCCTCCCTGGATCCTGCCCCACCATTTCCTCACTGTCTCGTTACTTCTCCGACATCTCCACACAGAGGTCCCCGTTGTTATCGCTGTTACATTTTCTAACTGTCCTTGGAGGGAGGGTCAGTCCCACTCTGACAGGAAACAGATGTGTATCTTACTCTTTCTGTGCTGAAATGGCAGCAGGCGGGAATTTGTTCCCGAGTGAGAGCCTCCAAGGACTGACCATTAGGTTTTCTACGTGCCAGCACTGACAGTAGACTCTTGTTAGTCCCCATGACTTTAATTTAAAAGTCAACAACTCATCATAATTACAGCCACTTCAGGGCTCATAATCATTACCCCATTTGGTAATACTTAGAGCCATTATTTATTAATTACAAAAATATGTCACAGATTCCGGGCAGGCCCTTTGCCAATTATTGTCTCTTTTAACTCTTACACTAAGCCTGTGGTGTCAAGACCATCAGCATCACCCTGAAATGGACAAACTGAGGCTCAACAAGCTTGGGTAGGCTGCCAGGGCGGCACAGCCAGTGAGCGGCAGAGCAACGGTTTGGAGGGTTTCTGGCCCTGCAGCCCTCACCTGCAGGACGCCGTGCCTGAGAACTCGAACTAGGGAGAAACTGAGCAGGGCCACACAGCACGTGGCCGCAGAGCCCGGGCTCCTCAAGTCACATCCTGCCCCGTTCCCCAGTAGCTCTTTCCCTTTCAAATGCTTTCTCCAGCCCAAGTGAGTCAGCAGTCCTGGAACTCAGAAACAAGGTCAGTTCAACCCACCTTAGAGGCAGAATTGTTCTTCTCATGAATCTTCAGAAAACTTGGCTCACGCAAAACAACCCCGGCCTCTCTGAGCAAGAAGTAATTCTCCCGGAAACGCCCTCAGACTCCACCCGCACCGCCGGCTCTCCTGGGTCTCCGCCTGTGGCCTGCACTGCAGATCTCAGACCTGCAGGCGCCACACTCATGTGAGCCAATGCCTTATAATAAATCTGCTTCTACGTATATACACATCCTATTGGCTGTGTTTCTCTGGAGAACCCTAACGCAATTGTGTTGTGACTGGATAGAACATCCTTGCTCCTGAGACACAAGCTGCAGCATTTGGGGATTAAGTATCATGATGTCTGCAACTCACTTTCAAACAGTTCAGCAAACCAAAAAGAGTGTGTGTGTGTGTGTGTGTGTGCACACGTGTGAGCCTGTGTGCATGTGTGTGTATTGTAGATACTATTCCATGTGTGTATGCCCATGGAATATAGAATATATACACACACATACACATAGAACATGTGTGTGTGTGTGTATCCTACGTATATGTGTGTGTATATATTCTGCATTTTTTTTCTATGTATGTATGTACTGGAGAGAGTGGGAACAGCCACAGTTAAATGTTAAAACTGCTAGACCGAGGGAAAAGCATACAGATTAACATGATTCTACGTTTTCAAACTTTCTCTAGATTTTCAATGTTCCAAAATAAAAATGCAGGGCGGGGGCTGTCTGACCCCTTTCCCTGGCTCTCGGGATCAAGTCAAGACTCAGAGCCTGCTCTGGGAGCGGCTGGGTGTTGGAAGGGATCCAATAAGCTGCCCCCACTTTCCTGCCCTGATTCTGAACCAACTGAGACAACAGAATGGAGGAGCCAGCAGATGGGAACAAAATGTCACCTTGAAGATGGGCGACACTGGGGCTGGAAGGAATGGGGATTAAGAGTCACAACCAGCCTAGACCGAAGCAGCCTGCCCCTGAACGGTTTGCTTCTGCACACTCGGCTCTGCTTCCTACAACGCTGGACCAGGTAGAGCAGAGAGGAGAGCAAATCCAAAGACCCCCCAAGCCCTGGACCTTTGGTATCAAGATACGTGGAGCCAAGAGAGCCAGCCAACTTGCAGGTAACCACCCCACCCCTGGGGAGGAGTCAGGAACACAGCAAGGAGCGGGCAGCCTCGAGGAAAACCCCAGCTCGAGGAAGCCAAGGTGCACCCCTCAGAGGCCCCGCGGCTCTGCACACCTCAAGTCTGACTTTGCCCACCCTCTGCTCTGTGCTCTCCTCCCTCCTGAGCCTCTTAGGGACCCCAGACCCACCACGGCCTCGGCTGGGGTTCCCGTCCTTCCGGTCTCTGCTGCAGTCACCGCCTCGCTGGGGCCTGTGTGCCATTTTACACAGGGGTGGGTCCCTCCCCCAACCCCCGGGGTCACTGCTGGTGGTGTCCTTGCCTGCTGTCCAACTGCCTTGGAAAAGGAACCTGAGAGATGGCTCAAGCCCAGCCACCTTCCATGGTGGGAACAGGGACACAGAAAACTCACCATCATTGGCACAGCAGACTCCTGCTGTGACCCCTGCTAAAATAAGCATGAAAGCCAAGCTAGATACCAGATAGAGCTGAATACGGGTGTAAGGTGAGTGTGAACAGATCTGGGCATGAGATGAGCACACAGGACGGATCAGCACTGCTGCTGCACCAGGAGCTCCTTACCTGCAGCCTCACCATCCACACTCCCCTCTAGTATGTGTCTTCAACTTCCGCTTAACAGGAGAAGCTGCGTCCAGCACCTATGTTGTGGCTGGGCCCCAACCATCATCCCCCAATGTGGGGACACAGAGAAGGCTGCTCACTGCTGAAACCACCAGAACCAGACTGAAGCAGCCGAGGCAGCTACCCTGAGACCTGCTCACCCCTGGTCATACGCACCGGAGAAAACCACCCACTGGATGGGGAGGGGACTGGGTGAGGACGCTGCAAGCCTGCTCTCTGCAGCGTTATTCAGGGTGGTAGGAGTTGGAGATGGCCTGGGATCCTTCCTGGAGTGCAAGGTGGGTTAGACCACAGGGTGCCCTGCAGTCTCTGGAGGCAGCAGAGATGCCCCTGAAGTTAATAGGGATGGAGCTTTAAAACCCAAACCCAGTGAAAGCAAGTAACTGTGGGAGCTGTACAGTACAATGCCATTGACGTGGATATTACTTACATGCCTATGCAGGTGTTCACCAAAAGCCACATATACGTATCAGGTATAGAAGCACCGTGCCTGATAGCCCCAAACCAGAAACAACCAGTACCCATCCTCTGTAGAACAAATAGTTTGGGGAAGGAGGAGCAAGGGAGGTCTATACAGATGCTAGTGAAGTTCTGTTTCTCCAACTGGGTGCTGATGACACAGGCTAGTATATTTTGTGCAAATCCTTCCAGCTATGCATATGACCTGTACACTTTTCTATATATATTCTCTATATGTATGTTATTCTTCAATTAAAAGTTCACTCAAAATGCATGCACATGATTAGAGATCAATATACACTTTACAACCGGGCGCAGTGGCTCATGCCTGTAATCCCAGCACTCTGGGAGGCCCAGGCGGGAGGATCACTTGAGTCCAGGAGACTGATGCTGCAGTGAACTGAGATTGCGCTACTGCACCCCAGCCTGGGTGACAGAACGAGACTCTGTCCCAAAAATACATGCATATAGATTTATACACACGCACACCATACATAAGCAAAAATGCACATTAAACAACGTGAAGAAAAGTGAATGGAGAGAGGGGTAAAATAAAGGTGAATGCCCAGGTAGACATGACGTGTGAGAGGCCTGTGGGAAGTGCATACCGCGAACCAAGGTGGACGACAGACTCAACAGTTGGCCACTGAGGACAAAACAGAGGAATCAGGGGGTGAGGTGAAAGGGAGATGATAGGGCAGAAGCAGCCCCCGGGCCACAGTGGCCAGACTAGGTTACAAAAAGAGCAACTGCCTTCCCTTGTCGGATAGGTGGGAATTTAAAAGGTTGCCAGCATTCAGCACCACAAAAGTGTGGGAAAGTGGGGACTTCTGTGCCTTGTGCAATGGGACTTTAACTGGAACGGCCCTTTGGGGTCATTTCGACAATCCCTATGGAAGCTTTAAATATGTGACTTCGTTGACCCAGAAATTCTGCTTCTAGAAAAATACTTGGTTGAAGACTTGCAGGCACGCACAAGCATGATGTCCCCCGATGGTGAGGCGGCAATGTGTGCGCTAGCCAGAAAACCGGAAAACACCAAGGTGTCTCTTCACATCAGACTTGTGAAATAAGTGGAGAGTCGATCTGATGGAGACAGACCCCACAACCACTAAAGAATGAGGTGGTGGCCGGGCGCGGTGGCTCACGCCTGTAATCCCAGCACTTTGGGAGGCCGAGGCAGGCGGATCACGAGGTCAGGAGATCGAGACCATCCTGGCTAACACAGTGAAACCCTGTCTCTACTAAAAATACAAAAAAATTAGCCGGACATGGTGGCGGGCGCCTGTAGTCCCAGCTACTTGGGAGGCTGAGGCAGGAGAATCGCGTGAACCCAGGACGCGGAGCTTGCAGTGAGCCGAGATCGCGCCACTGCACTCCCGACTGGGCAACACAGCAAGGCTCTATCTCAAAAAAAAAAAAAAAAAAAGAGGTGGCTTTGTGCAAACTTATAATGGTAAAGCCAATTGACAGGGTGGGGGTGGGAGCCAGGTGCCAAACCACAAGTCCCACACCCTCCTGTCTCTGGAACAGAGAATTATGATTTAATACCTGTATGCATTCGCAGCAAATCTCAAGGACTCCACCCAACGGTGAAGAATGGTCACTGCTGGAGTGGAGTTACGCGGCCAGGGGTTTTCTTTTTATACCAGCTAACATTTACATTCTTTACGGAAGGCACACACCATTTCTGCAATTTTTTAATTAAATCTGGGTAGCAAAGATCCTCCCATATGGTTTACATCTGTTGGGACAGAGTTAGTCTAAAGCTGTAGTTCAGTTCCTTATCAGGAGATGCAACAGGGTAAAACCCTTCGTGACTGTCAGCTCTGTTCGCATATTGGGAAAGGATGCAAGCTGCGAACGGGAAGGTCAGTTTCTAGTCCCGGAGGTATGAACCAGGCCCTGGGTCTCAGGTTTGCTGGCAGATTACAGTTGGAGGGGCTGAACAAGATAATTTTCAACTTCCCCTCCAGAATCTTGTTCTAACAGTCATCCCCTCTCCCGGACACCTCCCCAGCTCAGCCCCTCCACCTGCCCCTCATAACCTGCAGCCCAGCCCCCAGAAAGACCTGTGGTTTCATCATCTGCCGGAGGGCTGCGACCTCTGAGAGTGTAGTGAAGGCTGAACGAGATAACTGCAAATGCTCACAGCCCAGGGCTCAGTGTTGCCTGCTGAGCTGGGACTACCAGGCTCCTTGGTTTCCTGCTCTGGCCTTTGCCCTCGCAGTTCCCCTCGGGGTGAAGAACACACCTCGGCCCTAGCTGCTGCTCCTTCCCTCCTAAATGGCTTCTTGTCACCCTTCAGAACTGAGCTGAGATGCCATGGGGCTGGAGGTAGGAGCCTGTCACCACCAGACCATCCCTCCAACTCTTAGTCATCTGTCTTGTCATTAGCAAGTTACTTGTCAGTTACACCCACCCGTAGGTCTGGGGGCCACTGAGGTTTGTAATGGTGTCATCTCTTTTTTATTCTTCAACTTTTAAGTTCAAGGTACATGTGCAGAATACACAGGTTTGTTACATAGGTAAATGTGTGCCATGGTGATTTGCTGCACAGATCACCCCATCAACTAGGTAGTTCAGATGTGGTTATGGGAGGAAGGGAGGGAGTTGCCTGACCACCACGAGTGAGGTGGCTGCAAGCCAAGGAGTGTGGAGGATGGCCCACAACCACCAGAAGGCCGGCAAGAGTTATGAATCAGACCGTCCCTCAGCCCCAGGCAGGGCCAACCCTGCCGACACCTGGACTTTGGACTCCAGAACTATGAGAACTGTCGTTTGAGGGCAGCCAATTTATGGTGACTTGGTTCTCCCACCTTAGGAGACAGAAGCACCCCCTCATGGGCTGTCTGCTCCACTCTGGGGCCCGGGTGACCATGGGGCCAGGGGAGCAAGGCTGATGGCTGATGTTCTCCCCTGCCCTGGGTCCCCCATCCCGGGAGAAACCCAGCATCGTTCAGCAGCCACCTCGTTTTCCCCGAGCTGCTCCACTGGAACTGGAAGCTGCTCCACTGGATGGCAGACGCCCACCCAGTGGAACCCGTCTCTAAGGACAAAGCCGCGGCACAAGGGAGAGAAACCAGGGGACTTGCAGATCTGCCTCCGATGAACATCCACACATTGCGTGGGGTGTGATGAGGCCACCTCCTATGTCACAGTCCTGCTGAAGCCACCTTGGAGAGAGGCTGTCGGAAGCCCATGGCCCAGGCCAGGGGTGAGTCCGGCCAACCCTTGTTTCTGAAGGGGCCGTCCTGTGGTACATCAGCCCCGCCCTGCCGGGTTCCAAGCAGCTTCTCCTCGCAGCTCTCAGAAACATCAGTGTGGCCAGAGCTCAGCATGTAGGGCAGATTCCCCAGGCCTCATGCCAAGACGTAAATCTTGGCAACCCCGGTTTTCCCACTGTCCTTTAGCTGCTCAGGACAGCATGATGCTGCTTCTGGACACACATGTTTATTTGGCAAAAGCAAATATTCACCAGGGGCCTTTCTCGACAGGAGAAAAAATGGCAGAAGCATCCTCGGTTCAGCCGGTGTGGTGCCCTTGTCTTTCTTCTCCTCTCCATGGGTCTGCTCCTGAGCCCCGCTGTCCTCCATGTGTTTAGCTAATCTCAAGGCTTCTTGGGATTCATCTTTTGTCTTCATTTGCTCAAGGGCAGAGTAGTCCCTGCCAAAGACTGACTCTTCCAACAGACAGCCTCCTCCTTCCCCGAGTTTCACCCCAGTGAGAATCCCAGCCCTAACCTGGCTGGGCACCTGCCCAGGGCACCCCGGGTCCTCTGTGGTGGAAGCTGAATTTTCATGCTTAGTTCAGCTTAGCTGGAAACCCCAAGCAGACCAGAGCACGAGCAGGCAGCACGGCTGGGAGGCGTTTACTCTCACACCGCTTTTAACAAATGTGTGCTCCCAATGTGTGCTGGGCTTTCCCAGCAAGACTTCACCTGACTAGTTGACATGAAGCCCGGGGACCCCAGTGAGTGTAGAGAGCCAGGCCCATGTGAAACAGCAGCGGGGAAGGTCCCTAGACCCAGACACCAAGTCCCCCCGAGGCCAACCAGGACCTCCCCCAACAGATGTCGGATGTGTTTCTATGAGGCTCTGACCCACCCAGAAAAGCCACCTCCCATGCCAAGTCAGGAATCATGACCTAATTCTGTGTCTAATCTCTTTCCAAAAGGACGCCAGTCCTATTGGATCAGGTTCCACCCTAAAGACTTCATTCTACGTTAATGACCTATTTTTTTATTTTAATTTTTATTTTCTTTGAGACAAAGTCTCACTCTGTCACCCAGGCTGGAACATAGTGGTGTCATCTCGGCTCACCACAACCTCTACCTCCCAGGTTCAAGCAATCCTCCTGACTCAGCCTCAGGAGTAGCTGGGATTACAGGTGCGCACCACCACACCGGGCTAATTTTTGTATTTTTAGTGGAGACAGGGTTTTACCATGTTGGCCAGGCTGGTCTCGAACTCCTGACCTCAAGTGATCCACCCGCCTCGGCCTCCCAAAGTGCTGGGATTACAGGCGTGAGCCACCACGCCTGGCCTAGACTTAATGACCTCTTTAAAGGCCCCGCCTCCAAATACAGTCTCATTCTGAGGTCCTGGGGGTTAGGGCTTCAATACCGAAATTTGTGGGGGACACAAGTCAGTCCACAGCACTGAGCATCTCCGTTCACTTAGTAGAGTGAGAACCCCCCAGGTATTTCTGGGGGTTCCTTTGACGGAAGCTGTGAAGCTCAGAACATTCTCCCTGTGACAGAGTCCGTCCAGGTCCACTGTTGCCTTCTCCCCTCCCCTTTCCAGGCTGAGACGGGCAGCACCTCCCAGCCCTCCTTGCGGCCAGGTAGGGCTGTGGGCCTGGGTCTACCCCCCACAGTGTGGGAAGATGTGAGGTGCACCAATCTGGGACCCAGCCAGAGCATCCCAGGGGTCATCCCCGCTCCCCGGTCCACCTCCATTCCCCATGGAAGCTGTGAGGGAGGGTGCCCCACTCCAGGGTCACTGCTTGGAGAGAGTTGCCAGGAGGGCCAGTGCCAGGAGCTCCCACGCCGGGCTCCTCGTTGCCGGGCCCTGAGCTCTCGGGTTATTTGTTACCGCAGCACATCCTTGTGTCCCTCACATTCCCATGGGCCAGACAACGCTCGTCACCCCTCGGCAATGCCAGCAGCAGCCATTCACCGACTCACACAGTCCCCTCTCATGCTCCAAACAAATGTCTCCTGGGTACTGGCACGCCAGGCTCTGCAGCTGAGTCCCGGGGTGGAGAATCAAACTGATTCGTGACACAGGGGTGATAGCGGAAGCCCGGGAGGGGCACCAACCAGGAACTTGGGATGAGGGAAGCCCCCGAGTGCCCTGGTTAAGCAGGCAGATGCTGGCTTCAGACAGGCCTGGTTTCAAATCTCAGCTCCACCCTGTGCTAGCTATGAGACCTAGGCCATTCCCTTAAACCTTCTGAGCCTCAGTTTTCCCACCTGTGAAATGGGGCCCAAAGTCACAGCAATCCTACAGGGTTGTGTTGTGGGTTAAGTGAGACAATGAATGGCAAGGGCTTATTTAGCTCAGCACCCGGCCCAGTGGAAGAGAGCAATGAACACTGGCAATCATTGTCACTATTGCTATAGTTTTGCCATAAGCTGAAACCTGAAACCTGAACCAGGAAAGGCAGTGTCCTGTGCTCAGGCCCAGAGGCAAGAGGGAGGGCAGCAACATACCCAGATCGCAGGAGCCGATGGGCTGGAGCCGGGGAGCCTGGGTGAGCGTGGCCAAGACAGCCCTGCAGAGCCAGGCTACAGACCTGGGCCCTCCCGTCCCGCAGAGCTGCAGGGTCAGGCTTGCCTGTGATGTACTCACTCCCACTGAAGTGTGAAGGGCACACAGAGGCCAGCAAGGGAGGAGGAGGCTCTGGAGATCCAGGTAGGAGCTGGGGGGCCCAGGCCTGGGCAGGCACAAGGGAGGATGCCACAGAGATGAGAGCTCTTTAGAAGGGAGAAACAACAAGAACCGGCACCTGTTACGGCAGGTGGGATGAGGCCGAGGGTGGGGTGGAAGTGTCCGTGCCATCTTTCGCCATCCACGGCCATCTGGAGGCACAACCTTCGCCCTGTAGAGCACTCGGGCCGCCAATGCACGAGGCCACTGAGCACCAAGGAGACGTGGGAGTTGGGTGTTGGGAGGCAGATCCCTGCACCCACTGAGCTTCCAGACCCCCTCGCAGTCTGAACTCACAGGATGAGTTCTCATCTGCGCGCACAAGTGAAGATAATCAATCTCCATTTGGGGCAGGAAAGGGGGATAAGCATTGCTACACACAGGAGAGACATAGAACGATGGCTCCGAGAGACAAACACGATGAATAGCCGGGGGTATGATTGATGAGGGGAGATTCAAGAAACCAAAGCTGGATAGCCAAAGGGGGAAACTGTGTCAGAACAGAGGTGCACGGAGGGGAGGAACACTGGCTCCGAGAAATTCCACTGCGGGGCTGATCTGTCGGGTGAAACAGCTTTTCTCTGTCTGGAGAAAAGCTGACAAATGAACAAGCAGTCTGTAAGAAATGACTTTTTAATGTCGAGATGGGATTGCCTGCCAGGTAGCAGAGAAATGCCCCATGAGAAGCCGAGACAGGCAGCCCCAGGCCCTGGATGGCAATTAACATGGGGTCTGCCCACGTGGGGGAAGCCAGGCCCTCGTTGCCCAGAACCGGCGCGCACAGGCAGGGATGCGGGACTCTGCGGCTGACAGAGGGGCTGATGGTCCTGTGACCTGACCCTCAAATGTGCCTGTGGTAGTCAGGGCTTTCCAAGGGAACGGAACAGAACCAGAACAGGGAGTAGGGGGGCTGGTTATTTTTAAGAAATTGGCTCACCTGATGGTAGTGTCTGGCCAGTCCAAAATCTGCAGGGCAGGCTGGAGACCCAGAGAAGAGCTGATGGAGCAGATGTCACAGCTTGAGTCCTGAGGCCGCCCGCAGACAGAATTCCCTCCTCCTTGAGGTGGCCAGGCTTTTTCTCTTAAAGTCATCAATGGATTGTATGAGGCCCACCCACATTGTGGAGGGTCCTCAACGTTACTCAAAGCCCAGTGATTTAAACGTTACTCTTGTCTTTAAAAATTACCTCCATAGCAATATCCAGACAGGTGTTTGACTAAATGTCTGGGCATCGTGGCCCCGCCAAGCTGACCCATTCCATTAACCATCGAGGGCCCCTGTTGGGGCATATTTGTCCTTAGGGGCCTCCGTGTCCTCCGCCCGGTGGGGGGACGTGGTGAAATAGGACACAGTGCCACCCTCAGGAGCCCACAGCAATGGGATGTGCAGGAGGATAAACAGCCCTCTCCTCCCTGCCCACACTTCCTGTCCAGCCGAGAGCCCGACACAGGGTTCACACTCTCCTAGCTCAGAGTGTGGGTTCTGTTACAATTAGGCCAGGATGAAAGAAGGGGCTCCTTGGTGCTGTACCCCAGAATGAAACTCACTCACTGAGTCACAGCAGGGCTCAACAACCACGGGCCTCCCCCATTCACCCCAGCAGCTGAGGGCAGTCCAAAGCTCACTCTCTCTCTCCCTCTCTCCAGGCAGATCCTGGAGAACCTTAATAACAGATACCTACTCTATGCCAGGCACCATTCTAAGTCTGGTAAGTAATAATTCACAGAACCCTCTCAACAGCGCAATGCCCATTTCATAGATAAGTAAGCCAAGGTGGGGAGGTCAGGTAAGTTGCCCAAGGTCATAGCCAGGATTCGGACCCAGACGGTCAGGCACTCGGCCCCAACCCTACAGAGTGCCTTTCAGAAGGAAAGCAGGGAAGGGGCTGAGCATGCCATCCTCCCCCGCAGACTCACTATCTGGGAGTCCCTCCTGCTTCCCGAGGGAGGTGAAAAAGGGATGGGAGAGAGGCGAGGCGGGCACTGGATGTCAGTCCAGCACAGGGTTGCCAGATAAAGTCGGGATGCCCAGCTAAACTTGAGTTTCAGATAAGCAACAAATAATTTTTCAGTGTAAGTATATCCCAAATGTTGCATGGATTCTCTCCACGTGGACATGGTGGGTACATCGGCTCATGCTCCTGCTGACAGCCATCAGTGTCCATTAGAAGGGAGCCCCGGGGCTGCAGAAGCCTGGGGGGACATCCTTGCAGGGAATAGATCTCAGGGGTGTTACCCTCATCCACCACTCCCCCATGCTGGGCTCCCACTCAGCATGGGTGCTGGGACACAGGCAGGCTTGTGAGGCACACACTGAATCACAGGGTCGGTGAGAAGGGCAGGCCTGTGGCCTTCGTGGAGGAGGTAGCTCAGCTGCCCAGGGGCAGCAGGGGGAGTGACACCAAGCTGGAGACTTGAGAGACCCTGGCACGTCTGCATGCGCATGGCTGGGCCTCCGTTTCCTCACCTATAAACTTGGAGTAATGACCCCTCTTCAAAGTGGAGTGAGGCACGTCCCTGCTCCTGGGGAGCTCAGGGCTCGCCCCATCCTAGGTCTCCATGCTGGGGAATCACAGGGGATGAACAGATGCCTCCTCAGGCAATTGCCAAGGTCATGGGGGATGATGGGAGGCCGGGAAGGCCTGAACCTTCCCTCTGGGACCAGGGACTGTGTTGGGGCTGAGGGGAGCCAGGTGGGACAGGCAGGGAAGACAGCAGGGTCTCCAGGGAGGCCAGCGCTCAGCAGCAAGGACAGGAGCAGGAGGGCTGGGAACTCACAGGTGAGAGGCCGTCAGGATGGGGTGGGCGCTGGGGAAGTGGAGAAAGCTGTGCCAGGCAGACCCAGCCACCAGCAGGGAGTGGAGGCAGGCGGTGGCCAGCCCTGGTCAGTCCAGGAGAAGCTGGGCTCTGAGCAGGGGCAGGTCATCTCGAAGCTCCCACTCCTACTTGGGGGTTGACCTCCACTCTGCCACTTACTAGCTGTGTGACCTCAGGCGAGTCACTGAAGTCAGTTTCCTCATCTGTAAATGGAGACAGTAACAGTGCTTGCCAGCAGGGATGTCGTGTGGCTTCAATGAGATCACGGGAAGCAAAGCACTCAGGCCTCAACTGGCTGGAAATGAGCCGCCTCTTGCCGTCACATTAACAAGGCCACCCCATAGCACCTGCTTTCTTAAATTAGGTCTAAAATATGACACCTTGGGAAACATAAGGCAGTAACTATTAACAGCTAGACACGCCCTGATAACATTTTGATCCATTTCTTCAGGATGATTTTTCTTCACATTTTTTTCATGTATGGATCCTATGGTATGCCTAATTCTGTTTTGCTTTTTTCACTTAGAAGGTAACCGTAAGTATTTTTCTGTGTTATTAAATTTTTCCATCACCATTTTTATTAAAATGATACAAAATTTTCTAGCATTTAAATATATAATTTATTATATCCTACTGTTTCGAGAATTCTGATAAAAATATTTCAATAAATATCAGAATATTGATTTTGATAAATATCTTTTTTTTTTTTTTTTGAGACGGAGTCTCACTCTGTCACCCAGGCTGGAGTGCAGTGGCACGATCTCTGCTCACTGCAAGCTCCGCCTCCCGGGTTCATGCCATTCTCCTGCCTCAGCCTCCCAAGTAGCTGGGACTATAGGCACCCGCCACCACGCCCAGCTAATTTTTTTTTTGTATTTTTAGTGGTGACGGGGTTTCACCGTGTTAGCCAGGATGGTCTCGATCTCCTGACCTCGTGATCTGCCCGTCTCGGCCTCCCAAAGTGCTGGGATTACAGGCGTGAGCCACCGTGCCCAGCCGATAAATATCTTTTCTCTTGCTTTTGTCCAAATTCTCTTTCTTCCCTTAAATCCCCAAAGTGGAGTTTCTAAGCCAAACAGAAAAGTTCTCGAGAAACAGTGACAAATCACCTTCCAAAAGCTTGTTTTAATGTGGCTCCTTGAAAGCTGGGTGACGGCCTCTCTACAGCCTCAGGACTCCACAGTGCATGCTTCTGGGGGCTACTCTCAGACTTGGCTTTATTTTGGCTCTTTATTTTCCCTTACTCAACTCCCACAAAGCAGCGGTGCTGAAAACCATCCCAGACGGGCAGAGCAACGCAGCACACACCTGGGTACTTACGGTTGCTTGAGATCTTTTTTTTTTTTTAACTTTTTATTGTATTTTATGTTTTATTTTTGTCTCCAGCCTCTCAGAGGAGAGATCTTTTTATTATAAGGAATAAAACACGGCTACAAGAGACCTGCTCCGTGCTCCTCCGAGGGCACTGTCCTTCCTCCCTCTCCCCAGACAACAATTACAGGGAAGTTGGTACACAGCCATCGGTGTTTCACTGTTTTCACTTTTGCTACTTATGTGTATGTTGTGTTTTTTAAATGCACTTAAATGACTTAAATCATAACTCTGCAATTTGCTCCTTCTCTCAACATTGCATTAATCCAAGCTAAAAAGCAAAGCAAACAAAACAAAAAATGCCTTCTCCGAGGCCTCTTAACAGCCCCAACGGGACCTGTGAGTTACCTGCACCAGAAACTTCACTTCCCCACTGTTTCTCTCTTCCAGAAAACAAAGTTCATCACAGCTCAAGGGAACACATGGATGTTTTCTAATTCCTTGAATTATATGGTAAGGGGGGAAATGCTACATATCAAAACTTGCAGAGTGCAACAAAAGTTGTTTTAAGGGCAAAATTTGTAGCCTTAATATTTTGTTGTTTGTTTGTTTGTTTGAGACAGAGTCTCCCTCTGTCACCAGGCTGGAGTGCAGTGGCGTGATCTCGGCTCACTGCAATCTCCGCCTCCCAGGTTCAAGCCATTCCCCTGCCTCGGCCTCCTGAGTAGCTGAGACTACAGGCACACACCACCCCACCCTGCTAATTTTTTGTATTTTAGTAGAGACGGGGTTTCACCATGTTGGCCAGGATGGTCTCGATCTCCTGACCTCGTGATCCACCCACCTTAGCCTCTCAAAGTGCTGGGATTGCAGGCGTGAGCCACCACACCCAGCCATCTTAATATTTTATATTAGAAAAGAAAGGCTGAAAATTAAATGAGCCAAGTATCCAAATTAAAATAAAAATAACAACTACAGAAACCCAAAAAAAGTAGAAAGAAGATGACACATAAATGAAACAGAAAACAAAGAAACAATAGGAAAAAGCAACGCCAATGTTTGTTATTTGGGGAGACTGATAAATATGTATACTAATCTCTGGCAAGAGCAGTCAAGAAAAAACTAGAGAATGCAAAAATAAACTATATTTGGAGTAAAAACATGACCATGAGTACAGATATACTAGAGATTAAAATACTAATAAAATAAGCATCTTAATACATTTTAAATGTAAAATGAAATAGGCATTTTTCTAAAAATAACCATAATAACTGAACTGACTCATAAAGAAATTAAAAATTTGAAGAACTCCACTATTTAAAACAAGATATGCAAACCAATAGTTTCTCCTAAGGGGCCAGGCACGGTGGCTCATGCCTATAATCCTAACACTTTGATGAGGATGAAGATGAGGCAGGTGGATCACTTGAGGTCAGGAGTTCGAGACCAGCCTGGGCAACATGGCAAATTCCCATCTCTACTAAAAATACAAATAAATAAATAAATAAATAAAAAGCTGGGCGTGGTAATATGCGCCTGTAATCCCAGCTACTCAGGAGGCTGAGGCAGAAGAATCACTTGAACCCGGAAGGTAGAGTGAGTTGATATTGCGCCATTGCACTCCAGCCTGAGTGACAGAGTGAGACTCTGTCTCAAAAAAAAAAGAAAAGAAAAGAAAAGAAAAAAAATCTAAGAACTATATGTAAGACCTTTATGAAGAATTTTTTAATGGAGGTATAATACATACACAGTGAAGCTCACCCCTTTTTAGTGTACAGTTTTATGAGTTTTAACAAATCCATATAGTCATGGAGCCACCACGATCAGCATAAAGAGCATTTCCATCAGCCCAAAAGGTTGTGCCCTGAAGCTGTCCTCTGGGGCGAACATCCTGTGTACCCAGTGGAATATGTATGACACACATAAAATGCTGTCCTGCTCCAAGGGGCTGAACCAGGGCTGGGTCGGTGGTGACAGGAACAGGACAGATGGGAGACGTTCCGCTAATGTGACTCTGGTTAAAACTAAGGTTTTCAGGTATGAAGGAGGTGGACGTTCTGTACAGTGGAGCCACAGCCCTCCCCACCCCCTGGGTTTCTCTGACCCTGAGACCTGATGCACAGAGAGGTTAAGACTCACACAGCCCATGAGCGGCGGAAGTCCCGGCACTCTGTCCTTCAATCTGCTCATCGCAGTCACTTCCTCCTGACCGTGGACTCTTCTTCCCAGCCTTTTCCTTCAAGCTGGAGGCCCGGAAGTGTGCAGAGGACAGTGAGGGGCCTCAAGTGTGGACATCACATGAGTACTGAAGAAGGACCCCTAGGGCTTCCGTGAAAAGAGGCCTCCAATTGCAAAGCTGCTTTCTATCAGACGAGGTCACGGACAGTAGTGAGGAGTGGCAGGCGGGTGAGTGGGAGGGAAGCGGCCTGGGCTGCTGGAGACTTGGCTACTGGGTGTCCACAATGCCAGGCTCTACCACTAAAGCATTCATGTTCCCCACAGGAGGGGTGCCTGGCTGCCGGCCCACCCCACCCAGGACGAGGCAGCCCTCAGCGGAATGGAAGACTCTGTGGCCAGTGCTCTTTGGGGCCTTGGCACCAGGTCCTCAGCAGCTGGGCCAGCCCTGCTACTCCCTCATCCTGGAAGAGCCCCAGAGAATAGGGGCCATGCCCATGCCCGCTGTGTCCCCTGCACCCCACGCAGGCTGGGGCACAGCAGCCACAGGACACAGGTGCGGGGTGAGTGGGGCTCCAGGGAAAGTGGGCACCCTCAGGCCTCAGCACACGGAGGCTTCCCGCCCCCACCTCCTGGGAGGCTGCCCAGTCAGGCTCCTACCTGGGTTTCCAGGTGCCTCGGTGCTCCCCCGGGATCCTACAGCCCTGCATGGTGATGGGCACACTCCTCTTGTCTTCCCCATTAGCTTGTGAATGCCTCCAAGGCAAGACACAGCTGGGGCCAGATCCTGTCTTCCTTCCCCACTTACTCGCTGTGTGACCTTAAGCAAGTCACTCAACACCTCTGTGCCTATTTCCTCATTTGGAAAATGAAGTTAATAAAAGCACCTAACTTATATGTGTTAACTATGGAAGATTAAATGAATGCATACAAATAAAATGTTGTTCCCGTCTCTATTCCCAGTGATCAGGGTCTCGGAATTGCTTGCTGAATAAATGGCTGCCTGGACAAAGGACTTTGTCCCTCTGGCCCCCTCACGTGGACTCTCTCTGGTAATAAGGCCGTTGCTGAGCAGCGATGAGAGGCTGAGGAGCATAGACGGGCACCAGGCTGCCTAGGTTCAGATGCCAGCTGCCCCCGCTCTTTGCTGTGTAACGTTGGGGGTACTCCCTCAGCCTCTCTGTTTCTGCTGTGTAAGTGAGGATGGCTGTGCTCCTGCCTCCCTGCAGAACTGTTGGCAGGTGAAGCAGGCAACACTTAAGAGCTGCAGTGTGGGCCCTCATGCAGATTTTAATAAAAATAACTCCCCTTCCCCTCGGTGTCCCCTTCCTCCCTCTAAAGGCTGGTAAAGAAAGGCAGGGAGGAGCGCATTTGGAAGCTGGGAGCACAGGAGAGTGATGGGGCCACGATTGGCACTGTCAGGAGGGATTGATAAATGGAGCAAACCCAGAAAAGGTGCAGCCTGCCCCCAAGTCAGCCATAAAGAAAGCACTGGAGCCTGGGAAGGAGGTGCCACGCACAGAGATGATTGTAGCAACACATGACCCACTGGCCCCTCCCAAGGGCAGCCGGAGGCCCTGCCGAGGCTCACAGCACCACACCAGGCCACCAGATAGCTGAGCAGGAGGGGGGCCCAGGAGATCTGCCCCAGATCAGAGCAGCCCCACCATGTCCCGGGTCATGTATTTGAAGGACTTGGCTACAGGCAGCTCAGTGGGCCTCAGAAGAGCAGGGAGGTGGGGGCAGAACCAGGGACCACCCTGAAGGCAGCAGTCCCAGCCCAGATGGCATCTGAAGGCTACAGGAGGAAAGGGACATGAACCGGGTGGGAGCTGGCTTTGTGCCCACATGCCAGAGGTCCAGGCACTGCAGTTCCAAAGGCACTCGGGTGCCAACTGCACCCCTGCCCACAGCCCAGACACCGCACGGGGACTCACAGCTGCCTTCTGGTCCCACCCTGGGCAGGTTAAGTCGAAACAAGGGTGACTCTGGGAAATACTCATTAACCTACTCAGTAACCAGCACCCACTACATGCCAGGCACTGGCAGGTGCTAGGGACACCGTGGGGAATCAGGCAGACCTGGTCCTGGTCCCTGCTTCATGGAGCCCACAAGATACAGACAGATGCTCCTTCCAACACAGTCCTCCTCGCACTTGCCAAGTGGTCCAATAATAATAGGCACATGCAGTCTATTATATGTGGCACTATGGGGAGGCTGCAGCTCCTACCACAGAGCCCAGGACGGTGCTCAGGAGCGCCAGACCCTGGAGGATGCTCAGCCCTCTCCTGGTGAGCCCTGGAAGCAAGGATGGTGGGGAGGAGACAGTACCCACAGGTCCCCAGCTCCAGAGCTGGGGATGCCATTGGGAAACCAGAGGCTCAGAGGTAGCCCACCTCCAGTGGGTGCCCCCTGAAGCTCGGGGCAAGGCTGAGCCAGGCTGGTAGTGATGAGTACAGACTCACCAGAGAAGACTCTCTGGGCAGAGGGGCCACTCAGCCCCAGCAAGTCCCAGCTTGGCCAGCTCCATGCTCAGGAGCAATGATGGGGAAGGTGATCATGACCCAGCCCTGCCCTCAAGGAGCCTATGCTCCATGAGACACGGAGGACTCGAGAGCACCACCTGCTCCCCAGACCACTGTGGCAGCCAGGCCAAGGCCGAAGATGCTAGCAGGGCCGAGGGTGCTTCCCGGGGAGAGAACTCCTGAGTGAATCCTGGAAGGATGATGCGTCGGTGTCAGGCAAACTAAAAGAAGGGATGTGTGGGCAGAGGGACACAGGGACAGAGCGTTGGCAGAGGGACAGCAGGTGCCAAGGACCGGTGGGAGGGTGTAGGGGCCGGAGTCCTTGCCCCCATCCAGGTGCAAGGAGGTGAATGGTGGGAAGGAGGCCAGGGAGCACTCGCCCTGGGTCAGCAATGAAAGCGAGAGAAGCCCCGCTCGCTGCACCAGGCACCGCCAGGGCGGGCATCCATGTGTGTTAACTCACCTGTGAGGGGGGTGCTCTTATCCCCCCGTACAGATGAGGAAACTGAGGCACAAAGAGGCTAAGAAACTTGTCCAAGGCCACTCAGCTAATAAACTGACGGAGCCAAGCTATGGCCCCACAGCTTGATGGCTTCTTGCCTCTCAGGCAATAGGGAGCCACCGAAGGTTACTGAGTACAGGAGCAGCCTGGGGGCTCTGCGTGGGGCTAGGAGAAGAGATGGGGATGAGGCTGGAGATGGAAACCTGGTCACAACCCCATCCCATGGCAGGAAGGAACAGTGTGGGGACAGCAGAGCCAGGGTGGCGCTGGGTTCTACAGCAAGGGCGGGACGTGCCAGCCCCGAGGCGGTCGGTCTGTGGACCTCCTCTGACAGGTGCATTCCCAAGCTTTCGTCAGGAGATCAAGGCAGCCCGAAGGGGCCATGGACCTCCCGGCTCTACTTCCAGGCCTGGCCAGGGTCGCCCAGCCTCTCGCGGTGCCCACCACCTCCCTGTTCCAGCAGAGCCCACTCTCCAGGTTCCAAGGCCAGGCCTTGGGGCCACTCTGGAATGCAGCGATACTGGGGATGGGACATGAGACACCCTGTCTTTGGAGGTCCCCTTTTACCCTCACTGAGGCAGGGTGGCCCCAGTCATCTCTGGGTTCTACTTCGCCGTCTACCCAAAGGTGAAATACCCAATGAGAGGAGATGTTTCCTCCAACCTTCCGCAGTGTGGGCTGCGGTGGGGGTGGGAAGTCATGAGTATCCTCTGCAGTGGAGCCTGCCGCACCCCCGCGCCACTGGCAGAGACGCAGCCCGGTCGGTGAAAATAACAAAATATGAAATTCATATTCATTTTCTGGTTAGTTGGAATTTGAATTTCAAATCGGGCCCTGCGCTGATACAGATTGACTGTGGACTGACTCCCAGAGCCCATCAATCAACGCCGGAGCCCACCAGGCCCTTTGGCATCCAAGAGGCTTTCTCAGGAGACCCCAGCCCATCAGGATGGGCGAGCCAAGGTTATTCGTGCCAAGACAGGCAGGCTGACCCACCCAAAGCCCCGCCTGCAGACTGGGGGTCTCAGCCCTCCGCAGGTTTCCATACCAGCCTGGGGGAAAGATCTCCATACCAGCCTGGGGGAAAGGTCTCCAGTTGTCTTTCCCGCTAATGTGCTGTCTGCTGTTATTTGTCAGCTTGAGAACTAAGAAGAGACACTCATTCACTCCTTGACAAGGTCACCTTTCCTGTAGCCCCTCCAACACCTAGCATCTGCTAGCTCAAAGTGGTCCCCGCCCCTAACACACCAAAGAGGCCATTAGGTTACAGCAAGACCTGTTCCTATCACCTCCTTGCCCACACTCTTACCTGCAGCTGGTGCTTTACTGGGCCTCAGTTTCCTCATCTGTAAATGGGGTGACACAACCTGCCGTGGGGTCTGCTGCATGCCTGGCAAGTATAGCAGGTGTTCTGTTGCTCAGTAACACTCAGCAAGGACTGATTCAGCGCTGCCTACATGCCAGGCCCTGCCCCAGGCTGGGGAAGCAAGGCAGACCCTACAGTCAACACAACAAACCAAGCCCCCTGCCTGCTCGCGGCAGACGTTCTAGAGCAGCGGGTCTCAACCTGGGCGGGTCTGTCGCCCACGTGACGCTTGGCAATGACTGGAGACATTTTTTTTGTTTGTTTTCATAACCCTGGGGAAAATGGGAGGTGTCACTAGAATCTTACAGGTGGAGGCGGGGTCTTGCTAAACACCCTCCAGCACACAGGGCAGCCCCACTTATTCACAAAGCGTTATCCCACCCAAAATGCAATAGTGCTGAGGTCGAGAAGCCCAGTTCTGAAGGAGAGACAGTAGACGAGATAAATAAGTTAAAATGCCTGAGCTGGGAGTGCTACACAGGAGAGGCAGGGTAGCTCCGAGAGTGAACCACCCCTCTCCAGGTGAGAGACCAGGAAGCTGAGTGCAAGGTAGGAATTTCCAGGGGCACCACGCAAGGGGACAGCAGGGCTCACAAGCAGGAGGGACTGGAACACCAAGCAGAAGAGTTTTGACTTAATTCTCAAAGTCAGAAGCCTTTGACCAAGAGTCCCAGGCTGAAATTTACATTTTAAGGCGTTTGCCTGGACATGTATTCAGGGCCCCTACAGAGGGGCTCGGGCACCTTCTGAGATCCTCAGCAGACTAGACAGTTCGCCACACCGTCTCTTCTAATCTGCACGGTTCTCTGAGGAAAGAATATTCTCTTTTCCCAGACGAGAGGCCTGGGGTGCAGATCAAGGCAGCAACTTGCCCATGGCCCCCAGACAGCCAGGGGCATAGCAGGAATTCAGACAGGTCCCAAACGTGGGCATTTACAATTCATCCTGCTGCCTCCCTACACATTGGGTGGTTCACGCCCCAGGTCTGTTCCTGTCCAAATTATCCCTCTTTCTCCAGGGAAGGGAGAAACTTCTATGCTGATTAGCAAAATGTCTCTGTAACTCTTAAAACCCAGTGACCAGGTCACTGGCCTCAAGACTGTCTCATCTCAGGGCTGCAAGGCTGTTAATTGATATTCCTCTTTGCTATGTTAATTTAAATAAAGCCTTTGCCAGATGACGATGAGCACCTGCCTTTAATAAAGTCATCTGAGAGCACCTGCCTTTAATAAAGTCATCTGAAGAAATCTCAGAGCACCGTGCGGGGAGCAGTGAGGGAGAAATGTCGAGCCTGCGGGGGTCCCGGGGAAACCACTGGGCAGGTCTGCAGCCCCAGCCTGGGAGGTGCATACGAGCTCTGTCTTGTTTTTCCAGCTGCAGGGATGGGAGCCTGTCCAGAAACCACAGAGCCGAGCTCCCGCAAGCCCCTTCTTCAGCCGGGGCAGGTCGCAAAAGGCGAGGCATCAGGAGGCCTCTGTAGAAACCCAGTGACAGAGACAGACAGGCACTTCCTGCTGCCAGCCAGAGCCAAGCATGACTGGGGACAGACGCTGTTCTACCCTCTCAGGGGCGCCTCGGCAAGTGCTGCCCTCACCATGCCCATTGTACACCTAGGAAACTGAGGCCCAGGCACGCTGGGGACTTGTTCAAGCTCACATGGCCAGCAGAGCCTGGACTCAAACCCAGGGCTGTCTGTGTCTCAGTGCAATTCACTTGCCTGCCCCTCACCCTGTGAGCATGCAGTGCAGCGGGGCTGAAGTGCCCAGGCAGGCTTCATGGAGGAGGAGGATGCTTTCAAGCTGATCCCTGGGGCTGAGCAGGGAAAGGTCATTCCTGGAAGGTGGGAGAACGAGCTGAGGCGCAGAGTTGAGGAGCGGGGGTGAAGCTGCAGGGCAAAATAAAGCCACTCTCAAGCCCCAACTTCCTCTCCCCGACTCAGTTCCAAAGAGGCGAGCTGGAGAGAAGCCAAGGAGCCACTGGTACTCGCTTTCTTCTGGGAGGAAAACTCTTAGGCCAAGATTTTAACATTCTTTTCCTCCTTGAAAAACATCTCTGGTTTCAAGCCTGCATTTTTGGCAACCTCATCCCCGCCCTCTGCTCTGAGTGTCTTGGCATTCAGGGGAAATGATGCACTCAGAGGAAGGCGTACCCCGCCCCACAGGGAGAGAGGCCAGGGAGGGAGGATGCAGAGACAGGGCAGGGAGCAAAGGCTTGAAGAAATGGGGGCTGTGAGGAAGTTCCTTTCCAGAGGGTTCCACCAGACACAGGGAAGGGAAGGAATGCTGCTTAAGTGCCTACTGTGTGCAAGCCACACCCAGTACCTCCACACATATCTGCTTGGTGTCCCACACGGAACGCTTCTTGAATCAGATGGTGCTTTGAATCCCAGCTCTGGCTTTCAACTAGTCAGCATTGAAAAGGCACCTACCACATGCAAAGCCTTCCACACCTGTCCACTTAGTGGCCTGCACTGAACATAGCTAGAATCATGGCTTCAAATTCCAGCTCCACCTTTCAGCTAGCCAACATTAATAAAGCACCTACTATGAGCAGGTGCCACCCAGACACTTCCACACCTGCCCTCTTAGTGACCTGCCCTGAACACTACTTGAATCAAGAGTCAGTGCTTCAAATTCCAGCTCCACCTTTCAGCTAGCCAACATTAATAAAGCACCTACTATGTGCGAGCACCACCCGGGCACTTCCATACCTACCCACTTAGAGGCCTGCACTGAACACTGCTTGAGTCAAGAGACAATGCTTCAAATCCCATCTCTGCTGTTCAGCTAGCCAACATTAATAAAGCACCTACTATGAGCAGGTGCCACCCAGACACTTCCACACCTGCCCTCTTAGTGACCTGCCCTGAACACTACTTGAATCAAGAGTCAGTGCTTCAAATCCCAGCTCTGCCATTCAACTAGCCTACATTAATAAAGCACCTACTATGTGTGAGCACCACCTGGACACTTCTGCTCATGTCCACTTGGTGGCCTGCATGCAAAACTTCTTGAATTAGATGATTCTTCAAATTGCCACTCTGCCTTTCAGCTATCCAACACCAATAAGGTGCCTACTATGTGCACAATGCCACTATGTATCCTGAGGCAAAGGAATTAAACTTCCATGACCCATTCCTCCCATCAGGACAATGCGTTTACTTCCTGTATAGGAAGAATCGGGACTAGCAGTAATGAATAAGACGCGTGAGGGAGAGGGGACTGTATTTAACTGAAGGCAGCCCTGATGGAGGAGGTCTTGTGTGGACAGATCCCACCAGCTGTTGATGGGGCAGTAATAGGCAAGCCGGTGGCCTTAGTGGCAGAGGGCATGGATTCAGTTCTTCAAGATCTCTGGGTACCCACTCTTCACTGGCATTGGGACCACACAAGAGACTCAGACGCCAGCCCTAAGAAATCCACAGTCTAGTGGAGGAGACGGTACACACACTGCAGTGACAGACATCCCTCTGCCCCACCAGCTTTGGCTTGGCCTTGCAAAGGATGTGGCCAATGGATTACTCAAGGATGAGATGTGAGCCAAGGCCTTACACACACTTGCACTGTTACATTTGGCTTCTTGTGCTCTGGTGATCTGCCATGAGCCTGGGTCCCAGAATGAGACACATGGTAGAGACCCAAAACCAACCCAAGGCCTGGAGCCAAACCCTGCTGCCCCACAGCCTGAGTCAGACAGGCTGCAGCCACTCTGAAGCCCCAGGAGTGAGAAAAATAAGCCACCTTCTTATTAGGAGCCACCAGATGTTTGAAGTAATTTGTTACACAGCATTATTGCAGCAGTTGCTGACTGATACATGGTGACAACAGGGTATGGTGATTGCTTTGCTGCAGGTGTACCCAGGTGAGCTCAGGGGAAGACCTGGAGGGCAAGAGAAACTTCTGGGAGGAGGTGACATGTGAATTGGACCTTGAAGGATAAGTATGAGAAGAAAGCCAGATGTTCCAGGCTGTTCCAGGCAGACAGCATAACCACAGGAACAGCATAGGGTCAGAGGTGCAGCGGCATGAGCAGGACTGTCCCAGTGAGGAGGTGTTTGCTATGAGGTTGCTACTGGGGAAAACATTCCTGTTTTAGGAATCCCAAAGTTGATTTCCTTCCATCAGCAGGCAGCAAGCACATGTGTTAAAAAGACCTCATGCAATCCCGGCACTTTGGGAGACCAAGGCAGGCAGCTCACTTGAGCTCAGAAGTTCAAGACCAGCCTGGGCAACATGGCAAAAACCCATCTCTACAAAAATACAAAAATTAGCCAGGCACAGTGGTGTGCACCTGTAATCCCAGCTACTTCGGGATCTAAGGCAGGAGAATCACTTGAGCCCAGGAGGCAGAAGTCGCAGTGAGCAGAGATCATGCCACTGCACTCCAGCTTGGGCAATGGGAGTGAAACCCTGTCTCAAAAAACAAAAACACCCCCACAAACCTCAGACAGTAAGGGCTGTGGTTGGTGTTTTTACTTTAATATACTCCAGGTTTTAATTCTTCAGTGTTTACCAGAGCCTCTGCCTCAGAAGCCCCCTAGTCTAGCACTTTAGGTGGCTGCGTGGCGACGTGGCAACTCTCAGAGGGCAGCTCACACTGGCAGGTACTTTCTCCCCTGGTCTGGCTCGTACCATCTCTGCCATCGCGGGCACGAGGACCTGGCCACGGGTCCTCTGTCCCCTGGAGCTGGAGGCTGGACGGACTCCCCCGACCAGCCCCCTCACGTTAACATCCAAAAGCTCCAAACGGGGGCACTGGCCTGAGACGGTCCTAGTTTCCCTCCGCGACCTCGCCCATCTCTACTCCCTGGGGCCACCTGTGACCTGGCACTGCCCAGCCTCCAACCTTCACCCCCTGCACAGGCCCCGGGTCAGAAAGGACACATGCCACACTCAACACACTTACACATATTCACACACTCACGCCACACTCATCACACCACACTCAACACACTTACACACCACACCATGTGCCACATTCACACACACACCACACTCAACATACTTACGCACCACACACCACACTCACACACAAAACACACACCACACAACGCACCACATTCACACCCACACACACCACTCAACATACACACCACACGCCACACTGACACACAAAACACACACCACACCACAACACACCACATTCACACACCCACACCACTCACCACACATTCAACAAACTCACCACACACATCACATACCACATTCACACACACTACACTGAACACACCACATTCAACACACTCACATTCACACACTCACACCACACTCATCACACTCACCACACTCAACACACACACCACATGCCACATTCACACACACACTCAACACACTCACATCCACACTCACAACACACACACCACTCAACACACTCTACATTCTTACACACCACACACCACTGACACAAAACACACAAGACACCACATTCTCACCCACACACACACCACACTCAACACACTCACTATTCACACACTCACATCACACTCATCTCACCACACTCAACACACTTACACACCACATGCCACACTCACACACACCACACTAACCACACTGACTTACACACCCTGACACCACACTCAACACACTCAACATACACACCACACTGACACACAAAACATACACCACACAACACCACATTCACACCCACACTCACACCACACTCAACACACACATTCACACATACCACACACACCACACTCAACATACATACCACACACCTCACTGACACACAAAACACACCACACAACACACCACATTCACACTCACACGCACATCACACTCACCACACTCACACATTCTCACACACCACATTCCACACACCACATTCAACACACACACCACACACACTACACACTCACACTAAACACACCACATTCAAACACCACACTCACACTCGTACCACACTCATCACAATCACCACTCAACACACTTACACACCACATGCCACACTCACACACACTGCACTCAGCACACTCACCACATTCACACCTTCACACCACACACACCACTCAACATCCTTACACACCACACACCACACTGACACACAAAACACACAACACACCACATTCGCACCCACACACACACCACACTCACCACATTCACACCCTCACACCACACACACCACACTCAACATACACACCACACACCACACTGACACACAAAACACACACCACACAACACACCACATTCACACCCACACACACATCCACACCCACACACTCACACACACACACACCACACACCATACTCTCTCACACATACACACTCACACCACACTCGACATACGCACCCACATCACACTGACAGACACACAGATATGTCACACTTGGAAGCCCCAGGCCTTGGGGATGCCAGATGCACGCAAAGGAGTGGGTGTGCCGTGCCTCTCCAGCATGGGGCCGTGCAGGTTGGGGGATTCGACTCTGCGGGGCTTTCTGCTTCCATAGCCAGACACCAAGCTCATCCCGGAGCTGCTCTGCCTTTCTAGGAAAGCGACAGCCCAGCCCCGGAACGCAACCCCTGGTGGCCCCTGGGCTGCTGCGTGCGGGGAGCTGGTGGGGTTTAGCTTTCTCTCTGGAGGGGCTGACTTCTAGACCCGGGCCTGGGCCTGGAAGGAGGTGCGAGCCAGATGCAGGGAAGTGGGCCTGGGCGGGGGCCTTGCATGCCTGCAAAGGTGCAGGCCGGGGCCCCAAAGCAGGAGACACTCCATAAAAATCCCACTCAGTCATGTGCCTGCCAAATTCTCATTCCAAACACCCCCAACACACACTTCAGCAGCTCCACCTCCTGCAGGCCGCAATAGAGCCACTCAGCAGAGACGGACTGCCCGGGGGGCCCACGGCAGCCTGGACGTCACCAGCTTACTGCCCCTGCCCTGCCAGTTGTCCCCTCTCACGCTCACAGCTGCACCTTGCACCGTGTGGAAACAGAGCTCCGTCCTGCCCAAAGTCATTTACTCCACACTGGCGGGGAACGGCCGTTCTGGCGCCCCCAGCCTGCTCTGCCTTCTGTGTGAACCCACACACTTCGCCAAGTTCAGGCCAGGGCTCTCCTTTAAATCCAGGACCCCAACTCACAGGCAGAGGCTGGCAGTTCTGTGTGAAGCCACCTTGAGACTCCTGATTCCAGGGAGGGAGAGGAGAACCCAGGGTGTGAAGCTTACAGCAGCCCCAGTGACACATTTGCAGGAAGCCACCCCAGAACCCGCGGGGCGCAGCAGACAGTGATCACTGATGACGCGAGGGAACCCCAGCGGCTGTCAGGGCAACAGCTGAAAGGTGCAATCTCGCATGAACACATCTCCCCAAAAGTATTTCCTAAAAAATTACCCAAGCAAGGGCTGCGCTGACTCCATGACCCTGCCCCAGCACCGGCTGAGTCTCATGAGAAACTGTTACTGCTTGGTGCACATTTTCAGAGTCACTCACATAACAAATATTTCTCGAAAGCCTGCCATGTCCAGGACCATGCTCCAGGCAGCAGCCGTGCAGAGTGGCGAGGCCCACGGGCCCAGGTCTCACTGGGCTGCCGTGCGAGAGGGAACCGTGACGGTGCGCTGGGGAGGGCACTCCCGGTGGATGTCTCCTCCCAGCAACCGGGGAGGGCCCAGCTCCTGCCTCCACCATGGCCGGCACAGAGTAGGCGCTTCAATAAAGAGACAATTGAATCAATAAAGTTGAATCAATAAAGAAACAGGTGGAAAATAAGATAAGCTTTGTAGAAACAATTTGCTAGATATGAATAAAGTAACTCAGATACAGATCATCAGAAACACAGCGGCAGCCCAGCGGCACTGGCAACCCCAGCCCTGTGCGAGATTCTCTCGTGGGCCTCCTCTCCTTGACAGGGTTGCTGATTTCATAAAAACACAGGATGCCCAGTTAAATCTGAATTTCAGGTAAACAAATAATTTTTTAGTCGAAGTTTATTTCGGCTAAATTTGGGATATACTTATATTTAAGTATTTGGGATATACTTATATTTAAAATATTCATTGTTTGTCTGGAATTCAAATATAACTGGGCATCTTGCGTTTTACCAGGCAACCCTATTTCCTAGCCAAGATCAAGAGGCACTGGGCTGGTGATCGTAGGATGAGGTGAAGGCGGAAACCGTGACCGTGGCTGCCCGCCAGGGAGAGCATGGGCTCTCGCCCACTACCCCTCCCTCCTCTTAGACTCTCTTCCCCCAGGAAGCCCTCAGTTAACGCGCTCTCTCCTCCTCCCTTGGCTCTCACACCTCTCTGAGGAGCCCAGTCCCTACCTGAAGCCCCCAGCACCCGGGCCCCATTCCCCACCCTCCCCTTCCTCCCCGCACCAGTGTGTCTCCTGGCATAGGCAGCGATGAGTTTATTGTTTGCTGTCACTCCCCACCCCCTGACACACACACACACACACACACACACAATACACATCACAAGGGCGGGGCTTCTGGCTGTTTTGTTTACAGCTATATCCCCAGCACCTAAAACAGGGCCAGCACCTCGCCAGAGCTTAAAACCCATTTGGGAGATGGAGACACGTGGGGTGGGTTGGCGGGAAACAAAAATCAGGTTCCTGACCCGCCACAGAAGAGGGGCCGTGACTAGCAGCCTCAGAAAGTGCCATGAACAAAACAGGTGCTGTGGATCTGAAGGTCAGGCTGATGCCTCCTCTTGGCTCCCACAGGCACGTGCACAGCAAAAATGGAAGTCTGGTTCCCTCCCCTGCACAGTCCCCACTTAGATCAGTGAGTGGCACCACAGCCCTCGCTGGTTCTGGAGCAGAACCCTCTGCACCCCCGAGCTCTCCCTCGCCTACCCTGACACGGCATCTCCAAGCCAGGCTTCCTACCCTCTTTCCTCCCTTGCTGCAGGCCCAGGCCCAGGCCTCAGAGCATCAGCTTCCCAAAGACTTGAGGTTTTTGCAGAAGCCAAGGAAAGCCCCCAGCAGCCAGCAGCTCTGCAAAAGTCCCTGCAGGGATGGGCCGCTGGGGCCTAAGCCACCCTCTAGAAGAGTGGGCCAGAGGAAAAAAGGTGACTGATCCCCCCTACACTGACTCCGTCTCTCGGGTTGTCAAGCACTCTCATCGGCGTTATTTTTATTTCAGCCTCACCACGGTGAGCTGAGCAGGACTATTTCCATGTCACACCCTGGCGTGGAGCCACTCACAAACCACAGGCCAGCAGCCCCCGCGTTCGGGCCGCAGGTCCCGGCACCCTCCCCCAGCAGCACATCCACTGGGACACACATTGCGGGCAGGGCCAGCAGGCGACACGGAGGAAGAGAGCAGGAGGGCTGCCCGCTCTGAAAAGTTGGCAGACGACTGCATCTACAATAAAAGACGAAGTTAAAATATTGAACCAAAAAACATGAAAGGTTTTCGTACAGAAATCCCTTTGGATGCTAAACTTTCACGAGGTACTTGAAAAGGCAGCTATTTTGACTTCAATCAGTTTTCAGAGTGGGTTCGCACACAAAGAAGATGAAAAGTGTGTGGGGCTCTGCTGCCCATAATAGACTCTTCGCTCCTGTTCCATTCTTGCCTGGGCTCCGTGGCCCAGCTCTCCTCACCCTGTGGGGAAAGCCATGCCTTTCCTGCCAGCCTGCTTCTCCACCCTTACCCTGGGGCCTGCCCAGTGCCTCCCAACTAAACCACCATCTGCTCGGCTCCTTGACTGGTTCGTGTGAGTCTGGCCACCAACCTGGGTCTGAAAGAGTGTCTCTTAGAATCTGCTGCACAGGCCCAGGAAGGCAGGGCGCAGGTGCGGGGGCTTGCTCTGCTCTGGGATCTGAGTCCTAAGGGCTACAGAGACCCAGCTTGCTGGCAGTCAGCTTCCCCAGCTGCATGGAAGAATTGCAAAATGAAACCAAGGCAGAAAGGATAGCAGACCCAGGAGGTGGAGAGAGAGGCGAGAAAACAGCCCCAGGCCCCCGTTCTGGCAGAGCCCACAGCCAGCCCCGACCCCTGGATGTCCCAATCACCTGAGCGTCTGTCCCTCTCTGCTGGAGCTGGCATGAGCTGCTTTCGGTGACCTGCATTTGCAGCCTCTGCCAAAAATGTCCAAAAACCAGCTGCCTGGGGGACTTACTTGATAATACTTCAGTGCATTGGGCTCCATAGACCTGAATTCTGGCACTCGTTTTATAACTAACTGCCCAGGTGATCTTAGCCAGGGCATTGCATCTTCTTGTGACTCAGTTTCCCCACTATAAAATGGATTAAATAACAGAGGTGAGAGCATATTAAAGTCAAAAGCGCTGTGGAGATGAATGCACTGGTGTCTCCACACCCAGTGGTCTCTCCCTCCAGACCAAGGCTCCTTAGGAACAGGAACCTCGTCCTCCTCACCTCCTTACCCTCAACACCTAACACCAGACCTGGCCCTCAAAGAGTGCTTTAAAAAAATTCTGGATGGATGTAAACCCCAAATGATTGAAAGGTGGTCTCATAGAAACATGTGCACACCCGTGTGCATTGCAGGATTCTTCACAATCGCCGAAAGGTGGCAGCAAGGCCGGCGAGGTGGTTCATGCCTGTAATCCCAGAACTTTGGGAGGCTGAGGCGGGTGGATCACGAGGTCAGGAGTTTGAGACCAGCCTGACCAGCATGGTGAAACCCGTCTCTACTAAAAATACAAAAATTAGCTGGGCATGGTGGCGTGTGCCTGTAATCCCAGCTACTCAGGAGGCTGAGGCAGGAGAATCGCTTGAACCCAGCAGGCAGAGGTTGCAGTGAGCCAAGATTGCGCCACTGCACTCCACTCTGGCGACAGAGGGAGACTCTGTCTCAAAAAGAAAAAAAAGAAACTGAAAATTCTGACGTATGCTACAGCATGGACATCGTGACATTGAGGACGTTACGCTAAGAGAAATAAGCTGTCACCAAAGGACACATGCTCTGTGATCCCACTGACATGAGGCCCCTAGGGCAGTCACACTCACAGAGCAGAAAGAGGAACGCTGAGTGCCGGGGCGGGGAGGGGGATGGGGAGCTGCTGGGTTCTTCAGGCTGTTTGTTTTGAGACGGAGTCTGGCTCCGTCGCCCAGACCGGACTGCAGTGGCTCGATCTCGGCTCCCTGCAACCTCCGCCTCCCGGGTTCAGGTGATTCCCCTGCCTCAGCCTCCTGAGTAGCTGGAATTACAGGCGCCCCCCACCACACCCGGCTAATTTTTGTATTTTTCGTAGAGACGGGGTTTCACCATGTTGGCCAGGCTGGTCTCAAACTCCTGACCTGAGGTGATCCACCTGCCTCAGCCTCCCAAAGTGCTGGGATTACAGGCGTGAGCCATGGCGCCGGGCCTAGGGAGTTGTTATTTAATAGGGACATATTTCAGTTTGGGAAGATGGAGAGAATTCTAGAGACAAATGGTGCTGATCACTGCATAACATCGTGAATGTATTTAATTTCACTGAACTATATGCTTACAAATGGTTAAGATGGTAAATTTTATGTTAGGTGTTTACCACAATTTAAAACAAAAACCTGGAAAGCATAGACTTGAAATATATGGCATGGGTAACGTTAGGCGACTTCAGCAAACAAAACTGGGAAGCCCAACACGCCCGGCTTATTTGCCGTGGAAACTGCTCTTGGAATCATGACAGGAATCCTTTGACCTTTGCAAAACACTAGTCATGACTCAAGTCGGCTCAGCAAAATATCTCCCTCACTTTGAAACCACAGCTGTGGACCCAGCAGCACTGCCTGAGTACTCACCCTCACCAAGCCAGGCGATGAGATCGCTCAACCTTCACGAAGGCAGTGAGGTGGCGCCGTTCTCCTCTCTACCATAAGTGTGACACCAGCAAGGTTGCAATTGCTCCCGTGACTTGCCAAGAACGCACAGCTAGTGAGTGGAGGCAGGCCAGGGCTGGCCCAGCCACCCCAGCTGAGCCTCCTTGCCTTTTAGCTGTTTCTGCGTTTGCAGAAGTTACAGTGTTAGCAGCAGCAGTCTTTGAGGTTCAGAGTGAGTCTTTCCACGTTGTACTTTATCAACTTATATGTGGTCCTGAGGTAGGAGACGGGACTGGACTCCAGAGACCGGGCTTGGGCACAAGACCAGATTGAGGACTAGCTAAAATAGGGCTGGGCCAAAGCAGCTTTCAATCAGGCATGCCCACCAGTAGGCCATATCGATTTACCATTGCCATGGCAACACCCGGGCGTTACCGCTCTTTTTCATAGCAATGGCCCAACAATTACTACCCCTTCCCTAGAAATTTCTGCATGAACTGCTCCTTAATCAGTATGCAATTAAAAGTGGGTATAGGCCGGGCGTGGTGGCTCACGCCTGTAATACCAACACTTTGGGAGGTCAGGAGTTCAAGATCAGCCTGGCCAAGATGGTGAAACCCCATCTGTACTAAAAATACAAAAATTAGCCGGGCGTGGTGGCGGGCACCTGTAATTCCAGCTACTCAGGAGGCTGAGGCAGGAGGATCGCTTGAAACCGGGAGGCGGAGGTTGCAGTGAGCCGAGATCGCGCCACTGCACTCCAGCCTGGGCGACACCAGGCTGGAAAAAAAATAAAGTGGGTATAAATATGGCTGCTACTCTCTGCCCACGGGGTAGCCCTGCTCTGCGGGAGCAGACACGGAGCTGTAACACTGCCACTTCAATAAAGCTGTTTTCTACTACCTCTGCCTTGTGCTTGAAGTAGTTCCTGAGCAAAGCCAGGAACCCTTGCAGGCCAAGCTCCACTTTGGGGCTCGCCTGCCCTGCGTTGGTTCCAGTTTTTTCAATGCATGTGTTTTAGTTTTGCACTCTGAAAAAAAACGTTTCAACAGGAACATTCATTTACACAAGGAGGTAGGATTCAACAAGGCAACAATCAGTACAGGTTTTTGTTATTTACAAAGATCTTAGACAGCAGCTGTCTTATTTGGTCTTCAAAACAACCTGGCAGGTACATATTGGCCCATTTTGGAGATGGGGATGGAGTACGGATGAGATTTACTTCACTGTCCAACCAAAAAGTAATAAATTTGGCACAAACCCGGGGCTCCCACCTTCCAGATTCAGCAGAGCCCAGAGCTCAGCAGCTGCACCTCCTAATTATGTGAGCCAGGAACTCTTCCTCCCACCTGGCGGCCTCTCCACCTCCAGGCTCCTTTCACACCCGGGTCATCACACACCTCTGGCACCCTGCTTTGGAACTGGAATGACCTCCTACATAAAGGCAGGGTGGTGATTCATTCACCTCTGAACCCTGAGCACCTGACGCTAAAACCAGGGGCTTAAATATATGCTGAAAGATCAGCGGGAAGAAACAGGGAGGGAGGAAGGAAGAAAAGAAAGGAGATTGGGGATCAATTGTCTTCATATCGACCAAAAGGAGACTACTGGGCTGGAGAATCCCAGCAGGGGTACTGTCTTTTCCAAGAATCTCTTGCAATTTTGTATTGTAGCTATTCCAGAAGCATCCAGGATAGTATCAGAGTAAAACAACAATTGTCTGTGAACGACACAGCCACAAAGCACAAGGTTAAAAATTTGATAAGAGTTTCTCCGCCGGGCGTGGTGGCTCACACCTGTAATCCCAGCACTTTGGGAGGCCGAGGCGGGTGGATCACCTGAGCTCAAGAGTTTGAGACCAGCCTGGTCAACACTGTGAAACCCCGTCTAGAGTAAAAATACAAAAAATTCGCCGGGTATGGTGGTGGGCACCTGTAATCCCAGCTACTCAGGAGGCTGAGGCAGGAGAATCACTTGAACCGGGGAGGCAGAGGTTGCAGTGAGCCGAGATCGCGCCACTGTACTCCAGCCTGGGCGACAGAGCAAGTCTCCATCTCAAAAAAAAAGAAAAAAGGAGAAAAAGAGTTCTCTCTGCTCAGAGTCTGCCACCTGTGTCTTTGTGCAGGGCAGGCTGGGCATGCTGGGGAGTTGCCACCTGTGGGACCAGCCCCCAGGCTGTGATGGGCAGGAGTATTCCCAGCTTTCTTGCCCCTGGGCAGTGCAGCTCCAAGGCAGGTTCCACACCGTCTCGCAGTGGGAATGAGCCCAGTGACCCACGGTGATCACCTGCCCCGGAGAAGGCGCCCCTGCTTGGCTTCCTTCCCCTCCCTCTCTCCAGTGACCCACGGTGATCATCTGCCCCGGAGAAGGTGCCCCTGCTTGGCTTCCTTCCCCTCCCTCTCTCCAGTGACCCACGGTGATCACCAGCCCCGGAGAAGGCGCCCCTGCTTGGCTTCCTTCCCCTCCCTCTCTCCAGTGACCCACGGTGATCACCTGCCCCGGAGAAGGTGCCCCTGCTTGGCTTCCTTCCCCTCCCTCTCTCCAGTGACCCACGGTGATCACCTGCCCCGGAGAAGGCGCCCCTGCTTGGCTTCCTTCCCTTCCCTCTCTCTTTCCTCCACTTTCCTGCTGGCACTTCCCGGGATCGTCTCCCAAATAACCTACTCGCACGCAAAGCTTTATCTCAAGGTTGGCTTTTGGGAACCCAAAGACAAAAAGCCAGGCCTCTCTGGACCCGTGAGGGGCACTGAAGTTGAGCAAGAAATAGGCCTTTGCTTCAAGGCCCTGGTTGGAGGCTGGCGTCACCTGTGGTGGCAGCATGACTTACAGAGCTGGAGGTTAGGAGCCCCATTCAGAGGTGAGGACATCATGGCCCAGGGAGGCAGAATAGGTCGTCTGAGGCCACAGGCTGGGAAATGGCAGGTTGAGATGGCCCTCGGAGCTGTCTCACTCCAGAGCATAAGCTCTTAACCACCTACTCCGCTGCAGGAAGGAGGGAGGGAGGGAGGACACACAGGGAGGGAGGGAGGGGACCTCACCTGACCTTAAAGGTTCCCTGCAGCTTGTGCCTCCCAGCAGGGACCAGGCGGTGGCCTGTGGTGGGGGCTCCGTCTGCACCGTGAGCCAGCCAAGGGCAGGCAAGCCTGCCCAGCCCCTCCGTGTCCTCAGGCCTCTGCTCGCCGTCATTTCCTGCCCCTGCCGTCCATCAGAGCTGGGGACGCAGCCCTCACCTTGGCAGGGTCTAGGAGAAACGGTGATGCTCAGAGTCTCCCAGCACAGCAGCACCCGCTTTCGGGTGTCTCAGGAGAAAGCGGGCTGCCCTCTGCACGCAGGCACCCCGCTGAGGACGGCCTTGGCACCCCCTCTTCAGGCCTTCCTGGGGACGGGGCTCTGTCTGTGGGGGGTCGGGAGGGAGGTGGAGGGCTGGATCTTTGCTCGGACACTCCCGTGGTTGGGCCGAAGGAGCCTCGCCAGTGGCTTGGGGTTTGCTTTCCAGAGGCTGTGGTTTCCCTGGCAGCTCAGCACAGGCCCTGGAAATTCACAACGTGGCTTTGGGGTTTGTTTGTTTGTTTGTTTTTGTTTTGTTTTTGTTTTTTCAGAATCTTGTATAGCTTGAGAGAGAGAAATGGCAGAGAGAGAGAGGAAAGAGGAGACGGCGGAGAGAGAGAGAGACACCTTCTGGAGACCTCTAGGGTCCTATTCACTCCTTGCTCCAAGCCTCGGGGGCTCGGGAAGGCTGCAGAGGCTCCTGCTCAGCCCGTGTGCCCAGCAGGAGGCCCTGTCCACAACTGGACAGCATGAGGGCAGGGGCTGGACGAGCCGGCCCTGACTGTGGCCGTGGCTGGCAGGCCTCGTTCCTCTGAGCTCTTTCTCTCGGCGCCTGGACCAGAGCCTGGAGTGCACTCAAGACTCTCCAGTCTGGGTTTCCATTGTGGCTGCTTTCCAGTGGCCTCAGGGACTGTGAGGTCCTCCAAGGCGGGCAGGGCCTCCCGGTGTCCACCGTGCCTGGTGTGGGCGAGTGAGGAGCAGAGCTGAGCTGGGAGGCACGCACCCTTGCTCCAGGCCTCGCCATCCCAGCCTCGGCTCCCCCCCAACTCACTCCCCACTCTACCAGGAGGAAGCTGCAGGGCCTGGGACCGTGGCCTACAGGGAGCAGTGGGAAAAGCCAGGGCCTTTCCTGAAGGAGATCTGACTCGTAAGGACGGTGGGAGCAGCCTTCTGCCATGTGAAAGGCCACCGTGGTGAGGAGAATGGCCACCACAGGAAAAGCCACCGCAGTGAGGAGAATGGCCACGGAGGGCCCATCGCTGGCAGGTGGACCGTATGGAGCCAGAATTCAGTTCAGTCCAAAGAAAAACTTTCTGACAGGCCCGAACCTCCAGGCCTGGGCAGATGAAGAGTTCCCCGTCACTGGAGGTATGCAAGCAAGGGTGCCCACCCACAGAGAGGGTTTAATGGGGGTCGTGAAAACAGGGTTGGAGGCGTAAATCAGTCGTGTGTGTCACATGCTTTGCCCAGGGTGGGTAGAGTGGCAGGCGCTGTCCTTCGCCTCCCCAGTAGCCACCACCCATCCTGTTTTCCAAACCCCAAACTGTCAGGAAACCCCCAGAGATTTCGAGATCGCAGGGGAGGTAAGGCCCACCCCCAGTGAAAGGGGGTAAATCCTGATTGGTCCACATCAGCCCTGGTAACTGCTCATGGCCCATGATTCGTCAAAAGGCAGGCATATGACCCAGTTGTAACCAATGAGGTGTAAGGGAAAATCTGCTGGGTGGAGCTTTCCTTCCTGAATGCAAAAGCAAAGACTTAAGAGGAAAACGGCCTTTTTCCTGTCTTCCGCCTTCCTGACTGGGACATGGATGTGATGTCCGGAGACACAGTAGCCTCAGCCCTGGTGGCATCATGCAGCAGCCCAACCCTCCAGACTTTCTGTTCAGGAGAAACATGAATCCCTGTGGGTTCAAACCTAGCAGGCACCTGCCTGCTACTTCTGCTACTTGCAGCTAAAGTCATTTTCTACGTTACCTACAAATGGTCAGCTCAGACCCAGTGATTATAACCACCCCACCCCCGTGCATACAGAAGTCAGAACTACAAGGAGGGGGCTCTAGACACACAGCCTGTTTTCCTGTCCCACGTCTTCATTCTTCCCTCTCTCCTCCTCCCAGGCCTCTCTGGCTTCCCACAGCTACCCGATGCCTGTACCCAGCCTCCCTCCTGTTCCCAGAGCTCCCACTCATCCCTCAGATCTGAGGCAGATTTCAGGGGATGCTCACCAGGTCCATACCCCAACCACATCAAGGGGGAGCAGTGTTTCTGCACACCCCACACAATTAATCCTACAGTCCCCAAATGTGGCAGGCACGCCATTTGCTCACAACAGGGGCAAGGGTGCAGGAGGGGCAGCCACCCTGCTGATGGATCACCACACACGCTCTGGACGCCAGGCCTTTCCCGGTCTCTCAGCATCTTCCCCAAGGCGGCCGGGAGCCATCCGCAGGGCAAGGCAGGACCTCGGCTCTGCAAACGGCTGATCCCAGTGTGCGCTTCTTGCTTCACTGACTTCCTCTCGGTGCTGAAGGGTGCAGCTCTGACTGTGCTCTGATAATATTTTGATTTATAAAATGTGCCTGGGTTATAAACCCTCAGAAACTGCTGACCCTCAGAGTGTGAAGGCTAAGTGATAGCACAACTCAAACCATCACCACTGCAATTTTCCTCTCCGTTACTGAAGCAAAACGCCCGACTTGCGCTGCATGCTGGAGGCTGATCAGCTGCAGCCCTGGGAGGAAGAGGGAAGGTGAGCTTTCTGAAGAAGACCCCAGCTCTACCCCGCGTCCTCTGCCAGGGGGATGGCAACTTCACATGACTGCACTTTATTCTTGGTCTCTTTCTCCCACAGAATCACAAGATTCTGCAGATGACGAAACTGAGGCTCAGAGCAAATGAGCAATTTCTCCAAGACCACACAGCTACATAGAGCCTGTTTCAAGTAAAGCAACCAAGCCAGCCTTCTCCCTGCCATCTGTATTGCCTGATCCAGACTCAGGACGTTGCCAAATTTAGGAGCTGGAAGTGTAGCAGGAGTATAGCACAAGACTGCATGCTCACCCTGAGAACCTGGGACTGCAGAGGAGCCACACTGGCATCAAATCCCTAAGGCCTCCTGTGGAAGATGGTGGAGGGGACTTGGGGCAACCAGAAAACCCTCAATAGACCAGGACTTAGACATTGAAAGAAAGGGAAGGGCAGAAGTGAAAGAAGGGTAGGATGGCTCAGCTAAATGAAATGTAAACCTGAGACTAGAGAGAGCACATTGCCACAGAGACTTGCCAACAAAATATGCTGAACTCAAGCAAACTTCCATCCATCCATCCATATAACCATGCATCCATGCATCCTTCCATCCCTCCATCCACCATTCCTCAGTCCATTCCTCCATCCATCCATCCTTCCATCCACCCACTCACCAACCCATTCATCCATCATCCATCCATCCACTCATCCATCATCCATGCATTTATCCATCCAGTAGCCCTCCTTCCCTCCATCCATCCATCCATCCACCATTCATCTTTCCATTCCTCCATCCATCCATCCTTCCATCCACCCACTCACCAACCCATCCATCCATCATCCATCCATCCATCCACCCACTCACCAACACATTCATCCATCATCCATCCATCCACTCATCCATCCACTCATCCATCATCCATGCATTTATCCATCCAATATCCCTCCATCCCTCCATCCATCTTTCCATTCCTCCATCCATCCATCCTTCCATCCATCCACTCACCAACCCATTCATCCATCTTCTATCATCCATCCATCCACCCACTCACCAACCCATTCATCCATCATTCATCATCCATCCATCCACTCATCCATCATCCATGCATTTATCCATCCAATATCCCTCCATCCCTCCATCCATCCATCCACCGTCCATCTAAACATTCCTTCATCCATCCATCCTTCCATCTACCTACCAATCAACTCACCCACCCATCATCCATCCATCTCCCATCCATCTCTCCATTCCTCAGTCCATCCATCCTTCCATCCACCCACCCACCAACCCACCTATCCATCATTCACGCATCCATTCACTCATCCATCATCCATGCATCTATCCACCCAATATCCACCCCTTCCTCCATCTATCCATCCACCCACCATCCATCTATCCATTCCTGTGTCCATCCATCCTTCCATCCACCCACCCAACAACCCATCCATCCATTACCCATCTATCCTCCATCCATCCATTCATCCATCATCTATCCATCTATCTGTCTATCCATCCAATATCCATCCATCCCTCTGTACTTTTGTCTGTCCATCCTCTCAACAAGCATTTACTTCCTCTGTGTTGGGCACCACCCTCAAGAAAGTCAGTCCAATAAAACAGAAACACAGACACAACATTGGTAAAAGTTAATAGGGCTGTGACAGAAAGAAGCACTGAGGTCTGAGGAGACCCAGGAGGCACCCAACCCATACAAGGATTGTCTAGGAAGGCTTCCTGGAGCGGGTAGCACCAGATCCAGATCTCAGAGGATGAATAAGGCACCCAAACAAAAGAAAATGGGCATTTCACACCAAGAGCAAAAACAGGGCACTGCAAAACTGCTTGTTGTGTTCAAGGGACTAAAGGTGGGTCCATGTGGGCTGCAGGGAAGGGCATCTGTGCAGGGGTGGGGAGAGAGAGGGTTGAAGAAGAGGGCTGTGATGGAGGGTCAAGCTCCCCTTTGAGAATCTTGATGTAGAACTGAAATCTGGGGAAAACGTGGTCCCCAACTTTGGGGAGATAAGCACCAGGGGCAACCAGTGTAGCCCTTAATGAAGAAGACCAGAGAGAGGAGCTTAGAGCCACAGCCACCAGAGAATACGGGAGAGGCATGAAGACCGCCTACCCCTAGCTGGGAAGAAAGAGCAGGGCTTGTGCTTCTAGCCATGGCCAGGTGAGGGCTGGAACTCCAAGACCCCCATCATCAATGTCCCCTTACCCCAACACTGGAGGTCCCAACCAAGGACAAATCAAGACTTGGATGTGTTCCAATGAGTCAGCACCATGTTTTTAAAAACGTTAATCTGAATATCTTTAGTCAGGAGTGAAATCAGAAATCGTTAATAACTGCAACAGCCCAGCACCAACCGATCAGAGTGGACTCAAGCCTTGGCGCTGGAGCAGGTTCCAGAAGGCCCTGCTGGCCAGGGGCTGACCCTTTAGCTGCTGAGTCCAGAGGCACTCCCGAGGGCCCACGGCAGCAGGAGTGCAATCAGGGGCTCAGGGCCACAGCTTCTGACCACCCAGTGCAGAAGCATTTGATCATCTTGACAGCTGGTGTGGCCATGCCAGTGCGTGCAAGCTGTGTATCAGTCCTGCCTTTGAATGGGGTCTGCAGGCTCCACCCAGTCAGCCACAGTCCCCATGACACCCTGTCATCTTACACCTGGCAAGTGATGTGTTTGGGTTCCTAATACTTCATCTTACAGAGCCCCGAGAAGCCACATCAGTGGCCAATGCCCCCTAGCCCACGAGCTGCAGGGTCCAGATAAGAGGACAGCTGACACCAGCAACACATGTCCTTGGCACAAACTAAACGCCAGCTTCTCAATGTGCGCACATTCCTGGAACAGGGTGTCCACGTCTTCACCCCAGTACAGTGCCCTTTCAGGAGCAATACTAGCAACTGTGCCCGCTACCACTGAGTGTGCACTATGAGCCCCGTGCAGGGCTGTCACTCCCTGAACCCATGCAATGTCCTGGGGGCCTGTGATGTCCCCCATTGTTTTTAGGTGACGAAATGGAGGCTAAGAGGTGGGGAGAAGTGAGTTGCCCCTGGCCACACAGCCCAGTGGGGGTTAAAATCTGGGTCCATCAAACTCCAACACTGGTGCCCTTGGCCCCTGCCCCAGACATCCCCAGAGAAGTCCCTTCAGGTAACAGAGCCCGAGGTGCAGCCTGTGACAGCAGCGAGGGGCCAGGAAGCCACTGGGGTCACCGGCCATGCAGAGCGAAGGAGCAGGATGGATGCGGGAGTCCCAGCTGACATGACGCTCACCTGCTCCTCTCAGAAGTGATTCGGCCCCCGTGATGACCCTGGAGCTCGGCGTGCCAGCTAGGTGGATTCTCCCACAGACCCGGAGGGAAGCCTGGTGAGCCCCATCTCCTAAGGGGAATATAAGCCTGAAGCCTGAGTCCCATGGCAGAAGCTGGTGGAAGCAGGACTGGGATCACAGTATGACCCCACGGCCCTTCCTCATCCCCTCCACATCACCTCCACACTGCGCTCACGTCACCTCCCCGGCACCTGCACGTCGTCACCTCCACATCACCTATCCAATGCCTTCATGTCACCTCCACGTCACCTCCACAGCATCACAATGCCATCCCCTCACCTCCATAACACCGTCACATCACCTGTACGTCACCACTACAGTATCTCCACATCCCCGCCCCAGCAGCTCAGCATCCCTCCTCCTCACCTCCTCCTCACCTCCACATCACCTCCTCCTCACCTCCTCCTCACCTCCTCCTCACCTCCACATCACCTCCTCCTCACCTCCTCCTCACCTCCTCCTCACCTCCACATCACCTCCTCCTCACCTCCTCCTCACCTCCTCCTCACCTCCACCTCACCTCCTCCTCACCTCCACATCACCTGCGCTTTACTCCACAGCGCCTCCATGTTGCCTTTAATATCGCCCTCTCTGGTTTATATCTTCTTTCCATCTTTTTTTCGTTCCGTGTTTAATAATTCTTTTTTTGTTGTTGTTTAGACAGAATCTCACTCTGTTGCCCAGACTGGGGTGCAATGGCACAATCTCGGCTCACTGCAGCCTCTGCCTCCTGGATTCAAGCAGTTCTCCTGCTTTAGCCTCCTGAGTAGCTGGGACTACAGGTGTGCACCACCACGCCCAGCTAATTTCTGTATTTTTAGTAGAGACGGGATTTCGCCATGTTGGCCAGGTTGGTCTTGAACTACTGACCTCAGGTGATCCACTCGCCTTGGCCTAATAATTCCTTATTTGATGTTTCTCAAGTTATAAAATAAGGCCGGGCATGGTGGCTCTTGCCTGTAATCCCAGCATTTTGGGAGGCCAAGGCGGGTGGATCACCTGAGGTCAGTAGTTCAAGACCAACCTGGCCAACATGGTAAAACCTTGTCTCTATAAAAATACAAATATTAGCCAGGCGTGGTGGCAGGTGCCTGTAATCCCAGTTACTCGGGAGGCTGAGGCGGAAGAATTGCCTGAACCCGGGAGGCGGAGGTTGCAGTGAGCCAAGATTGTGCCATTGCACTCCAGCCTGGGTGACAGAGCGAGAATCAGTCTCAAAAAATAAATAAATAAATAAATAATAAATTAATTAAAGTAAATAATGTGCAACTGACATTGAATCAAAACAATACGAAGGGCCGTGCGCAGTGGCTCATGCTTGTAATCCCAGCACTTTGGGAGGCTGAGGCGGGTGGATCACGAGGTCAGGAGATCGAGACCACGGTAAAACCCCGTCTCTACTAAAAATACAAAAAAAATTAGCCGGGCGCGGTGGCGAGCGCCTGTAGTCCCAGCTACTCAGGAGGCTGAGGCAGGAGAATGGCATGAACCCGGGAGGCAGAGCTTGCAGCGAGCCAAGATCGCGCCACTGCACTCCAGCCTGGGCGACAGAGCGAGACTCCGTCTCAAAAAAAAAACAAACAAACAAACAAACAAAAAAACGAAGACATGAGAGGGCAAAGTCCGTCCCTACCCTCCTCGCCCTACGGTCCACCCTCTCTGTGTGCCATCTCCTGGTGTGACTGGTACCACAGCCTGACCCGCAGCCTTCCCACGGGCTCCTGGTCTCTGCAAGCCTATACAAGAAATGCCCACATGCAGAGAGAGTTTGTTTGATGCTTTTTGACTGGAAAAAAATCAATAGTTTGATTATTACGCATTGGCCCTTTCCTCCTCAATCATACATCAGGGCCGTCCCCACAAGTCTGTCAACACTCACCCACTGCGATCATTTTTCCATTTTTCTGACTTCATTTTTTCTGATTGCACTAAGTCCCCCAAATATCATTGTCACCCCTTGGAATTTTAGCTCCTGCCTTGTGGGGATTCCTCGGTGCCTTTGTTCATGTCGTTGCCTCACCCAGGGGCTCAGGGCCCAACAGGGCATGGGGACTCCACCAAGAAATGACATTAATAATTAGATAATAATTGATCATTAATCATTGTGCTCCATAACAGACAACCCATACTTGCCGTGGCAACTGGAACATCACCCAGACCCAGCAGAACAGCCAGGGGAGGCTAGAAGTCCAGGGCTAGCCCTGCTGATGTCCTGGGGAACGGGCAGGTGGACATGGCTCTGTACTTGGTGAGCTGGGGGGGCAAGAATCCCCAGCTGAACTCTCCCCATGGGAAGGTTCACTTCCCATCTATGGCTCTTTTTTTTTATCGATTAATAAGTGAGCCTTCTTTTCTATCAATTTAAAAAATTCATATTGGCCAGGTGTGGTGGCTCTCGCCTGTAACCCCAGCGCTTTGGGAGGTCAAGGCTTGAGGCCAGGAGTTTTGAGACCAGCCTGGGCAACATAATGAGACCCCATCTCTATAAATAATAAAAGGAATTAGCCAGGTAAAGTGGCAGCATACACCTGTGGTCCCAGCTACTCAGGAGGCTGAGGTTGGAGGATCCCTTTAGCCCAGGAGTTAGAGGTTGTACTGAGCCATGATGGCACCACTGCACTCCAGCGTGGGTGACAGAATGAGACCCTGTCTCAAAAAAAAAAAAAAATTGAGTCTCTGTGATGATGCTTTTGCAAAATAAATAACAATTGACATAAAAAGTAAATAAATAAATAAATAAGCCAGATGCAGTGGCTCAGGCCTATAATCCCAGCAACTCAGGAGGCTGAGGCAGGAGGATCCCTTAGGTCAGAAGTTCAAGACCAGCCTGGGCAACACAGTGAGACCCCGTCTCTTGAAAAAAACTGTTTAATTAGCGAGGTGTGGCGGTGCACGCCTGTGGTCCCAGCTACCCAGGGGGCTGAGTTGGGAGAACTGCTTGAGCCCAGGAGGTCGAGGCTGCAGTGAGCTATGATGGCACCACTGCACTCCAGCCTGGGTGACAGAGGGAGACTCCAACTCTAAGAAAAATAAATAAAATTAATTAAATAAAATGAAACCTTCAAAAAATAACTCCTATTTCAGGCCCACATCTAATGCCACCTCCTTGGAGAAGCCTTCCATGGCATGCTCCTGCTCAAAATTCTCCCTCCTCTATGATCCGCAGCCTCTGACAGCTTCCTGCAGTGGGGTCCAGGGTGGCTGTGCAGGCCGCGACTCGTGCTTGTTGAGGACCCTGGCATGATGCCCTCCATTCAGGTGGAATCAGGGGCAGAACAAGGGCCACTGGCCGGAGCTGTGGGAGGGGTGGTTGGCTCAGTCACAGGGAGAGCTTGCTCTCGGAGTTGTCCACGGAGGCCTCCTGGTCAGGCAAGGAGCTCCCTGTTCCTGGGATGGGCAAGCCAAGGGGGAGGGAGAGTGGCCTCCTGCGCAGCCATAACAAAGCCTCGCAGAGCACAGGGCTCAAACAACAGAAATGGTTTCCTCACACTTCTGGAGGCTGGGGGTCCAAGGTCAAGGTGCCAGCAGGGCTGGTTCCTTCTGAGGTCTCACTCCTCAGCCTTGGTCCTCACAGGGTCTTCCCTCTGTATGTGTCTGTGTCCTAATCTCCTCTTCCTATAAAGACACCAGTCAGATTGGATTGAGGCCCACCCACATGACCTCACTTTGCCTTAATTATCTCCTTCAAGACCCTCATTCCAAATGATACTGGGGGGATGTGAGGGCGATCTGGCTGCGACATCTGTCACGCCATTGATTGCCAGGGTTGATTCGGTTGATCTTGCTGGCTAGACGGGTGTCCCCTTCCTCCCTCACTGCTCCACATGCGTCCCTCCCAAAGCTGCATGCTCCATTGACCATCCCCAACAGAGGAGGACCGGTCTTCGGTCAAGGGTATATGAGTAGCTGCACTCCCCTGCTAGAACCTCCAAACAAGCTCTCAAGGTCCAAATGACACTGGGGGTTAGGGCTTCAACACAGGAATTTGGGGTGCACAATTCAACCCATAAGCTATGGCCTCTCGTTGGGTGGGGCAGAAACTTCAACGATTACAGCTGTGACTCCCTGCTGGAGGTGCTATGAAGCCAGGACCCGTCTTTTGTGGCTACCCTGGGGGTCAGGAGACCTGGGCCCTCGTCCCAGCCCCTCTGTGCCTGTGCTTTGGGGCCTTGGCTGAGTCTCTGCTTCCGTGAGCCCCTTGTCCTCCCTATTCTGTCAGGATACGTGGTCCAAGGCCCATTGTTGCCCAGGAAAGAGAGGGTGCCCACCCAGCACCTTCATGGCCAGCTCCAGGGCTGGCACAGCTGGAGCAAAGCCACTCCTGGTCCCCAAAGATGCGGGAACAGAAGGCCAGGAGGGCGTCCCCCTTCACCACTGCTGCCACACTGGCCACCACTTAGTGACTCCACAGCAGTCACGCATCACAGACGACCATTCGAGCCACTCTGTCTCAGCCCACTGGCCCTGCCTCAGAAGGCCGAGGCATTGCCAAGGTCATGGTTCCCTTACCGCTGGGAGGAGGCCTGAACCATGCCACGGTAGACAGACCCATGGGGCTGCCTGGTTTGCCAATACTGCTTATCATTCCATCCTTATAAGAAAAACAAAGCAGCAAAGGTTCATTGCAGAAAATTTAGAAAATGCAGAAATGAAATAATTAAAGTCACCTGCCATCCCCAGGCCCAGCAAAATGACATCTTGGCATCCTCGCCTCTCTCTTGCTTTATGCAAAAATGGCCTGATGGCAGCTGGCCCACCAGCCTTGGGCTCCCCAACCACAGAGCACGGCCTGGTACCAGGAACTTTGCTGCAGGTTCTGGAGGAGCCGGGGAAGTCAAGGCATTCACTGCCACACCCATGACAAGCCTCTTGACACCCTGTCCCCTCAGAGATCACCTTCTCCCAGGTCTCCCTCACCCACACCATCCTCCAGGGCTGCCGTCCTTCTCTGTCTTTGCCCCACCCCATGTCCAGCCCTCCTGAGTCCAGCTTCTCCTCTGCAGGGCCCCCAGCATCGGGCCATAGCCACACCCTCATCAGGCAGCTTGGTACATGTCCCTCCCTGATCAGAAGCCAGCTTTCATCAAGTGAATCCAACTCAACTCTCATTAGTCCAGCACCTGCTAGGTGCCAGACCCTGCATCAGTGCTAGGGATACACAGGGCAACAGAGTCCTCAGCCTCAAGGACCCTGTAGTCTGAGGGTCAGGGTTGGAATGAACCCATGGAAAGGGGCAGGCACGGCATGTGATGGGCCACTCTGCAGAGGAGGTCAGCATAGAAACTGCCTGTCTAACCATGGACAGTAAGCACTGTGAGGGCAGGGGCAAGCTTCTCCTCCTGCCCCCTCCAGGCCCCTCCACAGTGGTGCCCAGCCCAGAGTGGCCCCCATCCTAGGCTCAGCACTGGCTAAGAGCTGCCCCCAGGGTGCACTCATTCCAGGCACTAGCGGCTGCTGTGCACACGGACAACAGGGCTCTGGAAGCCCTGGCGTGGCCCCAGAAGAGACACAGGTGCTGGCCAGGAGACCTGAGGACTTGTGTAGAGAGCCCTCTGCTCCACACCCTGAGATAGTCCCTCCATCTCGTTCCTTGATTTTCTACAAAATTAGAATTTTGCTGTATAAAATGTCATATTTTGCCTTTTTGGAAAGTATAACCCGTGATGTGTTCTGTCCAATTTAGAGTGCTCCCACCCAGGGCTGCAGGATGCACTTAGCTGCTTCTCTCTGGCTGATGTCCAGGTGTTGTATTCATCCATTTTCACACTGCTGATAAAGACATACCCGAGACTGGGCAATTTACAAAAGAAAGGGGTTTAGTGGACTTACAGTTCCACATGGCTGGGGAGGCCTCACAATCATGGTAGAAGGTGAAAGTCACTTCTTACATGGTAGCAGCAAGAGAGAGAACTTGTGCAGGGAAACTCCCATTTTTAAGACCATCAGATCTCATGAGACTCATTCACTATCACAAAAACAGCACAGGAAAGACCTGCCCCCATAAATTCAATCATCTCCCACTGGGTTCCTCCCATGACACATGGGAATTGCAGGAGCTACAACTCAAGATGAGATTTGGGTGGGGACATGGCCAAACCATATCAGGTGTTTTGTTTTGTTTTGTTTCTCCTGTTGAGATGCCTCAAGACATGGGGAAGCATCCTGGCCCCCACCTAAGCTCAGTGCCCTGGAGGCTGAGCTGCTCTGGGATCTGGCAGCGTGTAGCTCCTGCCTTGTGTGTCCCCATCCAGGACAGGAGCCCCATGGCCGACCTCCTGCCCCCACCCCCATCCCCGGTTAATGGAAGGAGTGAAGGGATTCAGGGAGAGGCCTGGGGGCCAGGGCAAGCTGGCAGCAAGGCCTACTCCCTTGGAGTCTAGAGCAGATGCAAACAATTTGTATCTGCCAAGGGCTCCGAGGACTAGGAGGGAGAGGATCCCCTCCCAGGGCACATAGCAAGGGTCTCAGCCCCTCCTGATAGCTGCCTCCAACTTCCACCTAACCCTGCTCAGGGGACAGAGAGCTCAGATTACTAAATTAAGGAGGTAGCAGCCCCTCTGGACTGGATTCTGCTCAGCCAGTGGCACGGGTGGGTGCACCTGCTTCAGCAAAACCTCTGTTCTGCCAGCCTAGGGCTTCTATCCTTATGGGGAGGAGCCACCAGCATGGGAAGACAGGAGCAGGCTTGGGGTGTCAGCAAGAGCCTAGAGTAGGGTAGGGATTGGGGCCTGGCAAGGAGCGCCTGGAGAGACAGTCATTCATTCATTCATTCATTCATTCATTCATTCTCTCCCTCACCGGGTGAGTGGTGCCTACACCTGCCAGGTTCTGTCTAGGCGCTAGAGACAAACCAGTGGCCAGGTCCCCACCCTCATGAGCTGATGCTCCAGTGAGGGAGGAGGAGACAATAAGCCTGTGCCAGATACAAAATTCAGCCACTGATGAAGATGGAGAAAAGCAGGCCCCGATCCCAGAAATCATCTAACACCTGCAGGGTTTGGACTGGCCCTGGATGGAGCGGGGACAGGGATGGCTGGAAATGAGAGGGAGGGCCAGTTCCACCTGTGATCTAAAAGCCTTCTCTGGAAGGGATGGACAGAGGCAGATTGGAGGGAGTTGCCAAGACCAGGCAGGAGGCGGCTTAATAACCCAGGGAGAGAGGCTGGTGGGCTGGCCCTGGCGGCTCAGGGGGCAGAGAGGAGGGGTGGGTGGAGGAAGCAGCCAGGGCCAGACCAGCGGGCACTGCTGCACACCTGCACCAGGGAGCAGGCAGTAAGCTGGCCCTCAAAGTCAGACACCACCCGCCACTGCTGCCCGGGGGACAGGCTGGACAGCAGGGCATCCTCCTGCTGCCCCTGGCAAACCTCAGGTCAAAGGTCAATGTTTTGAGCGAAAAATTCACCAAAGAATAAGGATCTGGGGGTGGGGGAGGGAATAGGAAAATGACTGCCTCTGCTTGGTGGATTCCATGAAGCTTTAAATAAGGGGCTGATATGCGCATGACTCTGTTAGGAGACGGGAGATCTGCGCGCAGTCAGTCAGTCCTGGGGAGGTGGTGTCCACAGAGGTCACGCCGGCTTAAAGTGGGAGGACAAGGGCCGAGGCATGGTAGGGGTGGCTGGAGCGGAGCCCAGTGGGTCGGGCAGTAAGAACCACGTGCCTCTCAGGTGCTGCCCTGCATGTCGGGGAGGAGGGCAGGGGGAGTCCGAGGCCGGACAGGAAATGCTCCTCCTGTGGCCTGGGAACCCGGGCAATGGTGCCATTCTCATCCTCACTGTCAACAGGACAGGCGCCGTTCTCACCCCACACTGAGCGATGCATGTCATCCTCTCTTCCACTCGGCCAGGGAGGAGCCATTCCTCCCCTGTTTACAGATGACTGAGGCCCAGACTGCTTAAATAACTTGTCCAAGTTGTGGTTTGTGAGCCACAGACCTGGGACCCAATCTCGGCCCACCCTTGAGCCGATCAGCGCAACCCCTGCCTTCTAGGCTAGGAGGCATTAGGGCAGTCTGCATGAGCTGTCTCCACTCCGCAGTCCAAAGAGGCACGCCCACCTCTCTCCCCATCAGGTTTGTGGGTCCTGAGCGGAACCCCGGCACATCCATGGGGATTCAGGGGAGACTCCGATAGGACTACACATGTGCACACACACACTCACATACAGACACACACACACCACACACAGGCACATGACTCGAAACCAGAGAAGCAGTAGCTTCAGCCACCGAGTGGCCACAAAGGTGTCTCCACTGGGGATATGGTTTGAGTTAGTCTCTGACTTCCCCGTGGATTGAAAGCCAAGATGGAGAAAAGGGAGTTTGGCTGGGGAAAGGAATGAGGGCTGGTGGGGAGCTCTGGGAAGCCACTAGGCCTAGGACACCAGGCCCCAGGAGTCCCTGAAGCCCAGGGCCACAGGTGCCCTCTCCATGGCACTCCCCAGCCCTGGGACAGCAAGTCCCTCTGCCCGCCTCCTCTGGAGCCTGTGCTGGCCCCTCTCGGGCTCCCATCACAGGACGCCCCCTTGTCTCCAGGCACCCACCAGAGCCCACGCCAGATCCATTGAGTCCCCAGTGTCTCAGAAAGCTGGAAGGACCCTGCACACAGGGGAGGTAGTCTTCTCAGGGCCTTCTCGGGGACCAGAGGGGCATTTAAGCGGAAAGAAAACCCACCCTGACCTATAAAACGAAAGCTGGGGCAGCCATTCACCCCATGCAGGGAGCCCCAGGCTGGGCACTGTCCTGGACGGTCAGATGTCCGGCCCTCATATCTGCCTTAGTGCCCACAAGCCCAAAAGAGGGCTGGCCAGAGGAGGCCAGTGAATGCTCTCAGCTCAGAGCATAGATGATGGGTTCCTGAAGAGCCAGGGCCAGCAGGAATCCAGATGGGGCCCTGGGGGATCATATATGGGAGTGTGCACTTGATCATCACCTTCTCTAGCTCCTGGGAGCTAGAGTGCTCCCAGGAGCTAGAGAATGTGTGGAGTGCTGTAACAGCGTGGAGTGCTCAGGCCCAGAGTGAGGGGCCTTGTCCGAGTCACAACGCAAGGTCCCCAGCTGCTAGTGCCAAGCCCAGGGATGGGGGAGTGTGTGAAGGGGGATTTGTTTTTTGAGATGGTGTTTCGCTCTTGTTGCCCAGGCTGGAGTGCAATGTGCAATCTCAGCTCACTGCAACCTCTGCCTCCCAGGTTCAAGCATTTCTCCTCCCTCAGCCTCCTAAGTAGCTGGGATTACAGGCATGTGCCACCACACCCAGCTAATTTTGTATTTTTTAGTAGAGACGGGATTTCACCATGTTGGTCAGGCTGGTCTCGAACTCCTGACCTCAAGTGATCAACCTGCCTTGACCTCCCAAAGTGCTGGGATTACAGGAGTGGGCCACCGTGCCCAGCCAACAACGGGTTTTTTTTTTCTTCTTCTTTTTTGAGACAGGGAACTCACTCTGTTGCCCAGGCTGGAGTGCAGTGATGCAATCTTGGCTCACTGCAGCCTTGACCTCCAGGGCTCAGCTGATTCTCCCATCTCAGCCTCAGCCTACTGAGTAGTTGGGACTATAGGCAGGTGCCATCACATCCAGGTAACTTCTATATTTTTAGTAGAGATGGGGTTTCACCATGTTGCCCAGGCTGGTCTGGAACCCCTGGACAGAAGCAATCTGCCCACCTTGGCCTGCCAAAGTGCTGAGATTATAGGGGTGAGCCACCTCGCCCGGCCAAGAAGGGGGATTTCTACCTCACCCCGCCCCATGGCTGCTCCACCAGCCTCAGAGATGGCAGGGTTCCCCACCAGCCCAGGCTGAATGCAGAGCCCCAGAGAGTGGGTAATTTGGGGCACACATATTCACATATTTTCCTCAAAACACTCATGGGCCAATGAGTGCAAATGTGTTTGCCCAGTGGCACAAAACAGTCAAAACTTGGCCAGGCGCGGTGGCTCAGGCCTGTAATCCCAGCACTTTGGGAGGCCGAGGCGGGTGGATCACCTGAGGTCAGGAGTTCCAGACCAGCTTGGCCAACATCATGAAACCCTGTCTCTACTAAAAAATAAAAAAATTAACCGGGTGTGGTGGCGGGCACCTGTAGTCCCAGCTACTCAAGGAGAATCGCTTGAACCCGGGAGGTGGAGGTTTCAGTGAGCCAAGATCGTGCCACTGTACTCCAGCCTGGGCAACAAGGTGAGACTCTATCTCAAAAACAAAACAAAACAAAACAAAAAGTCAAAACTCCCGCTCCGCCTGGGCTTTCTGAAGACAAATCTCCCAAGGCCACCAGCCACTGTCAGGGGGGATGTAGCTACCACAGGGTGTCTTCTTTGACAGTGGGACTAAAAAAACAGGGCAAGAATAATTCCACCTCCTCTAGCTAAGGAGCATATTGCACACAATTTGTTGCATTGATTTTTTTCAAAAACATAAATAGCATGTGCAAGATATTTCCCAAAACAAAGACAAAACGGGGAGAATGTATTTCAGTCCTCTTTCTTGGCTGAACTCTTTTGCAGAGTCAGGGGAAGGCTCATGGTGGCTCATAGCCGAACAACGTGTGCTGGCTCAGGGCCAAGTCCAGCAAGCCACGTTCATCACCTCGAAGCAAACCACTTGCTTCCAGACGGGGCCAGACACCTGGCAAATGGGCCCGACGGGTCCCATAATTCAAGGCTGGCGTGGAGGAAGTCAAGGCAAGGAGGGCCCAGAGAGAAGGCTGGAATCCGAGGGGATCAGGGGCTTGAAGGAGGCCCCTCTGCAGCTCGGTCACTAACCCCAGTGTGTCGGGAATCAAGAGTATAGGAGGGTGGCCGGGCGCGGTGGCTCATGCCTGTAATCCCAACACTTTGGGAGGCCGAGGCAGGCAGATCATTTGAGGTCAGGAGTTGGATACTAGCCTGGCCAATATGGTGAAACCCCATCTCTACTAAAAATACAAAAATTAGCGGGGCCTGGCGGTATGTGCCTGTAATCCCAGCTACTCGGGAGGCTGAGGCAGGAGAATCACTTGAACCCGGGAGGCAGAGGTTGCAGTGAGCCAAGACTGCGCCACTGTGCTCCAGCCTGGGAGACAGAGTAAGACCTTGTCTCAAAAAAAAAGAGTATAGGAGGTGAATGAAGACAACAAGGAAGGGAGGGGCAGGCAGGGGCAGTGACAGGGGAGGAAAGGAGAAAAACAGTTCCCTCAGACCTCCCGGGGCACCTGCTAGCTCTGGGTCACAGTTCTGCCCAACAGCCCTGACAGGCCCTTGTCCTCAGCCCAAGAAGCAAAGACCTCCCACTGTGGCCAGGACCCCGATGGAGAAAGGCAGAGGCGATGCCTAAATTAGCTTGGGCAATCCAGGAATCCTTCCTGGGGGAGGTGACAACCAGGTTGGGACCTGAGTCAAACGATAGCTATTAGCTAGGCAATGAGCTTCGGTTGGGGTGTTCAGGAGGGGAGGAAAGAACATTCCAGGTAAGTCAGCAGAATCTTCAAAGGCCAGTGCAGCAAAGCAGAGGGTCTGCAGGAGCTCAATGTGGCTGAGGGCTGGGGTGCAGGCAGAAGGTTGAGGCTGGGGTGCAGGCAGGGGTGCATGGGGCCAGCTATCCTAGAGATGTGAGCTTCATCCTATTGGCAGCAGGGAGCCACCCAGGATGGTGAGAGGAACCACCTGACCGGACGCATGGAGTGGCCAGCCAACAGCACCTCTGCTGTGTTCCAACTCAGGGGAGAAACCACACACAGGACTTGGCAAATGGGAAACCAAGATACCCCCTTATTGCTAAGGAAAGGGATTTTGGAGAACATGGCTTCTGTCTGCAGGCCAGTGAGATGCCTAACATGAGCTCCAGCGCTGGACAAACTGACCATGGGCCTCCACAGCCTGGGCAGGTGTCTGTCATCGTGGGGCAGAGGGAAGATGGTAGGCCCCTGTCGACCCACCTCATCTACAAACTCTGCCTCTGAGTAGGAGGAGGGGGACCTCCCCAGTGGAAGCGAACATCAGGAGAGGGTCGTCAGGCGCTTGCTCCTGGCAGAGCCCACAGGCAGGGTGGAGGAGCTTGGGAGAACAGAAGCCGAGAGCCCCGCCAGTCCTCCAGACAGCTCCTCTGTAAGGACTGAGCCAGATGCGGGAACTAGAGGCAGCGTCTGTCCCTCAGTGTTTAGGACTCAACTGCCATGTAATCCAGGCACAGAAAACTGACGCCGGGGGACAGGCTTTTGTGGACTAGCCAGTCAGGGACAGGACTGGACCCGTGCCCTGGGCCCCTGACTCCCCGCCCACAGCTTTTCCCTCACAGCGTTTTCCACTTGCACTTTGCTCCCGAGGACTTCCTCAAGCTGAGTTTGGTGCACACGGCCAGTGCTCCTGGCAGCTGTCCAGTCATCTGCGTGGCCAAGTGCTACACACAGCAGGAAAATGTCACCAGAGACACGAATCCCAGCGTGACAAAACAAGACACGATCACCATCAGGCCTGAGCCCACTCTACAGATGGAGTAAGAGGCCAAGCAGCCTGACCAGCCTGACCAGCCTGACCAGCGAGTTCTCAGCACAAAGAGCATCCCCGCACTCCTGAATCCTGTGGGAGGCTGAGTCCAGCGAGATGTCCCGGGGTAGAACCTGGCTCCGCGACGAGGGCGGGGAAGGGGCGGAGCCAAGGAAGGGCGGGGTTCGGGGCAAGGGCGGGGCAGGGCGGGGCCGGGGCACTGGTGATTGGAAGCCTGGTGGGCGGGGCCCAGGACCTCCCTGCCCTCTCCGCCATTAACTCGGAGCCCGGCGCAGTGGAAAGCGGGCCAAGAAGCAGAGGTCCAGGTTCCAACTCTTGATTCTATCACAAAACACTGCACCCGAGGCAGCCAGGCAGCTTCCGAAGACCTCGTAAGTGCCCCGCCATTTGCTGGGTGCTGGGGATACAGACATGAAAAGAAAAATAAAAGACTCAGCCCTGCCTCCGGGAACTCACAGTCCCGCTGACGGTTTAGTCCTCTCCTCTCTCTGGGCCTCACTGCCCCCATCTGGGAGATTGACAGGTTGGACTGTCACGACCGTCTCGCCGCCGCTGCAGAGACGCCCCTGGATCACAGCGCCCCTGCCTCTGCGGCCCTGGACAGGGCTCAGGGCCCAGCCCCTAAAATTGCTCAGGGTGAGGTTGGATGGATCAACCACAGCAACTGTCACCTCACAGCAGGAGACAGGGAAACTGAGTCCCAGAGAGTCAAGAGAGTGCTTACCTGAGACCTGGGTAATACTGGAAGCTGTCCTTCCATCCACCAAGAGCTCTTCGCCTTTTTATTTTTAATTTTTGTTTTTGTTTTTGAGACGGAGTCTCACTGTCGCCCAGGCTGGAGTGCGGTGGTGCAATCTCAGCTCACTGCAACCTCCACCTCCCGGGTTTCAGCGATTCTCGTGCCTCAGCTTCCCAAGTGGCTGGGATTACAGGCATGTGCCACCACACCCGGCTAATTTTTGTATTTTTAGTAGAGAAGAGGTTTCACCATGTTGGCCAGGCTGGTCTCGAGCTCTTGACCTCAAGTAATCCACCTGCCTTGGCTTCCCAAAGTGGTGGGGTTACCGGCGTAAGCCACTATGCCCAGCCCAAGAGCTCTTTGCCTTCTGAGAGCAGCGTCCTGTGGAGGCAGAAACAGGTATCTGCCCTCACCAAGCCTGACTTCTCACCGGCTTCCCCCAACAATTGCACTGCAGGTTCCGCACGCTTTTCCTTCCTTTCCTTCTTGTCCTGTCCCCTCCCTTCCCACAGCTCTGGGACCGCAGCCTTTACCTGGGCTGCCCGATCCCCTGGTTGCTCCCCAGAAACAGTGGCTTGGCTGCGTGTTGGCATCCACAGCACGTGATAAGGGCTATGGGATTTGGGCGACCCTGGAGGGTGAGGAAAGGGAAGGTGCCCATGTGAGGACTAGGCGTCTGGAGAGAGGAAGGGAGAGGGCCCGGCGGGAGGAAGTGCTGCCCCAAGCGGCAGGACAGGGCTCTGAAAAACCACAAGATGCTTGTGAACAGCCAGTGCTGCTGCTGGTCCAAGCCGTTACCCTGTGCGATGCCTGAGGAGCGCCCTGAAGTTTTGAAAGGCGGAAGATGAGCTCCCTGCAAGGAGGGTTTTCCTGCGGTGGGATAGAGGCCTCGCCCAGAGCCCGAGGGCAGCACAGCACCCCTCGCAGGCCACCTGTCTGCATAGTTCACCCTCCTCGGCCTCCTCTCTCCCTCCTCCCACCAAGGTGGGCCCTTTGTTCTCCATCTGACTCACCAGGGCTCCTTCCCCACTCCCACCCCACACCAGCCCTGCCTCAAGCTGGAGGGGGAATGCTGGGGGAGCTGGGGAGTTGGTTTGGGTCCTGCTTCTGAGAGGCGAGAGCTCCAAAGGACCCCTCCCTGCCCAGCGTGTTTCATCCCCAGATTCTTAGAGCTGACCACCGCCCCCCCCCCCCACCCACCCACCCACCCACACACACACTGGCTCCAGCTGTCCTCAGGGTCCCAGTGCCCTCTGGACACTATGCCAGGACAGCCCCTCTGAGTCTGCCAGTAGCTACCATACCCCTCCCTCCTTCTCCAAGCTAAATGGCCTCTGTTCCCTCAAAAACAAAGAACTAAAGGCAAGCACTAGAATGATCAAGCTCTTAGAAGAAGCAGAGGGCCGTGTCTCCAGGACCTCATGGAGGCAACAGCTTCTTAGCCTTGACACCAAAGCATGAGCAACAAAAGGAAGAATAAATAAATTGGATTTCAGCAAATTCAAAACAGTTGTGCTCTAAAGGACACTATCAAGAAAATAGGCTGGGTGCAGTGGCTCACGCCTGTAATCCCAGCACTTGGGGAGGCCAAAGCGGTTCGATCACTTGAGGCCAGGAGTTCGAGATCAGCCTGGCCAACATGGCAAAACCCTGCCTCTACAAAAAAAATATAAAAATTAGCCAGGTGTGATGGTGCATGCCTGTAGTCCCAGCTACTCAGGAGGCTGGGGTGGAAGGATTGCTTGAACCTGGGAGGTAGAGGTTGCAGTAAGCCAAGATTGCACCACTGCACTCCAGCCTAGGCAAAAGAGTGAGACCCTGTCTCAAAAAAAAAAAAAGTAAGTAAGTAAAAAGATAACCAACAGGATGGGAGAGAATATTTTCAAATCATATTTCTAAGAAGGGCTTTGTATCCAGAATATGTAAAGAACTCAGGTAACTCGATAATAAAAAGACAACCCAATTTAAAAATGGGCAAAGGATCTAAACACACATTCTTCCAAAGAAAATATACAGATGGTCCAAGCACGTGAAGACACGCTAGACATTATTAGTTGCCAGGGAAATGCAAATCAAGACCACAACGAGATGTCATTTCACATGCACTGAATGGCTAGAATCAAAAAGTCAGCGGGAAAAAGAGGCAGATAAGTGTGGGTGAAGGCGTGCAAAAATAAGAACCCTGATAACACCGTTGGTGGGAAGGTAAAATGCTGTACCTGCTCTGGAAAACAGTGTGGCAGTTCTTCACGGGTGAAACACAGAGCTACTATAGAACCCCACAATTCCCTCTCTAGGTACACACCCAAGAGACGTGAAAACAGGCCGGGCGCAGCGGCTCACACCTGTAATCCCAGCAATCTGGGAGGCCAAGGCGGGCGGATCATGAGGTCAGGAGTTCGAGACCAGCCTGGCCAATGTGGTGAAACCCTGTCTCTACTAAAAATACAAAAATTAGCCAGGCGTGGTGCCAGGCACCTGTAATCCCAGCTACTCAGGAGGCTGAGGCAGGAGAATCATTTGAACCCCGGAGGTGGAGGTTGCGGTGAGCTGAGATCACGCCACTGCACTCTAGCCTAGGTGAAAGAGCAAGACTCCATCTCAAAAAAAAAGAAAAAAAACAAAAAAGGAAACATACATCCACATAAAATGTACATGTAAATGTTCATAGCAGCATTATTCATAATAGCCAAAAGGCAGAAACAAACCAGATGTCCATCCAATGGTGAATGGATAAACACAGCGTGGCCTACCCATACAATGGAGTATTATTTTATTTGGCCATAAAAGCAAGGAGGCCCTAACACAGCAGGAATGAACCTTGAAAACATTATGTTCAGTGAAGGAAGCTATACACAAAAGATCATATATGATTCCACTTATAGGAAATGTCTGCAACAGGGACATCTATAGACACAGAAAGTCGACTATTGGTTGCCAGGAGCTGGGGAAGGAGAAATTTGAAGTCATGAATATAGGTTTCTTTTTGGGGTGAAGAAAATGTTCTAAAATTAATTTTAGTGGTGGTTGAACTTGTCTAAGAATATACTACCCACTGACTCGCATACTTTAAAAGGATGAACTGTATGTGAAGTATATCTCAATAAAGCTGTTTTTAAAACAATTTTTTTTTAAGACAGTCTCATTCTGTCACCCAGGCTGGAGTGCAGTGGTGCAATCTCAGCTCACTGCAAACTCCACCTCCCGGGTTCAAGCGATTCTCCTGCCTCAGCCTCCTGAGTAGCTGGAATTACAGGCACATGCCACCATGCCCAGCTAATTTTTGTATTTTTAGTAGAGATGGGGTTTCACCATGTTAGCCGGGCTGGTCTCGAACTCCTGACCTCAAGTGATCTGCCTGCCTCAGCCTCCCAAAGCACTGGGATTACAGGTGTGAGCCACCACGCCCAGCCTAAAACAATTTTTTTTCTTTTTTTTTTGACAGGTTTTCGTTCTTGTTGCCCAGGCTGGAGTGCAATGGCACAGTCTTGGCTCACTGCAACCTCCATCTCCCAGGTTCAAGTGATTCTTCCACCTCAGCCTCCCGAGTAGCTGGTGTTACAGGCACCCGCCACCACGCCTGGCTAATTTTGTATTTTTAGTAGAAACGGGGTTTCACTATGTGGCCAGGCTGGTCTCAAACTCCTGACCTCAGGTGATCAGACTGCCTCAGCCTCCCAAAGTGCTGGGATTACAGGCATAAGCCACCGCACCTGGCCAACAATTTTTTAAGGAAAAGAAGAAAGGAAAATTATTGACCTCAGCTTCCACCTTAACTAGAAAAGACCAAATGAAACCTAAAATAAAAAGAAGAAAAGAAATAATAAAAATCAGAGTTGAAATCAATGAAACAGAGAACAGAAAATAATAGAGAACATCAATGAAACAGAACGTTCTTGAGAAAATTGTTAAATTTATAAATTATAGTTAGATTGATCAGGAACAAAAGAGAAAATAAAAATGACCATTATCACAAATGAAATGGATAACTTTACTACACATTCTACAGATATTTTTAAAGTCTGAGGCACAGACCTTTAATATAAAAACGCTTTATAGTTCTGTCTAGGGACATAAGATCTCAGGAAAAAGAAAAGAAACATCAGTAAAAGCACTTTTGCTCTGTTTTACAAAATTGAAAATCAATCCCGTGCCTTGTCCAGGTTGTTTTAGGTACACGAGTGTAAAACTGTATGGTACCCACTGTAATAGACGAAGCCCAGCTTTCCATTTGATCATGTGCTTATGTTTTCATCTATGGGGTCCCCAGGACCCCTGCACACAGTAGGTGTGCAGTAAACGTTGAGTAAGTCAATAGATGGTGGTGGTTGGCATCGTCTTCCTAATGTACGCTAGACTCTGTAGTGGCACAAAAGTCAGCACCTGGAATCCACGTGGGTTTCCGTATCCTCCACCAAATGTTCACCAAGCACTCCTCTGTGCAAGGCCTGAAACAACAGAGGAGAACAGAGATTTGGAACTTTGAGTTAATAATGGTAGTTAGATGATATTTTGGACTCCAAGTTGACCCTAGAATACTTAAGCCTTCGGAGCATGTTAGGATGGGATGAAGGCGTTTTGCCTGCGGGAAGGACATGAACTTGGAGGAACCAGAGTGTGGACTGTTATGGGTTGACTAGGACCCTCAAAAACGACGTTCAAGTCCAAACCCTCACTACCTGTCCTTCTGACCTTATTTGGGAACGGGGCTGTGCAGATGTCATTAGTTAAGATGAGATCACACTGGAGATTACGGTGGGCCCTAAGCCAATATGAGGGGTGTCTTCATGAGCAGAGGGAAATCCGAACACAATACAGGGAAAAGGAAAATCTTTCTGGTGTTTTATTTACTTGCATTAGTTTCTAAGGCTGCTGTAACAAAGTACCACCAACTGGGTGGCTTAAACAACAGAAATTTATCATCTCACAGTTTTGGAGGCTGCAAGTTCCAAATCAAGGTGTTGGCAGGGTGGGTTCCTTCTAGGGGCTCTGGGAGGAAATCTGTGCAAGGCTCTCTTCCAGCTTCTGGAGGTTGTTTTTGCTCACAAGCCTGGGCAGTCTTTGGCTTGTGAAAGCATCTCCCCAGTTTCTGCCTTCATCTTCATGCGGCGCTCTCCCTGTGTGTGTGTGTCTCCAAATTTCCCCTCTTTATAAGGACACCAGTCCTACTGGATTAAGGCCCACCCTAATGATTTCATTTTAAGTTGACTGTCTCAGCCAAGGCCCCATCTCCAAATCAGGTCACATTCTGGGATGCTGGGAGTTTGAATTTCAACACATGAATTTTGGAGGACACAATTCAACTCGTCTCACCGGTTCAGGTGTCCAGAATTGGTTTATTTCCCATCTTAATTGTAGATTTACAATGTAAATGAGCCATACATTTTGTCAATTTTGTTTTTGCAAGAAGTATTTAATTTGTTGGTCTTACCTATTTTACTACTTAGAAGAAATTAAAATTGCCTAAGTAAGAGTTCTCAAAGAGGTTTAATTGGCTTTCATTCCTGGTTCTCTGCCCAGATTCTCCTAAACACATCCATTCCTGTTTCTGGCAGAACTTTTGCAAACCCATCCCAGGTATGTTTTTTACATTATTAATTTTTTTAATTGTGGCAAACTATATATAACATAAAATTTGCCATCTTAGCCACTTTTAGGTGTACAGTTCAGAGGCATTAAGCACACTCACAGTGGTGTGCAACCATCACCATTATCCACCTCCAGAACATTCTTGTCTTCCCAAACAGAAACTCTGTCCCCATCAAACACTAGCTCCCAGCTGCCCTCCCCCAGCCCCGACACCCACCATTCTACTTTCTGTCTCTGTGTAAGACCTGCATAGTCTGGACATTTCAGACCAGCAGAACCACACAATAGCTGTCCTTTTGTGTCGGGCTTATTTCACTGAGCGTAATCTCCTCAAGGCTCATCCACATTGCAGAACGTGTCAGAATTTCATTCTTTTTTAAGGCTGAATAATATTCCATTGTATGTTTAGACCACGTTTTGTGTGTCCATTCATCACTGCTGGCCATCTGGGTTGTTTCCACCTCTTGGCCAGTGTGAACCGTGCTGCTGTGAACATTGGCAAAGACGTGTCTGCTCAAGTCCCTACTTTGAGCTCCTTTGGGTAGATGCCCAGGAGTAGAATGGCCCATCAAAAATGAAAAAGCAATTTTAACGTTCAAAAATCTTTAGCATGGTACACTTGGATCTCACCTGATTATCTAAAAAATTAGCGGAGACCAAAAAATCTCCTCATTGATTTCTAACCTGAATCTCTTCAAACCTCAGGCCTGTTTCTTGGAGAAACTGATTCAGGGCTGCCAGGCCTCCTTCCTGCGTCTTTCCCGGCTTTGCTCAGCTCTGTCATTTCTCAGTTAAGGAGGCACAAGCTCAAAAGGATGGCAGCCCAGATGCTTCTAAATGAGGCAGCTCCTGAGGACTCCCATGCCGCAGGTTTACAATCCAGCTATTCCACCGATATCAGAACCAGCTCACACTTCCTGCGTGCAGACTGTATTCAGCTGGGATAAAAGCTCTGCTAGAGTGCTATTGAGAAAATAATCCTGGGGCTAAAAACAAGCAGCCAAAAAATCACAGAGGGAAATCAGATGTCGGTTATATCTGAAAAATAACACCACGATTGAGGCTCCCAGTGCCAACGCATGCACACACATGCACACACACATGCAGACACACACATACACAGAGACACATGCGTGCACACAGAAGAAAGGGCTCCTCGTGGGAATGAAGATGAGGGCCAAACCATGGAGGCAGGAGGAGCAAAAGCATTGTGTTCTCTGCCCTCTGGGAGCTTAGTGTCTAGCACCGGGGATGCCGCCGGGTGGCAAGGCCACCACCATGGCTGGCTGTGGCTGAGACAGCCATCGGGCTCCCCCAGCAGCAAGGGGGCCGTGGCCAGCTCTGGCCAGTGGGCCGTGAGTGCCGGCGACATGTGCTCCTTCTGTGGGAGTGTCCTCTCCTCACAGGCACCTGCTGCAATGGCCACCCTGTCTACTGGGTCCTGGGTGACCACGTGGAGCTGAGCCCCAGCCCCACAGACACAAACAGGGGCAACAAATAAACCCCAGTGGGAATTAGCTGTGAAGACGATGTGCCCTCCCTGAAGCAGCAGCGAGCCCCAATGGTCCTCCCCAGCACACCGGGCACTGTCCCACCTCCAGGAGCATCTCCCGTGTTTGCAAGTGGGGGTGAAAATCCTTAGACGATGTGGGGACAAAGGGGTGGCCATGGCCACAGCCGGCATCATGGCACTCCCCTTCCCGCCCCGAGACTACACACCGTCAGAGGCTAGAAAACTCCTCTGAGAGCCTGCCAGCTGCACGAGGACTGCCCCTCCGTGTGCCTGGGACTCACTGTCATCATGGGTGGGGATGGACTTGCACTTTTACTTTTTTTTTTTTTTTTTTTTGAGACAGAGTTTCGCTCTTGTCGTCCAGGCTGGAGCACAATGGCACGATCTCAGCTCACTGCAACCTCCGCCTCCCAGGTTCAAGCAATTCTCCTGCCTCAGCCTCCTGAGTAGCTGGGATTACAGGTGCCCGCCACCATGCCTGGCTCATTTTTTTTGTTGTGTTTTTAGTAGAGACAAGGTTTCACCATGTTGGCCAGGCTGGTCTTGAACTCCTGACATCAGGTGATCCACCTGCCTCAGCCTCCCAAAGTGCCGGGATTACAAGCGTGAGCCACCGCCCCAGCCAGGGCTTGTACTTCTAAACAGCTTGCGGCCATGTGGCTGCTGCCAAGAAAGAGATTCTGTAAAAGGAAGCCAAACTCAAGGGCGAGCGCCTGCCCTTGCCTTTGGAATTTTCCTTTGAAAGATGACTGTGTCGTTACATTGACGAGGTTTAAGGCCAGGGCGATTTTTCCAGATGGAAGCCCCCTCGGACATTATGCTGTGTTTTAAGAGGGAACAGTCTTACAGAAAGGGCAAAGTGAAACCACTTGGTGTGGGGTTTCCAAAGCCTGCTCAGCTCTGTCCCCCTAATCGTTGTTTTGTTTAGCTTGGTGTGGATATCGTGGTAATCGGTTTTAAAGGTCAGGCCCGAGTCTTTATGACATGCTAGTGAGTGCTGCATTCTCTTGCGTGCAAGCTTTTTCTCAGAAAAAATGTCTTTCGTCTCTTACAGTTGGATGCAGCAACATCAGAGGGGTGATTACCCCCAATTGCCAAAGAGGTTTCCAGCGCTGGAAGGAAATTTGGAGATCAAGGCCGAGTTGGCCTCAGCCAAGTGAAATGGGAATCAGGACCATTACAAAGAAATTCAATTAAAATAAAAGACACATCATAAACTTTGACTGGAAAACTCCAAATGGAATTAATATTACGTTGGTCAAATTACCTAGATAATTGCTTTCATTTTTCATTGCATCTTGATAGAAAGGACCAAGCTACTTAAAAATGAGTCCCAAAATGTATCCATTTCATCTTCTCAATGACTCCTAAAACCCTCTCCAAATGACTCAGATGCATTAGCTAGCTATTGCCACATAACATATTACCCCAAAACCTAACAGCTCAAAACTACAACAAACATCCTCCCCAGCTTTTGATATTTGCTGTCTTTTTCATTTCAGGCGTGGGCCGGGTGAGGATGTAGTGATTTCATGTTGCGGTTTTACTTTGCATCTTCCTAATGATCAGTGCAACTGAACACTTCTTCCATGATGGTTGACAATTTAGCAACCCTCTTCTGTGAAGTATCCCCATCTGTCCATGGGGTTGTCTGTCTTATCCTTCATAAGCTCTAGTTCTCTGTATTGGCTGAATACAAGTCCTGTTGGGGATATACACATATATTGCAACTATCCTTCCCACTCTCTTGACAGTGTCTGTTGATGAACAGAATTTCTTGTTTTCAATACAGTTCAATTTATCAATTTCTCAGTTAGCACTTTTGAGCACTGTTTTAAGAAATCTTTAGGCCGGGTGTGATGGCTCACACCTGTAATCCCACCACTTTGGGAGGCCAAGGCGGGCAGAGTTAGGTTAGTGCACTTCTGTTTAGGGAGTTAGGAGTTAGTGCAGGTTAGGAGTTTGAGACCAGCCTGGCCAACACGGTGAAACCCCGTCTCTTAATAAAAATACAAAAAATTAGCTGGGTGTGGTGGCGGGCGCCTGTAATCCCAGCCACTTGAGAGGCTGAGACCAGAGAATCGCTTGAACCTGTGAGCATGGAGGTTGCCGTAAGCCAAGACCATGCCGTTACACTCCAGCCTGGTGACAGAATGAGACTCCATCCCAAAAAAAGAAAAGAAAAGAAAGAAAGAAGGAAAGGAAAGAAGGAAAGAAGGAAAGAAGGAAAGAAGGAAAGAAAGAAAGAAAGAAAGAAAGAAAGAAAGAAAGAAAGAAAGAAAGAAAGAAAGAAAGAAAAGAAAAGAAAAGAAAGAAATCTTTATTTGCTCCAAGGATACAAAGACGTCCTCCTATATTTTCCTCTAAAAGCTTGATTTGTTTTCACTTTTCACACTTAGCTCTGCAGTCCGTATGGAATGGGTTTTTTGGTGTGGCGGGAGGTGGATCAAGACAAGCCTTTCCCATACAAATCTCCAGTTCACCCAGAATTATTTATCAAAAAGACCATTCCCCCCTTCCCCCAACGAGGTAGGCTTCCTGTCACTTTTCTTGTTGCTAGAAGTGGATTTTGGATTGCTGGAAGTGATTACAACAATCTGACATCCCCTTAGTGATTTACACATGTATATACATCTACATTAGCACTTGTGCCAAAGATTAGAAACATTTAAATGTCCACATATGGAGTCAGATGAAATTATGATTACATTGAGATAACAGACCACCATGAAGCCATTGAAAAGCCTGAGTAGATCTGTGTGCGTAGATATGAACAGTCTTGGGTTGTATTAGTTACATTTAAAAAACAGAGTTGGGCCGGGCGTGGTGGCTCACACCTGTAATCCCAACACTTTGGGAGGCCGAGGCGGGCAGATCACTTGAGGTCAGGAGTTCAAGACCAGCCTGGCCAACATGGTGAAACCTCGTCTCTACTAAAAATACCAAAATTAGCCAGGCATGGTGGTGGGCACCTGTAATCCCAGCTACTCAGGGGCTGAGGCAGGAGAATCGCTTGAACCTGGGAGGCCGAGGTTGCAGTGAGCCAAGATTTCGCCACTGAACTCTAGCCTGGGCAACAATCGCGAGACTTCATCTCAAAAAAAAATAGTAATAAAGTAAAAATAGGCCTGGCGCGGTGGCTCACGCCTGTAATCCCAGCACTTTGGGAGGCCGATGCAGGTTGGATCACCTGAGGTCAGGAGTTTGAAACCAGCCTGACCAACATGGTTAAACCCCGTCTCTACTAAATACAAAAAAAAATTAGCTGGGCATAGTGGTAGGTGCCTGTAATCCCAGCTACTCAAGAGGCTGAGGTAGGAGAATGGCTTGAACCCAAGAGGCAGAGGTTGCAGTCAGCCGAGATTACGCCATTGCACTCCAGCCTGGGCAATAAGAGTGAAACTCCATCTCAAAAAAACAAAAAATAAATAAATAAATAAATAAATAAAATAAAAAATAGAGCTAAGTTCTCATGTAGTAAAAGGGAAAGAAAATGAGGAGCAGAAAAGCCTGAATAAAATGCAACATTTGTGAAAAAACGTGGGTGTTGTATACATATTCATGACTGTTATATAAAATATCTCCACAGGCACCCACAGGAAATGATAGTGACAGTTGCCCTGGAAAGAAATTTAGAGACAGGCACAGGAGGGAAACTGTCCTCCAGACGTATTTTTATATGGTTTCAATTCTTTTTTCCCATGTGCATGTATTTCAGATTTTTATGTACTAACGTACACATTTATGTATGTAATGTACATATTATATATTAATGTACATATACATTTAATGTATTATACCTTAAAATACCTTTTCATTAAAGATAAAGTCAGACAAACTTTTTTTAAAAAGTTAATATATGCCCATTATTAAAAAAAAAAGTTGGACAAAATAGAAAAGTGCAAAGAAGAAAATAAAATTAGCCCAGATCCCAATCCCCGCAAGTGACCACTAGCAACCTTTCAGTGTCTTTTCTCCCAGGCTCTTCTACATCACTGAAATCATGGTGTAGGAATACTCTTTTATCCCACAACTTTCACAAAACTGTACCAGATTTTCTGTGTCATTAACTTCCTGCCCCAGCATGCTCTGTGATGCCGGCTGTTTCAAGTCCTTGCTATAAGTGATAATGCTCTTATCAGAGGTGTGTGAACCAGAGCAACTCCATCTTGAATAGGCGCTGGGTAAAATGAGGCTGAAACCTACTGGGCTGCATTCCCAGATGGTTAAGGCATTCTAAGACACAGGATGAGATAGGAGGTTGGCACAAAATACAGGTCATAAAGACCTTGCTGATAAAACAGTTTGCAGTAAAGGAGCCGGCCAAAGCCCACCAAAACCAAAATGGCCATGAAAGTGACCTCTGGTTGTCCTCACTGCTACACTCCCACCAGCACCATGACAGTTTACAGATGCCATGGCAACGTCAGGAAGGGGAGGCATGAATAATCCCCCCTTTGTTTCGCATATCATCAAGAAATAGCCATAAAAATGGGCAGCCAGCAGCCCTCAGAGCTGCTCTGTCCATGGAGTAGCCATGCTTTTATTCCTTCACTAATAAACTTGCTTTCACTTTGCACTGTGGAACTGCCCAGAATTCTTTCCTGTGCAAGCTCCAAGAACCCTCTCTTGGGGTCTGGATCGGGTCCCCTTTCCTGTAACATCTTTCTGGTGACCATGAAGGGACTATACTGCGGAAACCCCTGACCCAAAAGCTAACTTTGGGTAAGTGGTGGGGTCCAGTAACATCTTTTTCACAAACCACAAAAGGGACAATACTGAGGAGACCCCTGACCCAAAGGAAATACACTGCAGCACTGATTGGACGATTTTGGGTAAGTGGTGGGGTACCTGGGTAAACAATGGGATTGGGTTAGAGGCCCAACTTAGGGAAGTTAGTCTCTCCTAAGACAGAGTGGGTTAGAGGGCCCTCTTAATAAAAGGCAAGAATGCTTGACCAAACTTGGGTTAGAGGCCCAATTTAAGAGGGTTAGAGTCCCTTCTAAGATTTAGGGGCTTGGAGGGTTAGAGTCCCTTCTAAGATTTAGGGGCTTGGAGGGTTAGAGTCCCTTCTAAGATTTAGGGGCTTGGAGGGTTAGAGTCCCTTCTAAGATTTAGGGGCTTGGAGGGTTAGAGTCCCTTCTAAGATTTAGGGGCTTGGAGGGTTAGAGTCCCTTCTAAGATTTAGGGGGTTGGAGGGTTAGAGTCCCTTCTAAGATTTAGGGGGTTGGAGGGTTAGAGTCCCTTCTAAGATTTAGGGGGTTGGAGGGTTAGAGTCCCTTCTAAGATTTAGGGGGTTGGAGGGTTAGAGTCCCTTCTAAGATTTAGGGGGTTGGAGGGTTAGAGTCCCTTCTAAGATTTAGGGGGTTGGAGGGTTAGAGTCCCTTCTAAGATTTAGGGGGTTAAAGACTCTCAGTGCAGTCCCTTTCAGCTAAGAACAGTTCTGGCACTATGAGATGTTAAAAGCTATTCTCTTCGGAATAATCTGCCTTGCACTCTTTGCTGATGGCTGTGGGTGACAGGGTTAGGCGTGTACAGGATCATGGGACATGGGGAGCTTTTTCCTCCCTAAACGGGGAAACTTGAGAGCTATGGGACGGCTGGAAAAGATTCCTTTGCTACCCACAAGCGGCCGCCTGAGCTTTTCATTGTCGGCTGCAATGAGTGGGTCTTTTCTGGCCTCCCTAAGCTCTTCACCTTCTCCACCCTGCCTCAGGCAATACTTTCCCTCTCTATTTTTCCTTTTCTATCTTTTCTGTTACTCAGGGCAACCATCTTGCCCAGAGACCACGTGTTGAAACTCCAAGTTGGAAGTTGGATTAAAGATGACGGGGCCCATCTGGGGGCAAATTTAAGCCTTGCCAGTTTCATACTGTGTGCTAAGCAGAGTGGCTAATGTCTGTGTTTGATCACATGTATTCTGCTCTGGCCAGAACAAAAAATAATAATGTCCTTTATAATGTGGCTTGACCCCCAGGGCGAGGTGCCACAAGCTGGATCACTAGGGCTGCTTAGGGAAAGGGAACCCAGAAGCCTGGCACATTGGCAAAAGGGTAAGAATTTCTCACCAGTCAGATTTCTGGCTTCTCTCTCTGTGCAAATGGTTGAATGAATGGGGAGAGAAAAAAAAAAAAACTGTTTATCTCCTCTGTCAAGTTTTGATTAATGCGAAAAAGAATTCTAAGGCTAGTTTTAAGCTGTTGTATTTTATGCTATGAATTCATTTTTCTGTGTTGAGGGGTACTTCAGGATAAAACATGACCTTAAAACACCGGTAAGCCCACTTTTCAAGACGACCCAGCAGGCTGGGTCAGTAACAAACTTGGCTGCAGGTCCCTGAAACAAACAAAAATCTGGATGAAGTCTCCACCTTGTTTTATGTCCTTGGGAGTTTGACCTTGTAACCACATGGCAGTACTTTTGGTCTCTGCCTTCCAAGGAACAGGAATTTTAGGGTTCATGTCATAGTTAGCTCTAAAAATCCTATTAAATAAAAAGCCTTTGCAAGTTCAAAATTAACTATTCCCTTCTGGGAAGGGAAACAGAGGCTGCCCCATGCTAGAGCTCAGTAACTAAGGTTCTGCACTTTCACAGTCACGGTCCTGATTCAATTCCCCACCTTGGAAGTAAGTCCTTTCTGGTTTAATATCTGCGTGTCCTTGTCTATTTTCTCCTCCTCCGTGGATTGTCTTAAATTTTCCTTTCTCTAAGCCCCTGGGAGGTTACCTTTGGTAAAGTTCAAAGGCCAGAAATATTGGCCGTTTGGCATAAGAAATTCTAAAAGGACTTTATTAATGAGTACTATGGTTAAAAATCAGTTTCATTAAAAGTGGCTATTCAAGCTCTAACAGCCTGGACTCCTTGAGAAAAACAGGAGGCACCACAGACCCCTTTCCTGGCCCTGTTCTTCTAAGGGCTCCACCCAAAAGCCAGTAATCCAATTAAGAAACTTAAAAACTGGCAAATGAAAAATCTTACAACTACTGTAGTAATCTTCTTCTTTCTGTGTAGCTATATATGTGTTCTGTGTAATGTTTATATAAAAGAACTCTAATTAACTGGCTTAAACAAAAATAAGCACTTAAATATTTTGAAGGCAAAATAAAAACTGTAACGCCTTTTAGTTCATGTAACTTTAGTAATCTTTGGGAAATAAAAACAGCTTTAAAAATTATTGATAAAAACATTTAGTCTAAATTATGCAGGTCAGATATTAAGTTTGCTAAATGCTTTAAGGTCATAAACTGCTTCTTTCACTTTGAAAACTTGTTCAATTTACCTACCTTAAAGCCATTAGGGTCAGGCGTGGTGGCTCACACCTGTAATCCCAGCACTTTGGGAGGCTGAGGCAGGTGGATCACAAGGTCAGGAGTTCAAGACCAGCCTAGCCAAGATGGTAAAACCCCATCTCTACTAAAAACACAAAAAATTAGCCAGGTGCAGTGGCAGATGCCTGTAATCCCTGCTACTTGGGAGGCTGAGGTAGGAGAATTGCTTGAACTCGGAGGGCGGAGGTTGCAGTGAGCCGAGATCGTGCCACTGCACTCCAGCCTGGGTGACAGAGTGAGACTCCATCTCAAAAAAAAAAAAAACCATTAGGTTCTAGATAAGGCCTGGGGACACGTGGAATTAGCCATGCTTCCTAGCTATACAAAGAAGATTATAAAGAAAGATTTTCTACGAGAAAGGATCTTCGGCCAGGCACGGTGGCTCATGCCTGTAACCCCAGCATTTTGGGAGGCCGAGGCAGGTGGCTCACCTAAAGTCAGGAGTTTGAGACCAGCCTGACCAACATGGTGAAACCCCATCTCTACTAGAAATACAAAATCAGCTGGGCATGGTGGCACATGCCTATAATCCCAGCTACTTGGGAGCTGAGGCAGGAGCATTGCTTGAACCCAGAAGGTGGAGGTTGCAGAAAGCCGAGATTGCACCACTGCACTCCAGCCTGGGCAACAGGAGTGAAACTCCATCTCAAAAAAAAAAGGAAATAAAACATCCTTGTATGGTAAATTCTTGTCCTAGGCCAGGTGCGGTATCTCACGCCTATAATCCCAGCACTTTGGAAGACCAAGGTGGGCAGATCACCCTGAGGTCAGGAGTTCGAGACCAACTTGACCAACATGGTGAAACCCCATCTCTACTAAAAATTACAAAAATTAGTGGGGCATGGTGGCACGAGACTGTAATCCCAGTTACTTGGGAGGCTGAGGCAGGAGAACTGCTTGAACCTGGGAGGTGGAGGTTGCAGTGAGCCAAGACTACACCACTGCACTCCAGCCTGGGCAACAGAGTGAGACTCCATCTTGAAAAAAAAAAATTTGTCCTAAAGTAAAATGACTGGTTGTTTAAAAGGAGAAATGTTTAGGGCAAGTCAGAAAGTCCAAGAATGTCTCAGGTTGTTTAAGTCGTGAGAGGATTTGTGAAAAGGAATTTATGCAAGAAATGTTGTTGTACAATTCAAAGGTTGTCAGGCCTTCTAAATGCTTCATAAAATGCCACTATGACTCTTACTGTACAACTTGCCTGCTTTACAGACAGGTAAGCCCTGGGGACGTGTGGAGTTAGCCACGCCCCCTAGCTATGCTGGAGAGTCAGCTCTAAGTCTGCACTTCTGCCTAGTATGTCCTAGGCAGGATCCACACCTAGTAAATAATTAAAATCTCAAACTTACCAAGGTTTTTGCCAAAAATAAAAGTTGAAAATGTGTTTTTGGTGAAAGACTATAAGATTTGGTATAATTGGTATATGTTCCAAAGTTATGGGAAACTCATAATTCTAATATGACTTAGTGTAGTTATTAATTGTTATGTAAAAATTTTTGTGCCACAGAAGTAACCAAATTTCCTTATTAATTGTGGCTTTAATAGCGACTGTCCTAAAACTTTTTATCATCCACAGATAATCATTGTCTTGTTTTAATCCTCTTTAGAAGGTGGCTTATAGTCAACTATAAAACTCTAACAGGTGTTCTTAAATACAGGTTTCTAATAACTTTGGAACTGTAACTTTAGAATAGAGGAAACAACTTTGAGAACTCTCATGAAGAGCTGGAATGTTCATGAATATCAAATAGAACAGGAGTTAACTGAATTAACTGAACCAATAGAAAACTGAAATAATCTTTTTAACTTTGCTTAAAATGCTGCTGATTCTTTGTTTTGTTTTTCAGAGTGAAGGAAACTTTTGAGCTATTTACAGCTTTTAGCAATTAAGTAAACTATACTCCTGTGAACAAAATTTGGAGCATATTTGTTTCTCTCTACCTGATTTCTCCAAACTTTGGAAACTATTTGTGAATACTCTTAATTTATGGCAATATAGTTTTTTGCATAAGTGAGATAAGAATCTGTTTTCTGGGCTGGGCTCAGTGGCTCGTTTCTGTAATCCCAGCACTTGGAGAGATCAAGGTGGGCAGATCACTTGAGGTCAGGAATTCGAAACCAGCCTGGCCAAAAAGGCAAAAGGCCATCTCTACTAAAAATATAAAAATTAGCCAGGTGTGGTAGCACATGCCTGTAATTCCAGCTACTAAGGAGGCTGAGGCAGGAGAATTATTTGAACCCAGGGGGCAGATGTTGCAGTGAGCTGAGATCAAGCCACTGCATTCCAGCCTGGGCAACAGAGTGAGACTCCATCTCAAAAAAACAAAAGGGGGTGGGGGGTTAGGGGTGAGAATCTGTTTTCTTTTGTAACAGGACACAATTGGAGAAATTTTACCAAGGCTTTAACTGGCATGGTGTGCTTTCATTTAAGGAATCAAACTTAACTTGTAAAGCCAATAAAAGCCCCTTGGAGAATTGGTCTGACCTTGTCTGCAATAGTCTCTGCATAGGGTTTCTGACCTGTGGTAAGTAAAGAATGTCAATTTCTGACAGGTCCAGGAGCCCCAAGTTATCTTGGGACCCCAAGAGGAGAGGAATTAACTCAACTCATAGGTATTTGAGGGTACAAAACTACGGCTGAGCTTAGCTTTAAAAAGCCTTACCTAAAATTCCTTCTACGGAACAGAGCTCCAGCAAAGCCAATTTTAAAAGAGCCTCTGTGGAAAATAATTATTCTTGCTGCACTTTATACAAATAATCAGGCCAAAGGCCAAGTGTAATAAAGCAAATCAGTCTTACCATGATTTGTTTTTAGTAAAAATGAGAAACTGGAGAGAGAAATATTATGTTTCAAGAACTATGGTACACTTGTTTATTAAATTCTAGTCTCATTAGTTGCTTTTAAGTTTGTTTCTGCAATTCAGGCTAACCCTGCTTATTCCTGTAAACCAACCAGCGATCTCTGTCTGCTGCTCAGAAGAAACAAGAGGGATGGGTAATGTAAAAATCTGGATCAGCATTCTAATTCTGGGCACATTACAATCAGCTAACAACCCCATGTCAGCTTAGTTCCAACATGCCCAGTTCATGAAAAGCCTTCTAATTTAGTTTACTTGGAATAACTTTACTTATTTTGGTTTATTCTTATGGAATATATTGCTGTTATACTCTTTGTGTAGGAATATAGGACAAGCTTACTGAATGTTTTCTTAAACACTTATTAATCTTGCAGATATCACCTTTTGTCAAAACTCAAGAGTTATGAATGCCCCCTACCATACTGATGCTTTCCAACTGAGCTCTTCTCTACCCTGAATGCAAGAGAACCTCAGAGTTAGGCAGGAACATCATTATCCCTATTCAGCCTGAAGAAGTTACAGAAGATGGATCTTCATCCCTCTGCAACCCTTAGGATTAAAGGTTCTCTTATAAAAGGGAGGGGAGAAATGTCAGAGGCACGTAAACCAAAGCAACTCCACCTTGAATAGGAGCTGGATAAAATGAGGCTGAGACTTACTGGGCTGCATTCCCAGATGGTTAGTTAGTCTAAGTCACAGGATGAGATAGGAGGTCAGCATAAAATACAGGTCAGAAAGACCTTGCTGATAAAACAGGTTGCAGTAAAGGAGCCGGCCAAAACCCAGCCGAGAGTGACCTCCGGTCGTCCTCACTGCTACACTCCCACCAGCGCCATGACAGTTTACAAATGCAGTGGCAATGTCAGGAAGTTACCCTATATGGTCTAGAAAGGGGAGGCATGAACAATCCACCCCTCGTTTAGCATATCATCAGAAATAACCATAAAAATGGGCAACCAGCAGCCCTCGGGGCTGCTCTATGGGTAGCCATTCTTTTCTTCCTTTAATTCTCTGATAAGCTTGCTTTCACTTTTCTCCGTGGACTCGCCCTAAATTCTTTCTTGCACGAGATCCAAGAACCCTCTCTTGGGGTCTGGATCGGGACCCCCTTCCTGCAGCACTCTGAAGAGTACTTGTGTCCTGTCTGAGCATTTCCTCAGTGTACACTTCAGGATGTGGAAGTATACATTGTTAAGGTCCTGTGTGCACACTGGCAGGTTTCCCTTCAGAAAAGGCACACCAATCTGCACTGCCACCCAGACAGCCTGTGTGGGAACAGCAGCCATTCGTGGCATCAGAGGAGACAGAATCCCCTCTGATGACACACTCAGGCGGCATGTGCACCCCCTTGTTCTCTATGTCCCAGCCATACTGGGAGAGACATGACCGGTGGGATTTCCCAGGAAGCTGACCCATGGAGCAGCACGGGAAGCACCCTCCTGCTGCTAACGTGCAAAACGGGACACAAGCTAAGCATGGGTACTTTAGTCAAGAGGTACAGCTCCACCTGGGACCTGGGGACTCAGCCTAGAAGCAGACACAAAACTCTGAAAAAACTGTAATCCCAGCTACTCAGGAGGCTGAGATGGGAGGATCACTTGAGCTAAGGAGTTCAGGCTGCAGTGAGCTGTGGTCACACCTGTGCACTCCAGCCTGGGTGACAGAGCAAGACCCAGTCTCTAAAAAAAATAAAGATGATCATAAAAAATCTGAAAAAAAAAAAAAAAAAAATAGAAATCTGGGGCAGGGAGGGCAGCAAAATACAGCCCACTGGCAAACAGGCCCACCATTTGTGTTTATAAATAAAGCTTTATTGGCACACAGCCACAGCCATTCATTTATATATTGTCCACAGCTGCTTTGGTGCTAGAACAGTGGAGTGGTAACACAGATCATAAGGACTGAAAAGACTAAAGTATTTACTCTCTGGCCAGGGACATTTGCTGACCCCGATCTAGAGTGTATGGAGCTAAATTAGCATTCAAGGGTAAGGGTGAAAGAACATCATTTTCAGATGTCCAAGCAGTGTACTCCCCACAGATCTCACTGAAGACATTGCTATTGCACTTCAGCAAGAAGGACATTAAAGCCAGGAGAAAATAGTAAAATGTGAAGTATAACGGGGACCATATAATCACCTCAGCTGCAAGCTCAGCATCCCCCTTCCAAAGCCGCCTGCATCCGGTGACTGATGGAGGTGGGGGACGGAAGCCCAGCCCTCTCAGGCACATGGGGGCGTTCTGATGGGTCTTCACTCCAGATTCCACCCTACCCCTAGGCTGGCAGAGGCGTGGAATCTCTTCCTCTGCCCAAGCCTGCTGCACTTCCCTTCCCTCCGCAATGGATAATCCGCGGTCACAGCTTGCATCCGAAGCCCCATCTCGGCAGCCACCCTCGGGGAACCCACCCCGCAGCACACACTGTTGAAGTCTTTGGTAAAGGGAGCTGGGGTTTTATTCTTAGTGTGATGCAAAAGCCACTGGCAGGTTTTGGGCAAAAAAGAGCCGGGATCTGATTTATTATTTTGTACGACAACTTGAGCTGCTTTGTAGAGAATCTATTGGGAGGTAGAGAAAGTTCAAGTGTGGAAGTAGGGGAAGAGATAAGAGCTTGGTGTACTCATCCAAGTGAGATGTATCGGTGGTGTGGAGTAAGGCAGTAGATAGGGATATGACAGAAAATGAGGTATACTGGATATATTTTGAGCAGCGCGCTCTTAAATACTGGGAGCCTACTGCAAGCAACATACTAAATGCCAAAAGTTTCAAGTCAACCTCATTAAAGACAGGAACAAGGGGCCGGGCATGGCGGCTCACACCTGTAATCCCAGCACTTTGGGAGGCCGAGGTGGGTGGATCACCTAAGGTCAGGAGTTTGAGACACGCCTCGCAACATGGTGAAACCCTGTCTCTATTAAAAATACAAAAACTAGCTGGGCGTGGTGGCGGGCGCCTGTAATCCCAGCTACTCGGGAGGCTGAGGCAAGAGAATTGCTTGAACCTTGGAGGCAGAGGATGCAGTGAGCTGAGATCGTGCCACTGCACTCCAGCCTGGGCAACAGAAGGAGACTCCGTCTCAAAAATAAATAAATAAATAAATAAATAAATAAATAAATAAATAAATAAATATAAATATAAATAAATAAAGACAGGAACAAGGCAACGAGGGCCACCATCGCTGCTAAAATTCAACACCAACTCAAGGTAAATGCAGTGAGACAAGAAAATGAAATGTGAATAATAGAAAAGAAGATGCAGAGAAGCCACGGCTGACTGTGCAGTCCCCGAAAAATAAAGTTATGTTGACTGAACACAATTTGAAATAAGAAAGGAATTCAGCAAGGTCTGGCAAGACTGGGAGTTTCGGGGCTGATTAAGGAAGAGGTATGACCATGAGGTGGCGCCGGCACACCGTGAGCTTCCTTTGGGCTGCTTTTTGACAGCTGGGACACTTTCCAGAGAGACAGCACTGGGCCACACCCAGAAGGGAGGGAGGGCAAGGGGACTCCGGGAGAAGGGACTCTGTGAGGGCTTACCTATCTAGGTGAATCTCTGGGTCAGAAACCTCCAAAGGGCAGCAGCCATTTGAAGTCTTGACCTCTCTGTAGCCCCTTATCTGTGGCTGACAGATGGTGGGTGCAGTGTGGTGGAGTGGGGCAGACTGTGCAAAGCTGGCAGGCTCTAAGTGGCTAACAATATGCTTCTCTGGGCTACATTTAATGCAAATGGATGTGTGAAAATTTGAGTTTGCTGCTGGCTTGCTTTGAGCTAACAGCCCCGGCCTGCTGTGAAGAAGTGAAAACATGGGGCCAATATGCAGGGCCCACTTTACCCCTTGGATATAACAGAAGGTGACCAGGTATAAAGTCAGCATATAAATACCAAAAGGGTTCCAACACCCAAGCAATGGCCAGTGTGAGACGTAATGGAGCATCCCATTCACCAAAGCCACAAAACCCACATAATACCTGGGATAACTCTAAAGAAAAAGATGTGCAGGAACACAGCAAAACCTTTTCTAAAAACCTTTTAAGAAGACAGGAATAAAAGTAAATGATATCATTTTTCTGGAAGAGATGATTTGATATTATAAAGGTGCTTAATGCTCCCCCATTAATCTATACATTTAATCCTATCACAGTCAAAATTCCAACAGATGTTCGTGGCAGTGAGAAACCAACCCTAAAGTTCACCCAAAAGAGAAAAAGGAGTATAAGATTTGTTCAAGGTAGAAAAAAAAGAGAGAAGTAAGCAGAACCAAGAAATTTGGTTTTAATGACAAAAAAGGAAGCAACCTAAATATGTTCATCAGTAGGGAAACGGTTAAATAAATTAACAGTTTGCTATTAAAGAATGTATTCACCAGGCACAGTGGCTCACACCTGTAATCCCAGCACTTTGTAAAGCCAAGGCTGGAGGATCCCTTGAGCCTAGGAGTTCAAGATCAGCCTGAGCAACAGAGCAAGACCCCTTCTCTTCAAAGAATGTACAAACTATGACTGGAAGCAGAGAGCCAAATCATGAATGAACTTCCATTCACAATTGCTACAAAGAGAATAAAATACCTAGGAACACAGCTAACTAGGGATGTGAATGACCTCTTCAAGGAGAACTACAAACCACCCCTCAAGGAAATCAGAGAGGACACAAACAAATGGAAAAACATTCCATGCTCATGGATGGGAAGAATCAATATCATGAAAATGCCCATACTGCTAAACATAATTTATAGATTCGATGCTATTCCCATTAAACTGCCATTGACATTCTTCACAGAATTAGGAAAAAGCTATTCTAAAATTCCTATGGAACCAAAAAAAAGAGCCCAAATAGCCAAGACAATACTAAGCAAAAATAAAAAAGCTGGAGGCATCACGCTACCTGACTTCAAACTATACTGCAAGGCTACAGTAACCAAAACAGCATGGTAGTGGTACAAAAACAGACACATAGACCTATGGAACAGAATAGAGAAGTCAGAACTAAGACCACACACCTACAACCATCTTACCTTCAACAAACCTGACAAAAATAAGCAACAAGGAAAGGATTCCCTATTTAATAAATGGTGGTGGGACAACTAGCTAGTCATTGAAACTAGACCCCTTCCTTATGCCTTATACAAAAATTAACTCAAGATGGATTAAAGACCTAAATATAAAACCTGAAACTATAAAAACCCTAGAAGAATATCTAGGGAATACCATTCAGGACATAGGCATGGACAAAGATTTTATGATGAAAATGCCAAAAGCAATTGCAACAAAAGCAAAAAATGACAAATGAGATCTAATTAAATTAAAGAGCTTCTGCACAACAAAAGAAACTATCATCAGAGTGAAAGGCAGCCTACAGAATGGGAGAAAATTTTTACAATCTATCCATCTGACAGAGGTCTAATATCCAGAGTCTACAAGGAACTTAAACAATTTACAAGAAAAAAACAAACAACCCCATCAAAAAGTGGGCAAAGGACATGAACAGACACTTTTCAAAAGAAAACATTCATGCAGCCAACAAACGTATGAAAAAAAAAGCTCAACATTCCTGATCATTAGAGAAATGCAAATCAAAACCACAATGAGATACCATCTCACGCCAGTCAGAATGGCAATTATTAAAAAGCCAAGAAACAACAGATGCTGGCAAGGCTGCAGAGAAGAAGGAACACTTTTACACTGTTGGTGGGAATGTAGATTAGTTCAACCATTGTGGAAGACAGCGTGGTGATTCCTCAAAGGTCTAGAACCAGAAACACCATTTGACCCAGCAATTCCATTACTGGGTATATACCCAAAGGAATATAAATCATTCTATTATAAAGATACATGCACATGTATGTTCACTGCAGCATTAGTCACAATAGCAAAGACATGGAATCAATCCAAATGCCCATCAATGATAGACTGGGTAAAGAGAATGTGGTACATATATGCCATGGAATACTATGTAGCCATAAAAAGGAACAATATTATGTCCTTTGCAGAAACATGGATGGAGCTGGAAGCCATTATCCTCAGCAAACTAACAAAGAAACAGAAAACCAAACACCACATGTTCTCACTTATAAGTGGGAGCTGAATGATGAAAACACATGGACACAGGGAGGGGAACAACACACACTGGGGCCTGTCGGGACGGGGGAGCAAAGGAAGGCACAGCATCAGGAAGAATAGCTAATGGATGCTGGGCTTAATACTTAGGTGATGGGTTGATCTATGCAGCCAGCCACCATGGCAGACATTTACATATGTAACAAACCTGCACTTCTTGCACACATATCCCGGAACTTAAAGTAAAAGTTAAAGAAAAAAACTACAGCAGCTAATTACTTGCTAAGCAATTTGAAGAAAACTACAAAATGAAACTAAAAACTTCCCAAAAAAAAAAAAAGAGAGAGAAAGAAAGAAAAAGAAAACTATGGCTGGGCGAGGTGGCTCATGTCTGTAATCGAGCACTTTGGGAGGCCAAGGAGTGCAGGTCGCTAAATACCTGGAGTTCGAGACCAGCCTGGCCAACATGGTGAAACCCCACCCCATCTCTACTAAAAATACAAAAATTAGACAGGCGTGGTGGCGCGTGCCTGTAATCCCAGCTACCCCAGGGGCTGAGGCAGGAGAATTGCTTGAACCTGGGAGATGGAGGTTGCAGTAAGCAAAGATCATGCCACTGCACTGCGGCCTGGGCGACAGAGCAAGACTCTGTCTAAAAAAAAAAAGAAAAAAAAATTGGCCGGGCACTGTGGCTCAGGTCTGTAATCCTAGCACTTTGGGAGGCCGAGGTGGGTGGATCATCTGAGGTCCAGAGTTCGATACCAGCCTGGCCAACATAGTGAAAACCCATCTCTACTAAAAATACAAAAAAAAATTAGCTGGGTGTGATGGCACATGCCTGTAGTCCTAGCTACTCAGCAGAATCACTTGAACCCGGAAGGCAGAGGTTGCAGTGAGCTGTGATCATGCCACTGCACTCTAGCCTGGGTGGCAGAGCGAGACTCTGTTTCAAAAAGAAAAAAAATTTTTTTTAACTAAAAAAAATTAAAAATTTAAAAATAAAAAAAATACTTAAAATTAGCCAGGCGTGGTGGCACACACCTGTGGCCCCAGTTACTCAGGAGGCTGTTGTAGGAGGATCCCTTGAATCCAGGAGGTCAAGGCTGCAGTAAGCCAAGATCACGCCACTGCATTCCAGCCTAGGCAACAGAGCAAGATCCTGTCTCTTAAAAAAAAAAAAAAAAGAATGTATATGGAAATAAGTTTTTTAGAGGGCAACTGTAGAACACTGAAATAGTAGGAAGCCATTTTTATAAAACCAAAGTGATCTATCTACGTGTGTGTATGTGCATATGTGCATACGCATACATGTGGACGCCTAGGAGCACATGTGGAAGGACACATTAGCACCAGGGCAGGCAATGGGACTCTCACTCTATGCTGTTTGGATTTTCACAAGAAGGTATTCATTTACTACTTGTGCAATTGGAATCGTCCTTCTGAATAATGCAGAAGATTCTGCCCTGGTTCTAATATGGCTGGTCTTTCTAACAGACCTGCCCAGCCATGGCAGGAGGTCAAGACACACGTTTTCTTCCCATCTCTTTCCACTCTGTGTGGTGGGACCTTAACCGCTTCCCTCACCTCGCTGATACCTCAGTGACATACCTGGCTGACACTCCACCCATCCCTGTCTGCAGAGGGTGATGAAGCCCCACCTCACACCCCAGTCTCACTCCCACCTTGCAGAGCTGCTGCAGGGCTGAGATCATGAACCTGGAGGGCTCAGCCCAAGGCCCAGCAAGCAAACCCAGCTCCACTTGCAGAGACTGCTCTTCTCACTTGCGCCACTGTTGCTGAAGTTACTACCGTCGCCTCACGCAAGATAATTGTGAGATTCCAGGGGCCGCAGCCCACAGGCAGTGTGGTGTTTGTGGCTGCCCTGATCTCTGTCATTGCCCATTGATGCTTGGCAGCTCATTCATCTGCCCGCCTGCCCTCCTGCATGCAGGTAAGCTGGATCCTCCTCGGTGCCTGCAGCCTGGGTGGTCGGTGGTACCAGGTGTGGGGCCAGCCCAGCCCGGCCGTCCACAGCTGTGCATCCTCTGGCCACAGCTCTGCTTCACCCCCTCATCTAGAAAACCCTTGCAGGGACCCAGTGAAAGAGGCCCACTGTGGATGTCAGCGTGCTCTGATGACACGAAGGACAGGAAAGTGTGTACTGGAAAGAGCTTGGGGCGTGACCCCACCACCCACCCTGGTCTGTCAACTGGGGTTACGATGCCTGCCGCAGGTGTGGCTGTTAAGACTTATTTCGGTGAAGGCCATCAGCTGTAAGTGACAGAAGCTCAACCCAAACCAAGGGAAGCAAATGAAGCCAATCTGTAGTTGGTTTTTCAGTGCTGGGGCAGAGCTGGAGGCACCTTGCAGGAGTGGAGCAGAGGCTGGCAGAGCCAAGGGCTTGGTACTGGAACCAGCACTGAGACTTCCAGGGTGTGTCTACAGGACCCTTTGTCTGGTCTCCCCTGCCTTTCAGCAGCAGCGAGGCTCCCTCTGTGGGGGAGGGGGCAGAGAATACAGGGGCTGGGGTGGGTGCCCTTCCCACCCAGGGGACCATGGCAGGGACAGCTGCTCTTCCCAGCCTCCACATAGCCTTTCCAGGGAAGGAACCGACTGGCCTTGCCCAGGTCACATGCCCAGACCTGGCATCAATCACTGTCACCAAAGGCTGGGCTTCCTTAAAAGGCCTGGGTCCCAGGCACAGTCCTCAGCGGCAGGGGGCATAGAGGAAGGGAGTCCAAGCACATGCTGGGGAGTGAAAACACACTAACAAAACCAAGCAAAACAATGACCAACAACAGAAAACGACCACGCTGGCTGCAAGACCCACTGCACTAGGGCGTGTGATGCCTGGAAGAGGCCCAGGCACACAGTAGGTCTCCACAATGCAGACCGGCACTGTGATGGAGAACTGGCAAATGGGGTTCTCTTCCTCCCCGCCACCACTCCCACCACCGTCACCATGGCCACCACTCACCAGCAGTAAACTGTCCTCAAAAATGCTTTAAAACATTAGTCATGGTTTCCAATCCAACTTTTGAGAAACAGTATTTGGACCACGAGTGTGTGCTGCACACTCCAGGTGCTTCTGCTTGCAGATGTGAGGTTTAGAGTTGCCCACCATGCAGCGCACAGTGGGGCAGCGCACACGGGCCAGCACACAGTGGCACAGCGCACAGGGGCCAGCACGCAGTGAGGCACGCATGGTGGGGCGGCGCATGGGGGCAGCACACGGGGGCCAGCACACAGTGAGGCAGTGCGCAGGGGCCAGCGCACAGTGGGGCAGCGCACAGTGAGGCAGCACACAGTGGGGCAGCGCACAGGGGCCAGCGCACAGTGGGGCAGCACACGGGGGCCAGCACACAGTGGGACGGTGCACAGGGGCCAGCGCACAGTGGGGCAGCGCATGGGGGCAGGGGAGCACACAGCGCAGGAGCAGTCAGGCTGTGGGCTTCTCGGATAAGCGACAGGGCTCAAGGTCAGTCACAGGGTGGGTGGAGGGGCTTCTCCCTGGAGGCCTGGGTCAACTTTCAGTTTGCCTCTCTGCAGGGCATCTGGCTTTCCTTCTGTTGCAAGGGAAATTTCATTTGGAAAATTCCCTTAGAGGGTGTGTTTTCTAGGTTGCCTAAGAGGAAGCAGTCAAATCCAGGACGCAGCTATCACTGGAAACCAGGGCGGTGAGAGGCGAAGCTTGGATCTCGTCTGCGCAGACCTCCAGAGGCCTGCCCTCACGTGCCTGCCCATTCGGCAGCCGGAGCTGCTGAGACAGTGGAAGACAGAGCGGACCTCTGCCCCGTGCTGCTGATCCTCCACTGAGGAGGCCTCCAGACACCAGCCGCTGGGGAGATCATCCATAGTGACACTCTCCACCGTGGAGAGGAGTGGCAGGTGGAGAAAGGGCTGGGCTGTGGGCACAGCCTGGGGGGAGGTGGCCATCACACACCCTGGCCGCAAAATCCTCCAGTACAGAGGTAGCATCTAAGCTTCCCCAAGCCCAGAAGACTCCCCAACTTGGGGACGCACAGAAACGAGGCCCTGGAAGACATGGCCCAGGGTCCACACCGCCATAGCAGGGGGCAGGTGCTGTGATAACGAGGAAGTCTGTTCTCATCTCGCTCCATTCAAATACACTTTTGCCAATCCAAGACACACAAAGATGCTTTAAGAAAACAAACGGGGCTGGGCTTGGTGGCTCACACCTGTAATCCCAGCACTTTGGGAGGCCAGGGTGGACAGATCATTTGAGGTCAGGAGTTCGAAACCATACAAAAATTAGCCAGGTGTGGTGGTGGGCACCTGTAATCCCAGCTACTCAGGAGGCTGAGGCAGGAGAATCGCTTGAGCCCAGGAAGCGGAGGCTGCAGTGAGCAGAGATCGTGCCACTGCACTCCAGACTGGGCAACAGAGTGAGACTCCATCTCAAAAAAAAAAAAGAAAAAGAAAAAAAAAGTTTTCTGTTAAGTTGTTTAAGAGCTGGGCAAAACAATAGGTTTCAATTTCCCCCAGAATCAGGGCACAGGGATGAAACCCACACTCGGGACAGTAGGAGTGGGGGAATTTGGGCGGGAGTCACGAAGGTCGACCATGGTGCTGAGTCTTGGAGGCTCCCACCCCATCCCACCCCTGCCTGAGCCTTGGGTGACAGAGGAATGGTTGGGGGCCAGAGAGGCTGGAGTCTTCCAGGGGCAGAAAGGACTTGGGCCTCCGCTCAGAAGAGCTGCCCCTGCAGGGGCAAGGGAGAGAGGTGGGGCAGGGCAGGTCTAAGAAAGGCCCCGGCCACACCCGTCCTGGCCTTCCCTGGCCCTGGGCATGGTGGAAACCGTCCTCCCTGACACCCAAGCATCTTTAGTGGGACATTCCTTTCTCAAGAATGCAGCGTGGGGCAGGACTTCTCTTCAGGGTTTGGTCAGCTGGCCCTTCCTGCCTCAAGGCTGACTCATGGCATCGGTTATGCCCACGTCCTAATCCCTGGCACCTGTGAATGTCACTCTATCTGGCAAAGGCACTGTGCAAAGGCAATTGCATGAGGGCTTCTGAGAAGCGGAGTCCGTCCTGATCCTGTGGGCAAGTCCTACTGAGAAGGAGCAGGAGGGGCAGGGAGAAGGCCATGTGAGGATGGAGAGAGAGACTGGAGCGACGGAGGAAGGGGCCATGAGCCACAGCAGACAGGCACCACCTAGAAATTGCAAAAGGCAAGGAAACAGATTCTCCCCTGAAGCCTCCAGAAGAAGACAGCCCTGCCGACACCTTGACATTAGCCCAGCGAGGCTGATTTCAGACTCTGACCTGCAGAACCATGAGCGGATAGAATGTTTATTGCTCTGAGCCTCGGTGTGCTCATCTGTTACAGCAGCCATGGAGGTGCCCACGTGGCCGCGTCTCTGCACTGCAGATGCTGCAGGCGGGGCTGGCAAAGACCTGGGCTCCAACCCTGGCTCCAGCACTCACTGGCTGTGGACGACGATGGCTCAGGTCACCTTTCTGCACCTCAGTTTACTGACAGTGAGGTGGGAAGAATGAGCACCGGGCCCCCTAGACTACGGGGGTGTCAGATAAGCGAACAGGACCCCCCCCAGTCTCATGGGCTACTGAGGGAAGGCAATGAGATCCCATTAGTGAGGGGGCCCAGGAAAGTGGGGGTAGAAGGGCCACGGAGGCTTAGGGAGGAGCTGTTGCTAGTGTCCCCAAGCATTCATTCTCCCTTCATCTGCAGGAACAGAATTGTCAGCAGGGAGTGGACCCTTGGGAATAAAAACTACATTTCCCAGCATCCTTTGCAGCCAGGTGTGGCATGTGACCACATTTTGCCCAATAGGATATAAGGAGACAGCTGCATTGCATCCCTGCCCTTCTGCCCACTCCTGTCTGGGATGTTCCTGGAGCTCCATGCTCACAGTGAGGTGCAGGCCACACCCTGCGGAGGACAGAGCTGCAGGCTGGAAGGAGCCTGGGTCCCTGATGACCTGAGGCCACAGAGACGTCAGGGAGCCATGGACTGCCGACCCCTGGACTTTTGCATACTGGAGAAATAAACGTCTCTGGCTGAAGTTACTGTTGATGTGGTTCCCTATCCAGAGGGGCTTAGGAACTAGAGGAGCAGCAGGTACGCCAGGCCTCCAGTGGCAAGGAAAGGGGCACAGGGTCAGGAGGCCTGTAAGCCCCAGCCTCAGCCCCAGGGAGCCCCTCCACCCTCAAGCACAGCTCCTGAGAAAGCGCCACACACTGCAAGTCTGCCATAGCACCCACTGCCTGAACACTCGCAATGGTGGTGACCGACGCCACTGACGGTGGTAAGCATCCGGAAAAAGTGCGACAACACCACGAGTGTACTGGCCCGCTGTACCAACGAAGAGACCAGAATTCAGAGAGGCTCCCTTCACCTCTGCCCACCGGCAGACCACAAGGTCAGAGCTGTCACCTCATGATACCTTTGGCTCCAGTTGTGGCTTTGCGATCAATCCAAGGGCAACGTCAAGGGAAGGTAGTGAGTTCCCCACCCCACTATTTCCTAAACAGGGGCAAGAGAGAGGAACCAGAGTGGAGAAGGGCTAATGTTCTTAAATGATCCTACCATTCCGTTGCCAACATTTCTACAAGCATCCATTATTTTTATAATGAGAAACCTTCCCTCTCACCAATCCTCACCCACAGTGCTTTTCACAGTTCTGACTTTTTTGCTGCCTAATGATGGATTTGACCCACACACAGGAGGGCTCAAATCACAGGCTTGTAAGGAACAATTTAATCAGCTTTTGAGTCCAATTATCTCTCACATCCATGGGCTTTTAAGAAGATCTCCTCGAGCTCCATGAGGTTTGCCTCCTCCTTCCTTCCCTGTCCTTCAGGCCAGCCCAGGCCCACCTCACACCCACCTCTGCAGCTGCCCTGGCTGCAACAGGGAAGAAATGATCATGCCAACGGCAGGCACCTGAATCACACCTGGATTCCACAAGGTCCAGGCAGCCATCTCTCTCCTTCAAATAGTCTCAGGGAAATGACTGTTAATTAACTTTGCATTTGCTCATTCCCCGTGCAACTCATTATCCCAATTAAACCACCTCTCATGAAGTCTGGCTCTTTTTGCAGAAAGTTATTTCAAATTATTTCAACTCGAATGTCTGTGGTCCCTTATGCTGCTGTTTTTTCTTACCCAGAACATCATTTTCGGTTTGGAACCAGCATGCAAGGGGGAAGGAGCGGTGGCTCTGCTGCCAAGCTGTCAGTTAACCCTTTTCCAGGCAAGTCTCTTAACCTGGGAACCTTAGTTTCTTCTGCGCGATGGGTCCAGGGATGTTGATTATAGCAACTAAACAAACAGAAGCAGACCAAGAATAAGGCAGGCACAAGGGTGAGAATGGGAACCAAAGGTTTATGATAAATAAACTTGACTACCAAAGTCCAAAATAAAGATAAAATGGGGAGAAAAAAAGTAATGCCTGCCCCACAGGGTTATTATATGGCTGAAGTGAATTAAACTGGGTTCTGCACTCCAGGTCTTACAAGGTCTAAATCAAGGTGGTGGCTGGAATGAACTCTTACCTGGAGGCTCTGGAGGAGAATCCGCTTCTGGGTGCATTCAGGTGGCCCTGAAAGTCCAGCTCCTGGTGCCTGCAGACCTGGGGTCCTCATTCCATGGCTGGGGGCCACTCTCTGCTCCTATAAGTCACTCACACACCTTCTCACACAACCCCTTCCTCCTTCAAACCAGCAATGTTAATTCCAGCCTTTCTCACACATTGAATTTGACCTTCTTTTCTGCTGACAGCTGGAAAAGCTCCCTGCTTTCATTAGGCTCATGAGGTCAAGCCCACCAGATAATCTCTGATCTCAAGGTCAGATGGCTTGGGACTTTCATTCCTTCGTCAAAGTCCCTGCACAGCAGCACCTAGGCTAGTGTTTAACTGAACAGCCAGGGGTACGAATCAGTGGGCCCACCTTTAGAATTCTGTCTGCCACACCCATCATATCGTATCTTTCTAAATTTGCTTCTTTCAAAATTGAATAAAAGGATGAAAATCCACGCCCTCGCCAGAGGATCACAGCAATGCAGCTCATGGCAGCAATCACCCTGCGCTGGACACGTGTGGGTTCTGGCTTCAGCCTTGACGCAGAATCTGGGGTCAGGAGAAATACACAAGAGTTCTGCCTTCCTTTCACCCACATGACCTTGTGCAAGTCACCTAACCTGGCTGAGCCCGGTCCCCTCCTCGCCACAGATGGGCTGATCCACAAGAGGACATCTTTGAAGCACCCAGCACACAGCCTGGTACCCCGGCAGTGCTCAGCTGCTATGAGCACCGCGCCCACGGTCGACAGACTGTCAGACCATCTGCACGACCTTTTTTTCTTTTTAAAAACACCACTCAATCCTTGTTAGGGGCACCACGTGCTGTACAGTCGGCTCTTCCGGCACCCCCAGTCCCTGGCTAGCCCACCCATGCCCATTGCTGGACATGTGCTCAGACGACTGATCCAAGAGTCTTCCATACAGGCAGCTTCACCTCCACGTGAAGATAACTTGCACTGTGGTGCAGTTCCAGACCTCAAGGAGCTACCTGACCAGGTAGGTTCCCAAGAGCAGACTGCCTTTGGAGCAGTTCCTGAAGTGGCCACGAGGTGGCAGGCCTTTCCCTGGCAGATCAGAGAAATCCCGCAGTTCCAGATACAGACACAGGGCAGGGCATGGCCTGGCCTCAGCGGAGGTTCACAGTCCCCAAGGTGGCATCCCCTCTGGGACGACCTGTGCTTATCTGTCTTGAGGCACAGCAGCTACAATTCTTCATCAGGATCGGAGCTGCAAGACGCCCATCTGATTCCTTCCGAGCCCCAAAGGAAGGAAATGAACATGTTTCTTTTTTAAATCTCACAACAAATAATGTCTCAGTTCTACAGGTGAGCAGATCCAAGGTTGAAAGCAATGAAGTTACTTGGTCACAGCCAATAAGAAACATGAGATACTGTTTTGTTTTGTTTTGTTTTGTTTTTGTTTGTTTTTTGAGACGGAGTCTTGCCCTATTGCCCAGGCTGGAGTGCAGTGGTACCATCTCGGCTCACTGCAACCTCTGCCTCCCGGGTTCAAGCGATTCTCCTGCCTCAGCCTCCCGAGTAGCTGGGATTACAGGTGCCCGCCACCATGCCCAGGTAATTTTTTTCTTTTTTTGTATTTTTTTAGTACAGACGGGTTTTCACCATGTTGGCCAGGCTGGTCTCGAATTCCTGACCTCAGATGATCGACCCGCCTCGGCCTCCCAAAGTGCTGGGATTACAGGCATGAGCCACTGTGCCCGGCCGAGACACTTTTAAATTTTATTGCAGAAAGGCTGGGTGTGGTGGCTCACGCCTCTAATCCTAGCACTTTGGGAGGCTGAGGAGGCCGGACTGCTTGAACTCAGCAGTTCGAGACCAGCCTGGGTAACATGGTGAAACCCCGTCTCTACTAAAAAGACGAAAAATTAGCCAAGCATGGTGGCACACACCTCTAATACCAGCTACTAGGGAGGCTGAGGCATGAGAATCGCTTGAACCGGGAGGCAGAGTTTGCAGTGAGCTGAGATCGCGCCACTGCACTCCAGCCTGGGCAACAGAATGAGACTCTGTCTCAAAATATATATATAAAATAAAATAAATTTTATCGCAGAAAACTACAAACATATGCAAAAGAAAATCGTCATAACTCCTATGGCATTCATCACCCAGCTTCAACCGTTACTAACATTTGCCACTTGTGTTTCACCTGTCCTTGAATTTTTTTTCATGGAGAATTTACAAAGCGAATACCAGACATAGGGGCAATTTGCTGTAAATACTTCCGTTTGCATCTCTAAAGGTTAGGACATTTTACCCACCAGCCGTTACTGCTCCCTACCAAAAGTATCGATACTCCCAGTTTTCATCTAATACCCAGCTTTATATTCCAATTTCCCCCACCTATCTCTCAAATGCCCCGTTTAAGCTAGTTTATTCTATCATGATCCAAGTAAGTTCCACACATTCCATTCAATGACGTCTTTTAAGCTCATTTATTCTCTAATAGTTCAGTTCCACTTTCTTTTGTTTCCTCCAGGCTCGAATTAATTATATTATCATCATAATTATACTATTATCTTAATTATTGGTATTAATTGACACGGTCATTTGTCCTGTACAACATCCCATTTGGGGTTTAGCTGTTTGCGTCTTTCTGCAAGGGGCATATTACCTGGCAAACAGTAGGTATTAATCAGCATGGGTTGAATGGTTTCAATGGCAGAAAAGCAAAAGAATAAAGGTTTGGTCCTTTACTCAAGTGGTCCTACATTCACTAATGTAACAAGCAGGCAAAACTCCGCTTGAGAAGCCACCAGCTCGCGCCCTGGGATCCTGGGGAGGGCATGGGCTCCAGCCCTGGGATCCCGGGGAGGGCACAGGATCGAGCCCTGGGATCCCGGGGAGGGCAGGGACTCTAAGTCTGGGATCCTGGTGAGGGCACGGGCTACAGCCCTCAGATCTTGGCCGCCAGAACTGCACTCCAGGCCACGCGGTGCTGAAGCGGGAGCCAGGCCCTATCTCCTGCGGGAACCCCGCTTGGGGGCCGGCACCGGGGCCATAAGAACACGCGGCCCTCTGTTCTTGGGGGTATGCGCTACAGCAGCATGGACCTCGGTCAGGTTATGAAAACGTGTGCATTTATGAGCTTTAGTTGTGCCCCAATGTTTTCTATGCGCTGTTCTTAGTCTGTTTTTCGTGTTTTGAGAAAACTGAAGATAACAGAAAGGTACAAAACACACGCCCATATTCCCATCATCCAGCATCAAAACCGCCAACATTTCGTCCCATTTGTTTCCCGGGTTTTGTTTCCTGTTTCACCAGAAATCACTGGTGGAGACGGAGACCCCAGTGCCTTCTCTCCGCCTCGGGCGCCTGGAGAAGCAGCTTCGGGGTCGGGGCGCCCTCCCAAGCGGTTGCCTCCGCGGTTCTCAAGCAACTACGCCGCCGTTTGGGTGGCGCTCGCGCCGAGACTTCATTTTCATTTAGCAAACATGGAGTGCTCCGCGCCGCTCTGGAGCCGGGGTGTGAGGGTGAACAGGGCTCCCCACGCTCGTTCCCAGAGCAAAGGAAGGCCCGCGGTGTCAGCGCAAGGGCGGGTGCGGGCCGGGAAACGACAAGCTGCCGCCTCACTCCTACCCAAAACCAGGCTCTGAAGTCCCTCCCGGCCCGCGACGCGCGCGCCCCACCCCGGCGCTGGCCCCGCCCCCTCACGCTGCCTCCTCATTGGCTCCTCCCGGCATCGCCACGCCCACAGGAGGCTCCTCCCAATGCTCACTTCACCTTTCACCTCTTCAGGGCCTCCGGTACGCCTCAGGCCCCGCCCACCGGGGGGTGGGGAAAGATGCTCTTCCGTGACCCACAATTATTGGTGACTATTGCCTGTCCATAACAGGAAAAGCGATTACGGATTGGCTGAGGCGAAGTAGTAGGGCAGAAAAGTGGGTATAGCTGCCTGCACGCACGCTTGGTGCGTGCGCGGCGACTGCGACGGGCAGTGGCAGTCATGGCGGCTCAGTGCGTGAGGTTGGCGCGGCGCAGTCTTCCTGCTTTGGCGTTGTCTCTCAGGTAAGGGGCACTTGGTCTCCCTGGGTGGAGGTGGCAGCGCGACCTCCCGCTCCGATGGGGGCCTTTCCCGGCCCCGGGGCCTCCTTCCCGGCCTCGGCCCCGGAGCTGGGCATCTCCGGGCTCGCGGTTCCCCGCCGCGGGACGCGGACCGCCCCGCTGGGGCCTGCTCTGCTGCCAGGCTGCCAGCTCAGGGCTTGGGAAGCGTGGAGCGGGCGGGCGCCGTGTCAGGAGGAGAGGACCGCAGCGCGGGGGGCGTTTGGCTCGGAAGGTACGGTGGCCCACGTGCGCGTGTGGTCCAGGGCCTGCGGCGACGCCTCGCGCGCATTCACGGTCTCGGCGCTCACGGGCGCAGAGGCAGCCGCAACTTGTGCGGTTGAAGAAGCGACCAAAGAAGCTCGAGCTTTGTCCAAGGTCACGCAGCGAGGCCGAGCCGGGCCGGGTGTGCCCTGGGCAGGAGCTGTGGTTACTCATTTCCGTGCCGCAGCTCGAGGCCGGGGCCACAGCGGTGCTCGGGAAACTTCGTGTCGCAAGGTGCGTGTTGCCCGTTCACGGGCTTTTTCCACTCGACCTCGAATTCCTTCACTCCGCCTTCTCCAGCGTCTGAGGTCAAAAGAGCAGTCGAACCTGTGCTGCTGCTGGGCGAAGAGTTTGTTTAGACAAGGGCACATTTCGGGCCTGAGGGCCACGAGACAGTGCCCCTTTTTTTTTTTCCCCTCAAATCTGCCCCTTCTGCTTTTTGAAAGTTCTACTTTAGAAGTTAGTATGGCAAGTACTTGCTGGAGGAAGTGCCTAGAACCAAGTTATTGATTAGAGAAGCCACTGAGGGCCAAATTGGCCAAAAGCTGGGCAGTGAGATGTAGTTCTTTCCTGAAGGAGAGCAGGCAGGTGAGGTGAAGATCACTTTCAGTCTAGGTGATTAAGGGGTAAGTGCTAGCTTAATAAATTATATCTTAACAACACAGGAGCCAAGAGCAACGACCCACGTGGAATACTTGAGTAAAAAGACTTTGGTCAAGTAATTGGTGGTTTTGTATTGGAATTAATTGCCAGGAAAGTGACCACCAAGTCAGCATCATTTCTGTCTCTAGAATGGTAGTTTTGTGGAAAGATGCTCAACTAGGGAAAGGCAGGAGAACTGACTGGTAGTCATAGCTCTCAGAGTAACTAGGCTTTCTGAGACTCAGTTTCCCTCTGCAGAACGAGATGGCCCCGGGTGTGGGTCCTGTTGCACATTCCTGGCCACACTTTGTGTTGGCTGTGCTTCGGAAAGGGGTCTGTGAAGAGCTGACCTGCAGAAAGGCTGGTGGCTGTCACACCCCCAGGCAGAACAACTGGAGAGGAAGGTGGGCTTCACAACAGTACACTCAGTTTTTATTTAAATTCTTAGCTTTTTAAATTCACAAGAGTAAAAATATAAAATGGTCATCGCTCTCCACCCCCATGGCAAGACTGTAATGGAGGCTTCCACTCCACTTCTTTCCACAGATCTAAGATATTAATAAGTACACAGGATTTCTAGTTTGTCTTTACAAAAATAGGATCCTGTTTTGTGTATTTCTCTGTAAGTTGCATTTCTTAACAGAACATCCAAAGTGTATCCAATAAATGGCAGTTTAACTCATTTTTAGGAGCTGCATAATATTCCAGATTGTGTTAGCAAGTTTATTCAACCATTTGCTCGCTGACAAACATTGTTTCCAACTTGTCGCTCGCAGTGCTGCAATAAACAGCCTTGACTGAGTTCTGTGTGCTGGCAGCCTTCACCTTCCTATTCGTTGAAGCAGTTTTAATCTGGGAAGAAAATTGAATGTAGCTTATTCTCAGATAGGACTGTGGCCTAATTTAAAAAGAGGTCCTGGCCGGGTGCGGGCGGATCACGAGGTCAGGAGATCCTAGACCATCCTGGCTAACACAGTGAAACCCCGTCTCTACTAAAAAAATACAAAAAAATTAGCCGAGCGTGTTGGTGGACGCCTATAGTCCCAGCTACTCGGCAGGCTGAGGCAGGAGAATGGCGTGAACCCGGGCGGCGGAGCTTGCAGTGAGCCGAGATGGCACCACTGCACTCCAGCCTGGGTGACAGAGCAAGACTCCGTCTCAAAAAAAAAAAAAAAGAGGTCCTCTGGTCCTGGTGAAGAAATCTAGGTTTTAAGACTTTATTTTATCATTCGTTGATGGCTTTGTGACCTGGGCTTATCACTTGGTCTTGGTCTATTTCACCGGTACATATCCCATGCTTTCCTGTCTTCATGCCTTTGTCCAAGCAGTTTCATCTTCCTGAAGCTGCATCTATCCCATTGTCCCACCTCTGATCCCTTTTTCGTAACTCTTACCTATCCTACAAAGCCTTTCATGGTTTTCCATTCCCCAAGCTAGGTATCTCCTTCTACTCTGAGCCTCCCAAAGCACAAAGCACTTAGTTCCCTTTTTTTTTTTAATCACTTTTTTTTTTTTTTGAGACAGAGTTTCCCTCTTGTCGCCCAGGCTGGAGTGCAGTGGCGCGATCTCAGCTCACCTCAACCTGCGCCTCCCTGATTCAAGCGATTTTCCTGCCTCAGCCTCCCAAGTAGCTGGGATTACAGGCATGCACCACCACGCCAGGCTAATTTTGTATTTTTAGAAGAGACGGGGTTTCTCCATGTTGGTCAGGCTGGTCCCGAACTCCTGATCTCAAGTGATCCACCTGCTTTGGCCTCCCTAAGTGCTGGGATTACTGGCGTGAGCCAGCGAACCTGTCTTAATCACTTTTAAATCACAAATTACTGTTCTTTGTGTTTAGATACCTTTTTTTTGCAAGATCTCTGCTGGGTCTATCTTTGTCATCAGGATCAGCAGTAGGCCAGCCTCACTCTAGTAGTAGCTATTCCATAAGTACGTGGTTAGGTCTGGGCAGACTGTCTCAGTCACCTTAGAATGGAAAGAGGAGGTTAGTACTGTTCTGTACCAAGTACTGTAACTTGGCACATTGACATGTAAGTTTAGGCATGTACTTACAGAAGATCTTATAAAAAAGACAGGCACAGTGGCTCATGCCTGTAATCCCAGCACTCTGGGAGGCTGAGGTGGGAGGAACACTTGAGCCCAGGAGTTCGGGGTTACAGTGAGTTATGATTGTGCCACCATACTGTAGCTTGGGTGACAGCGAAACCCTGTCTCTAAAAATACATGGAGAGGCCAGGCGCGGTGGCTCACGCCTGTAATCCTAGCACTTTGGGAGGCCAACGCGGGCAGATCACTTAAGGTCAGGATATCAAGACTAGCCTGGCCAACATAGTGAAACCCCATCGCTACTAAAAATACAAAAATTAGCCGGGTGTGGTGACGAGCAACTGGGGAGGTTGAGGTGGGAGTATCCCTTGAACCCACGAGACGGAGGTTGCACTGCACTTCAGTTTGGGTGACAGAGCAAGACTCTCTCTCTCAAAAAAAAAGAAATACATATAGATATAGATAGATGTATAGATAGATAGATATATAGAGAGAGACCAATCCTGTCTCTAAAAAAATATATATATGTTTATCTTAGATCTAATAAAGGCACATTGTATATGACTTACAGCTTTTATATTTACTAATATAGCTTCTATATGTCACGTACAGTGTGCCTTTATTAGATCTAACAGAAATGTTTTCTCCCCAAGTAATAGTAAATAGTTTGAAGCTATTTTAAGTTTCTAAAGTCATACATCTGACTTTAATAAGCACAAAAACTAAGTCTTCGTTTCTCACGTGTGGACTTCCCTGTAGGCCATCTCCCCGGTTGTTGTGCACAGCCACGAAACAAAAGAACAGTGGCCAGAACCTGGAAGAGGACATGGGTCAGAGTGAACAGAAGGCAGATCCTCCTGCTACAGAGAAGACCCTCCTGGAAGAGAAGGTCAAGTTGGAGGAACAGCTGAAGGAGACTGTGGTGAGGACTGTGAGGCTCCTGTGGGGGCGGGCTCGGCTGAACTGTTTCTCTCCTGGGCCACATAAAGGTTCCAGGTTTCATTGGTGACAGACTAAAGCCAGAGTTAAGCCGTTGTCCATGGCCTGCAGTGGGCCCAGGTGGCAAGTTACTGCCAAAGCAAAGACTAAAACCCAAATCCTGTGCAACTCTGGTTCTGGCAAGAGACTAATCTTTACACGCTGTTATTTGTCATTGAATGAAAACTTAAAATCATCTTTACAAATGAGGAATGCTCAGTATGGTTGTTTAGGCTGGGACTTAGGAGAGGAAGCAGAAAATTGCAAGTACAAGAGTTGGGAGCAGGAGTGTGGTTTTATGTGATGCTCTCATAGGCAGGTAGGAGTTTTATGAACTAGTAACATGGATTATTACTCCATGTGAAAACACATAGGTGGCACAAATCAAGTTCTTTAAGGATTTGAGAAAGACATCAAACCCTGAGTGCTGGCACCATTCCAAACCCGTTACATATGTTAATCCTGGCTGCCAGGTGCGGAGCCAGGGCTCGAACTAGAACCCCCTGGACTTGGAGCTCTTGCTCCTTGCCACTGTACAGTGATTACCTGAAGACTGAAAATGGATGCAGTATAGAGGCCCCCACAGAGCAACTTAGTAAATGTTAAAAAGAGAAAAGCTAGCTGGGCGCAGTGGCTTACCCCTCTGATAGCACTTTGGAAGGTTGAGGCAAGAGGATTGCTTGAGCCCAGGTGTTCAAGACCAGCCTGGGCAACATAGTGAGACTCCATCTCTAAAAAAAATTAAAAATTAGCTGGGCGTGGTGGTGCACTCCTGTAGTCCCAGCAACCCAGGAGGCTGAGGTGGGAGAATTGCTTGAGCCCAGGAGGTTGAGGCTGCAGTGAGCCGAGATTACACCACTTCAACCTGGATGATAGAGCAAGACCCTGTCTCAGAAAAAAAAAAAAAAGGCTCAGATGAGTGAGCTTACCGGAAGGTGGTGAGACATGAGGAATATACTAGAACTCAGATGATGATTACACAAGGAATGTTTGAACTGAGCCACCTCTGGGTAACACAGCATAGCAAAAGATCATGAGTGCAGCTTTTATTAAGCTTTCATTAAGCTGCCCTCCTTAGTCACATCTCAAAGGCAGTGATATTACTTCTGTTTTGACTTGTAGTTAGTTACACAGCCGTTTTCCAATCAAGCTCGCTTTCCTATGACTTTGTTCCATATTAATATAAATCTCCCGGCCAGGCATGGTGGCCCACACCTGTAATCCCAGCACTTTGGGAGGCCGAGGCGGTCGGATCACAAGGTCAGGAGATGGAGACCATCCTGGCTAACACGGTGAAACCCTATCTCTACTAAAAATACAAAAAAATTAGCTGGGCGTGGTGGCAGGCGCCTGTAGTCCCAGCTACTCGGGAGGCTGAGGCAGGAGAATGGCGTGAACCCAGGAGGCGGAGCTTGCAGTGAGCTGAGATCATGCCACTGCACTCCAGCCTGAGCGACATACAGAGCAAGATTCCGTCTCAAAAAAAAAGATATATATATATATATATATATATAAATATCCCTTTTTTTCTCTTTTAGGAAAAATATAAACGAGCTTTGGCAGACACTGAGAACTTACGGCAGAGGAGCCAGAAATTGGTGGAGGAGGCAAAATTATACGGTACTTTCAACATAACATGGTGTTGATTCCGGAAAGAAGATAATGGGGTGGGGAAGGGGAAGGCCATGCATACGGAAGTGTCAGAGAGCAAGGCTGTGGGGTGGGGGGTCCAGCTGTTGCATCCCCTGCATTTTTTTTTATGATGGCTCAACAGCAAAGGTGTCTGGAGGAGCAGAAATCAAGTAGCTGAGACTAGCATGAAGAATTGTAAATAGGTGTGTCCTCCCCCACGCAGAGACCTTGGTGGGAACCTGCAGCAGGTCAGCCTCTGATGCCCATCCCCTTAGCCCTCCGGAAGTAACACTGGCATCACTTCAGAACTCCCAGCATGCTATATGCATTGCCACCTTTGGATGTTTTTGTTACTGTCCTTCCCATTTTACAGTTGAGATCATTGAGGTTTAGTCACCTGCCACACATCACAAAGCTGGTACGTAACCCCAGGCTCCCAGCTCCACAGGCTGGTTGTTTGAGTGCTGGCTCTGGATCTCTGCGTGACTGACAGTGGGTATTAGAGATGTGGAACCTAAGGCTCGAGGGAGGGTAAATGGCCTTGCCTGGGTCAGACGGTGAGAGGCCACATGGAAACTAAGAGCTAGAGTCTCTGTCGCATTCACAGAGACTGAGGCGCTCATTGAAACACTTTTTTTCCTGGATACTGTGGCCTGTTTCTTGGTATTCCGCCTCTCTTTGTGGTAATGTGCTTTGTTGGTTCTTACCCTTTCCGACCTGTAAATGCCTGGGCTCTTGGGACTCAGTACCAGACCTCTTCTCTCCCCTTGCTGTGCTCCCTGGGTGACTTACATACTCTTACGGGCTTAGTGGCATCCACACACAAGTCTCAGCTTCAAACTCGGATCTTCCGAGTTCCAGTCCCCTAAATCTTACTGCTTGCTTGACATCTGGGCTTGGATGTCTCAAGGGTATTTTCCCCTCTACTGCACTCCTTTCTTCACATTTTAGTGAATTCTAAATTTAGTAAATTCTGGGTCTCATCCCACAAGTAGCTTTTGAGAGTTTTGTGTTGTTTTTTAAAGTTATTGAGCCATTGGAATTCTGAGGCGATTGATTTGACAAGTTACTAAATAGCCTCCACATCAGGTCAGCAGTGCTCAGTTTGGAATTGCCCTGTGCGGTTGGTATGGAGTGCAAATGATCTTCTTTAACTTCATCCAGGCATTCAAGCCTTCTGCAAGGACTTGTTGGAGGTGGCAGACGTTCTGGAGAAGGCAACACAGTGTGTTCCAAAAGAAGAAATTAAAGACGATAACCCTCACCTGAAGAACCTCTATGAGGGGCTGGTCATGACTGAAGTCCAGATCCAGAAGGTGTTCACAAAGCATGGCTTGCTCAAGTTGAACCCTGTCGGAGCCAAGTTCGACCCTTATGAACATGAGGCCTTGTTCCACACACCGGTTGAGGGGAAGGAGCCAGGCACAGTGGCCCTAGTTAGCAAAGTGGGGTACAAGCTGCATGGGCGCACTCTGAGACCCGCCCTGGTGGGGGTGGTGAAGGAAGCTTAGCTGCTGTTGATGGGGTGGGTGTTTTTAAACTCACTTGATGTAACTCTCAAGGCTGGTTCATTGTTTCTCATCTATGAGTACGTGTGACCTTTTCCCAAACCTTATTGGAAACCTTAAGTAACCAGTGGCTAAACAGAAAAGCCGGTTGCCCAACTGCATTAATGAACTCTAATTCGGGAGTCTGTTCCCTTTTAGTGCCACGCGTTGAATAGTTCCACATACTTTCAGAAGAGCTCAGCAGGGCCCTGCCTGGTCTCCCGAGCATCATGAGTAACGTGTCTGCTCAGACTCTGCTGACACCAAAGTATTTTAAACAAATAAAAGGTCTTGGGGAATTCTGTTTGGCTACCTGGGCACGCCAGTCTGCACCATGTGTCCCTGCGGCGCATGAGTGACTGGCGTATTTAGCCCGTCACATTTCATTCGCTGAAGGAAAGGCAAGAGAGTTGAAACATTTTTCTTACTTAAAAAAAATGATCTTTGTGAAGAACATAGTGAGTTCGTTTGTCTTCAGTCAACAGCGGCTGAAACTGACCACTGAGAAATGGGTGTGGGCACTGACAGTTCTCCCCCATTATTTGGCCAGGAATTGAGCTTGGCTTGGCAAAGTTCCTTTTACCCTGTTCTGTTCATCTAAATGCAGACATATTTAAATCATATTCAACTAGTTACTAATGACCTCAAGTTGTATTCCCTGGCAAAATGGACTTTCTCAAAATAGGACTGCACGCTTGGTGTACTTTAAATGTTAATGTTTAATTTAAAATTTTTATTTAAGAGGATTAAAGCCCTAATGTTTATTTTCCTACTTTCTGAAAACAATTTTGTGTCCTCTCATGGAGATCCTTGCCGCTGAGGCAAGCATGGCTTAGCCTTCCCATTCTCTACTCCAGCCCAGAAGCTGTCAGCTTGACACGTGCGTGCGTGCACATTCACGTACACACATATACAGGCTTCTACACAGAAAGGGAGAGCCACACTCCCCCAGTGCAGCTGCAGCCCGTCCGGTAAGAATACGAAACACCCAGGAGCCACAGCAAGGGCACAGGATTTGCAAAATCATCTTGCCAAAGGGCTGTTCCTCATTTACACGGTCATCCAGGGCTTAGAAAAAGGCTGAATGATTGGCGTCTGTTACAAAAAAGAGAAAAGAACCTTTCGCTGCCTTTGCTTCTAGAATGGAAGATACTTGTGAAAGCCATTTGCTGCACAGGAAAGATGGGGCAGTTTATTTCACTTCTAATTTTAAAAGACGCAAGTAATGGTCCCATAATACTTCATCTTGGGATACCATTCCCAAACATGTTCCACCTTTAAGATGCCTTAAGTTAATTTGGTCAGAAACAACTAAAGGCAGCATCGTGTATTGAAGAAAACATGACTGGGAGCTCCAGCGCTGCCTGTTTTCACGCTGTGGGGTTGTGAGTGCATCATCACCCCTGGAGCTCCCGAGTTAAATGGAGGCTAAGAAAAGTAATTTATCAACTCATTTCTGTGAATGTTTGCAGTCTCCTACCGTCTCAACTACAGCTGCAGTTGCTAAAAAGCACTTAACTCGTAACCTAGAGGCAATATAGCTTAAGTAGCAAAATATTTTTTTACAGTAAGCTTCAGTCATCCATAGTCACTATAAGTTGGTTATCATCTGAAATGCTTAGAACCAGAATTGTTTCAAACTTGGGGGGTTTTCGGATTTTGGAATATAGTCAAGCATGGCTTAACCACAGGGATGTGTTCTGAGAAATGCGCTGTCAGGCAGTTTTTCCTGTGAACACCATGTGTACCTACATGGACCTAAAAAACAGGTGGTGGAGCCTCCTCCACACCTAGGCTATATGGTGTATGTAGCCTGTTGCTCTAGACTGGAGGGCACGTTACTGTACTGATACTGTAGGCAACTGTTAACACAATGGTATCTGTGTATCTGAACATAACATAGTAAAGGTACAGTGCAAACTGTGTTCTAATATGTGGCCCCTCATTGACTGAAAAGAGATTCTCTGCTTGACTATTTGCATTGTATTTGCTGGTTAAGTATCCCCAATCCCAAAATCCAAAATGCTCTAAATGAGCATCTCCTTTGAGCACCATGTAGGCACTCAGAAAGTTTCAGATTTTGCAGCCTTTCAGATTTGGGGATACTCAACCTGTAATAGGAAAATGTCTTTTAATTATGTGCATATTTACAGTAGGAATTAAAGATTTGTTTAGCTACCTTCTAGTAGTTACTGGATTTAGCATAACTGCAGCATGAGTGAAGTGTCACGTGTGAACAGTGAAAACCAGAACTGGAAGTCTCAGAGGCATCTGAAAAGTCGGCCTGGCTTCCTGAAAGACTCAGACCCATTTGGCTTTCTCTGGCTGTACTGCTGCTTTGAGGGAGGAGAGCACCTGGCACGAAAGGGTCTCTGCTTAAGAGAAAGCAACTTTAGGTCGGGTGCAGTGGCTCACGCCTGTAATCCCAGCACTTTGGGAGGCTGAGGCAGGTGAATCACCTGAGGTCAGGAGTTCAAAACCAGCCTGGCCAACATGGTGAAACCCCGTCTCTACTAAAAATACAAAAAAATTAGCTGGGTGCGGTGGTGGGTGCATGTTAATCCCAGCTACTTGGGAGGCTGAGGCAGGAGAATCGCTTGAATCCGGGGGGGCGGAGGTTGCAGTGAGCCAAGATTGTGCCATTGAACTCCAGCCTGAGCAACAAGCACAAGACTCTTCCCCAAAAAAAAAAAAAAAAAAAGACAAAGCAACTTTAATCTTCTGGAGGAAAAACTGGGTTGATACAAAGTACCAAAAGTACGTCATGTGACAATCTGTATCTGTGTTTGAACTGTGGCTCACCCCTAGCTCTGTGTGGCTCCAAGAAGACATCTGATTTCAGAACCAGAGGTAAGAAGCAAGCGGTGACACTCTTTTGTTCTCAACTTGTTTAATATGGAAAAAGGTCATCAAAACGGTAGGCAGGGTTGCTGTTTTTAATACATTCTTGGGATGTTGGCCATTCAGACAGCATTATTTCAAATATAGATGAGTTATCCAACTTTTTTTGACTCAAAGATAGTTTGCTTAGATTTTTTTTGAGATGGAGTCTTGCTCTGTCACCAGGCTGGAGTGTAGTGGCGTGATCTCAGCTCACCGCAACCTCCGCCTCCCAGGTTCAAGCAATTCTCCTACCTCAGCCTCCCAAGTAGCTGGGACTACAGGCATGCACCACCACACCCAGCTAATTTTTGTATTTTTAGTAGAGACAGGGTTTCACCATGTTGGCCAGGATGGTCTCGATCTCTTGACCTCGTGATCAGCCCGCCTTGGCCTCCCAAAGTGCTGGGATTACAGGCGTGAGCCACTGCGCCCGGACTAGATTTTAACAAGACCTAATTCCATGGGATTATGGTGGCTAATTTATCATGAGAATTAAATATAAAAATGTGGAGGCTCTGAGCTGCCGACAGAGGTAAGGACTACCGTGACGGGAATAGTCGATGGGCTAACAGGCAGCCAATCACATTACCATTCCTTTGTGACAAAGGGTTAATACTTTAACATAAATTAATTATACATTCATTATGGTGTTTTAAAACAGTCAAGCCTAAATAAATTCTTCATACCATCAAAAAGATATACATACTAAAAACCTGCTTCAGCACAAAGTTTTTCATTTGACAGCTCTTGGCCTGGGCCATACACATTAACAGGGATCTTCTGCTTCTTCAAGCTTAATATAGTACGTCTGGCAATCATTTTATATAAAAATAAGATTAAATTTAAAACCTCACCAAACTAGGATCCTGGCGCTGTAGAAAATCAGGGAGACACCAGAATAGCTAAAACCCATAGTTCTCAAGCAAGCTTACATCCAGTCACCTGGAGGCCTCGTGAAAACAGCTCGCTGCACCCTGCCGCACACCATTTTGATTCAGGAGGCCAGGTGGGGCCTGCGCGTCTGCATTCTAACAAACAAGTTGCTGCTGCTGGGCCAGGAGCCCCACCTTGAGAACCACTGGGGCTAAGACAACTGTAAAAACTTAGCACCATCTCCATCACTGTTCAGTGGTAGACAGCATAAGCTTTCTGTCATCCGCATTTATTCTGCAGGGGACAATGTGGAGGTGGCCCTCATGATACCACTGCTCAGTACTTTATTGTCAAAAGAGAAGTTCTGGGCTTAGCTAAAAGAGCGCTTCTCTGTCAGCATGCAGTATAGTTTACAACTAAAGCCATATACAATATATTTGAAATGTTTTATTTAATGCTGAAAATTTTACCCTAAGGGACAGTAGGATGTGTAAAAAGAAAGGAAAAGGCACAGTAATTAAGTCATCCTTAGAAATGATGAGGTTTTCTTTCTTTCAAATAACTTCACTTTAATGTAACTTCAAGCCCAAACATTCTGGGAGGTAAACAGTCTCTTGGTACCTACGGGGCCCGAGAGGCAAGTCAACCTCCTTGAAGAACGGAGCGCTGGAGTCTGAGCACGCCAAAGACTCTCTTTAAAGCAGGGTCTTGGACCAGAGAACCCTGAGCAGCTGGAAGACAAAAGACTTCCTCAAGTTTCAGGAGGAAGGTACCGTGGACATCCTTGAAAGAGGACCCCAGAGAAAAACTTGTAGGCAGGGCTGGGAAGAAGCCATTTCTGAGTCTGATTCAAGACAGTGACAGAGAGCAGCTCGAGGCTCAGGGCACCACCCGGGCTCCCTCGTGCTCCACCAGAACCACCGCCAGCCAACTGGTCAGACGGCTCTTGCCTGGCTAGTCTGAGGCCTCAGCTGGCGCGGGCCTGGCGACACTCTTACAGATGCCTACTAGCCAGGCGGGCATGCTCATATTTTCAGTGGAAAGGTACTTGCAACTGAAGAAAATCCTGAGGAAGCTGACGCCAGAATTCAGAACTCTTAGCCTTGAACTTTGTACAATGGGTTCTTCCAAGTGAAATGCACTCACGTCTTAACAGCAGCACCGAGCAGCCCCGGAAAATGGACTGAGAGGGCCTGGCGGTCCACACGTGTCCTACGTCCCTCCCACTAACGTGCTTTCCCATTCGTGGGGACGTGGTCACTATGGGAGCCTGCCCAAGAGGCACGGCTCTACCCAAAGTGAACCAGCAGGCTCTGGCCGTATTCAAATGGGGCGCAGGGTCAGCTTTGGGGTTTGGGAACTGCACGCTGAAACTGCTGCCGCCGGTGAAATGGAAGGTCATCTGGTCGCTGTGTTCAACAGATTCCTCTTCAGTTCCCAACAAAACGCCAGCCTGTTGTCCTCTGGCCTGATTTTCCTCATCTGCTACACAGCGGAGGAGTCTGGGCCCAAGCTGCCCCCATGTAAAGTGCCGCGTGCCCGGGGCTGCGCTGGGGTCAGCTGTGGGCAGCGTGGGCTCAGAAAACGGGAGCCTGCAGGCAGCCCCGCCTGAGAAGAGCTTGTGTCACCAGGAAATAGCTGGTGGCTTGCGGGTCCAGCAGGAAAACACTGCTCCTGTCACCCACAATAGCTTTTGTACCAAAGAGAAGAACACTCAAAAGGAAATGATCCAATCTCACAATAAGCTCCCAACTGAACGGGTAAAGGCGGAGCATCATCGCAGTGTATGACTCGCAGGAACTCACTTAAAATACACACATTTGCTTCCCCCATGATCCAATATAAGATTGTTACTATTGCTTCTTTCAGAGGACCATGAAAAGAATTTCTATCTTAAAAAAAGGAACTCAATTTGTTTAAAAAAGAGCAACAGTGGGGAAGCGGCTCCCCTCCCCCAAGTCATTTTGGCTGGCACACTGTCTGAGCATCACCCTGGCTTTCAAAGCGTCTCAGCTTCAAGACGCGTCCCTGGAGATCCAGCCGCTTTCTGTGAGGAAATTCAAAATCCTTTTCTTTAGGACTTTGTCCAGGTAGCTAGGAAGGCGGCTTTTGGAGGGGATTCCTTGCCGCTTCTGGAGGTGGTCTTTAATTATAATAGTCTTCACAGTCACGTAGCGGGCTGGACTCAAGTTTAAAGAGCTGCAGAGCACCTTCTCGCGATCTGACAGGAGCTCGAAGCCTGGAAGGTTCTCAATGGCGGCGAACTCGCTGTCTTTGCCGTCCTCCTTTCCCCGTTTGGAGCCGGCTAGGTTTTTGTTCTCCTTCCTCTTCTCCCGTTTATGCCGCGCTGCCTCGTACTCTGCCGACTCTTCCATCTTGGTGATCCCGTTTCGCCGGTACCGCTGCAGTTCTCGGATCTTGGCCCGGAGCATTTTTTCTTTGTGCATGTTTTCAAAAAGGTCATCAAACTCCTTGCATGACATGAACTGGTACAGCGGCCTCAGCTTCAGGCGCAGCTCCTTCTCCTCCTTGGTGATCTTGCGCTTCAGCGCCTTTTCCTTCTCCTTCTTGTCCTTCCCCAGGAAGGCTGGCACCAGATTGTAGTCACGGGCGATGTTCTTCCGCCGCTGTCTCTCTTTCAGCTTCCGCACGTACATGTCCACGTGGGCGCGCTTCAGCTCGATCTCCACGTCGTCGTCATCATAGTTGACAGAGAGCCCGCTGATGAGCGTCTCGGCATCCTGGTCATACTCGATCTCGTAATCATCCCGCAGCGGCATGTAGCCCAGCTGCTGCTGCTCAGCCACAGAGATGTCCAGCGGGGGCAGCGGGGTGGTGAGGCTGGGTGAGAGGGGGCCTCCGCTGGGACAGGTGTGGTCTGTCACGCGGTTGGGGATGGTGTCGGGGATGCAGGCCTTCCCCAGGTTCCCGTGGATGTACATGCTCACGTAATGCTCCATCACCTCTTGGGGAGTCCGGGAAGCACCAACGTGGGCAGCCATATCTTCCTACGATGACAAAGGGCAGAAGTTAGTTCCACCATCAGGGTGCCAGATTTGGGTTCCGCACAGATTCTCTTCACGTTTTTACAAAGGCTGACCTAGAGTACTTCCTACAGCACCGTTACCCACCCTCCCCAAAGGCATTCAGTCACACACTGTCTTATGAGCTGGGCTCAGGGGAGAGATGACAATGTTGAAGCAACAACACATGCTGATTCTGTACATGAGAAAGTGAAGACCCAGAGAGGCACAAGCTGGCACAAGGTCTTGGGGTGAGCTGGTGGCAGAGCTGAGGCCAGAACCCCTGGCTGAGGTTTGGACTTTGTTCTCATTCCCCACCTGCGACCAGAGGAGCCCACCTGGTACTGCCATAAACCCTGCACTCAGGGGCTGTCTGAATGTCCCAGGAGACAGCAGGGCAGGCCAAGGAATGCCTGAACTCGCCTCATTCAGACTAGAAAACGGGCTTGTGCCAGGGTGTGAGACCAGGCCAAGTCCACGGCACTGCAGGAGGGGACCCAGTTCTACCATGTTGCCACCCGCTGGAAAAGCAAGGGCCAGGACACCTCTGTGACGCTTGTCCTGGCCGCACACCCATCCTGGCCTTCATGCGCCGGGGGGGCTGGCGTGGCCCTTTCCTAGGCAGTGACTGCAGAAGATGGGCCTGTGGCTCTTCAAGGGAGCAGGCCTTCATTTTTAGCACCTTCCACGGTTAAGCAGCTGGCTGGGAGTCTGCCACTGGCTGAAAGCATTCATCATTCCTACAAGAGGGTAACCCATAAATACAAGGTTTAATGGGAGGAAACTGTATAACTCCCTCAATCTTTTCCTTCTGCCGAGAGGCCTCTTCCTCAAAGTCAACCGCTAAAGCCACTTCAGAAAGTAACTGCCCAAAGTGCGCACTCATTCCCTGGCCACCGCCTCTCAGCCACCCAGCCCCCACCTGCCTCTGCCCGCCTGGGTGTGGAACCAGCACTGCAGCGCTGCCTGCAGCACTGCCAGAGGCCCAGCTGAAACCAGAGGGACCGCCACCCCATCCAGGCTGATGACTATGAGCTGGCGTCTGGGAGAGAAGTGTTCTGGGCTCCAGGAACGGATGGGATCCCACAGCTGGGGCTTCCTCTGGCACACATGCCTGGAGCCGAGGTGCTGGACCCTTCCCCCCGCCACCTGGGGCCCAGGAATCTCCAGGACTCTGACTACAGAAGGCAGTGCCAAAACTCAACTGTGGGCCTCTTTGAGAATCATAAAGTAAAAATATTAGAGCTAAATGTTGATTCTGGTCTTTGGGGACAATGACTGCTTCTTTTAAAAACACCGTTTGTAGCAAATCTGTTCATTTTATTTCCCCAGGAAGCATTTGGCCTAAAACAAAACACAACACCAAGTCACAACTATTGCCGGCAGCTACTGCCACTCTGTGTGACCCAGGCTGGTCACTGCCCATCTCTGAGCCTCGGGTCTGTCATTGCCAGAAGAGGAGACACGTGCAGCCCCACACACCTCACATGGGTAAGAAAAGCCTTCAGGGCCAGAGTGGGCCCCACACAGCGAGCGCGAAGTCCCCTCTCATGGAGCAGCCGGGGCAGACGCCACCAGGAACTCATGCTCTTCCCCGACAACCTTGGGGCCAGGGAGCCCCAGGAACCGCAATGGCCTCTGAAACAGATAACTACAGGCCGTGTCTACCTAACGGAACAACAGTCCCTAACGCCCGCCCTTTAGGAAGGAAAGGGTCATGTTGGGTGGAAACCCTGGGTGAACATCCTGGGGTGCCTGGAAGATGGGAATTTCCATCCCAACGCCTCACGTCTGTGCTTCCACCGCGCAGGCGGGCGGCAGGGGCAGAGCCGGCCTTGGCCTGTGCAGCTTCTCCAGCCCTCGACACCAGCTTCTGTCCAAGGCTGCGGAGGGGCTGCTGCATACACAGCCGACTCAAGAGGCCAGTTTCCAGGAGGCTCCGATGGCTGCTGCACCAGGTTCCCAGGCACGTGAGGCTGGGTGTCCCCCTCGTCCCAGAGGCTCTGTGGTGCCGGCTTGCTTACCCAAGGTCACAAGGTGAGTCAGTGGGGCCCCCCTGGCATTGGCCCTGGTCTCAAGCCAGTGAGACTAGCAGGAAGAGGCCTGCAGACTTCTCACTTGCAGAGATGTTTTTAAAATATCTTACTTACGGCTGGGCACGGTGGCTCACGCCTGTAATCCCAACACTTTGGGAGGCCGAGGCAGGCGGATCACGAGGTCAGGAGATCGAGACCATCCTGGCTAACATGGTGAAACCCCGTCTCTACTAAAAATACAAAAAATTAGCCAGGCGTGGTGGCGGGCGCCTGTAGTCCCAGCTACTCGGGAGGCTGAGGCAGGAGAATGGCGTGAACCCGGGAGGTGGAGCTTGCAGTGAGCTGAGATAGTGCCACTGCAGTCCAGCCTGGGCGAAAGAGCGAGACTCTGTCTCAAAAACAAAACCAAAAAAAAAAAAAAACTTACTTACTTGGCAGATTTTCAAGTTAGCAACACTAGGTCAGCCTCCAAAATCCTTCAAAAATCTGGAAGTCTGGAGCACAAACCCATCGGCATCAGCTGGACTCCTTAGTGTGCCTCGTGGGGTCTACAGCTGTCCCTGGCTCCTGCCTCGCACCTGTCAGGAGCTTCCCAGCACCCAGCCAGACATTGGAGGCCTGGCAGCGCCCACCCTGCTGGAGGTGCCCTTTGCTCCTCGTGCCCAGGCTAGGGGCTGGGGTCCACCTGGTAGGGCAGTGAGGAGGCAGGTGCGGCCACAGCGTGTGCTCGGTCACGGCAGCTTTCCCCAGCGCTGGATGCTGTTAGCTTCCCTCCCACAGGGAAGGTTTATCCAAGACCAGGTCGCCGGGTCCAGGAAGCCTTCAGTGACCCCCAGGGCCGGGCTCAACTCTTTCCATCAGTTGTGGTCCTCTCAGCTTGTTTCCTGACCTGCCAGCCCTCCTTTTGCAGGTTTTACCAATAAAATTTAAAACAACAGCAGATAAGCACGTCTACGCCCATCATCCCACTCACCCCGTGCGCTTCCCACGGAGGAGGAGTGTTGTTACCGCCTACGGTTTTCAGATAAGGAAAGTAAACCTGAGGGTGAGCCCCTGCCAAGGGCACAAGACCAGTGAATGCTGAGCCACTTCCACACCAGGTAATGTGGCTGGGAGCATACACCCGTCGCCACGCGCCCCCCACCATCCCACGATGCAGCGCACAGCAGAAGGGGGTCCTAGCCGCTTCCCGATGTTGTGATGAGAGGCAGAGCGAAGCCGGACGCTGGGCTTCTGCTCTTCTTTCTGGAACAAGCACGTTGGAGACGTGCCACAGCTCAGGCTGACCCTGCCCCCGTGATGTGCAGTGAACGCAGGCCTTTGCGCCCGGCGTCGTGCCCGAGGCTGCCAGCCCTGCAGGCTCCGGAGCATCTCCTGTCCCGGGCGATGCCGCAAAGCCCTGCGGCTCTGCTGTCCCTCGGTGGCCCCACTGCTGTCCTTTCCTCACCCCCATCTGGTCTGTGAAGGACGAGGCAGAGGACAGCTCATCCCGGCCACAAGCTGGGCTTCTCCCGGTGGTTTGGGGCCAGGCGTCGTCTCCAAAGGGAGGCCCAGCACCAGCTCCTTTTTCTCCAAATGAAGAAGTCTCAAAAAGCCAGGAAGGCTCAGTTCCCCAGGGAGCTCGGTGTAAGGGAGGGGTCCCACCAGGGAAGGGCATTCAGCGGGCAGAGCTCTCAAGGAGCAGCTGGGCACACTGGTGGCCCCTGCAGGGCCAGGAGGCAATGGAATCCATGGGACAGGGGACTGGACTATGTCCTAAAGGACAGGAGGGAACCACTGGCCCCAGGGGCAGAGCAAGGTAAGAAACACACCAACCACAGGCCACAGGTGGCAGCGCGGGAGGGCTCCAAGCCGAGCCCACGCGTGCATTTCCCATCTGCACAGGTCAGAGAGCCCTGACATGTCACCTGCCTGGCCACTCCGCAGAAGCGTGCAGACATGGGAGGGCCCCACCTGCCACCCAGGCCACCAGCCCCTCTTAGGAGCTCCAAGTCGCACCTCCATGCCGCATGGGCTCCAGGCTGACTAGGCTGTCCTCATCACATTCCACAGCAAAGTCACTTCAGCACCTCCAGTCTCAGCTCAGCCTCAGACACTGGGCCAACAACTAGGGCCACCTGCAGCTAGCGGCAGGACAGAGCGGCCGGGCAAAGGTAGGCGTGGGATGCCAACAGCCCTCGGGGCTGGCACACCAACTCAGTCACGGCCATGCGGTGGCCCCTGGCTCTTCCCTCTTTCAGCCTTGTCTGTCACCTTTAAAGAGACAACTTGAGGACACCGGGTCACCCCCTGTATCTTCCCCTTCCCTCCTCCCTGCTCTAACAGCTCAACTCTCAGCACAAGCATCCCTCTGATGCCAGAGGCTGGGGACTTACTGGCTTTGCAGCCACTGCTTCCAGGTGTCAGACCTTTCGGAGACCCCACTGTCCCTGGCCACTGCCCCCAGCCTGTTCCAGTGGGCAGCCCTGCAAGCCTCAGTTCTAGGTCTCTCTCAACTCAGAGACCTCAGTGACTTAGAGTTGTCATTGGCCCTCAAGGTGACTGACACCTTCAGGTCAGATAAGGCTAACTGTGACAGAGATTTTGAAAGTGGCATTCCTCACTGTGGAAAACAGCAGGGCGGTTCCTCAAAATCACACACAAGGCCAGGCTTAGCCTAACCCCAGCACTTTCGGGGGCTGAGGCGGGAGGATCACTTGAGCCCAGAAGTTCATGACCAGCCTGAACAACATGGCAAGACCCCGTCTCTACAAATAATTTAAAAATTAGGCGGGTGTGGTGGTACATGCCTGTAGTCCCAGCTACTTGAGAGGCTGAGGTAGGAGGATCGCTTGAGCCCAGGAGGTGGAGGCTGCAGTGAGCCATGATTGTGCCACTGCACTCCAGCCTGGGCGATAGAGCGAAACCCTTAAAAAAAAAAAATTACACACAGAACCTAACCTAGCAATTCCACTTTTATTTACTTGACGAGATCCCTCAACACCATCTTCATAGCGGCCTTGTTCACATTCGCCAAGAGGTGGAGGCAACCGAATGTCCGTCACAGCTATGTAGATAAACACATTATGCCACACAGATGACAAGGGATTGTTCAGCCATGAAAGGAAGGCCGTGCTGACGCATGCCACAACACGGATGATCCCTGACGACATGAGGCAAAGTGAAATACGCCAGTCAGAAAAGGACAAATCCTGCAGGACCCACGCATTTGAGGTCCCTAGCGCCAGACGGGAAGTAGAATGGGGGTGCCAGGGACTGGGGAAGGGGGAGGGGGAGTGAGTGTTGAATGGGGACAGAGTTTCAGTCTGCCAAGATGACAAAATTCTGGAGGTGGCTGGTGGTGATGGCTGTACAACACTGGGAGTGGACTTAATGCTTCCAGACACTTAAAAACGGTTAAAATGGTAAATTTTATGTTACACGTATTGTACCACAATAAAAATCAATATATTTTTAAATAATTTTGAAGTTTTATAAAGTGACATGTCTTACCACTCTACCCCAGTGGTTCTTAAAGTGGGGTCCCACGGCGGCCGCATCAGCAGCACCTAGGAGGTTGTTAGAAATGCAGATTCTAAGCCCCACCCCTGACTCAGCAGCTTGGGAGGTGGGGGTGACTCAGGTAAACCAGGCATCCTGGGTGTCCCACTGTGGGCTGGAGTTGGAGACCACCTCTGCGTGCCCTGCCCCTCCCAGCCACTCTCCCATCCGGGCTCTCCCTCCCCCTCCCGCCATCCTTAATGGTCATCCCTGGAAGCCCGCACAGTGGAGGCTCCTGCCCCGGCGGGGAAGGTAAGTCCCCACTTCCCATGGTTCCCAACCATGCCTCACAGCTCCCTGGGGTTCTTTCCATCCATCCAAATTTCCAGACCTCGGCCTCAGAGGTGACAATCCAGCAGATCTCAGGGGATCCCTGGGAATTCTAGGGGATCCTGCGGCATGGCTGGTGAACAATGAAACGGATGGTTCTAGGCATGGAGTCAGAAGCCTTGGGTTGAAATTCCACGTTCCCACATCACCCACAGTTGTTTCCTCGTTTGTAAAAGTGGGGAGCACCTGTCTCAGGGATTAGGGGACGGGGAGATGGTGAGAGGGGCGCGTGTCAAAGCACCTGCTCAGGGCCTGGCACTGGCGAGCAGACACTGCGTGATCACAGAGCCTGAGCCAGCAACACTCTTGTACCCAGCACCCAGGGCTTTTCACCAGCTTCCTCCCTCACCCCAAGCTGGCTTTTGCCTGGCCCTGAATACACCAGACTCTTAAAACACAAAACCCTTCCTTCCTCCACACTCTCCTCTACCTGCACAGCCATCTTGTGTCCTTCCCTCCGCAGGACATCCTGAGGCCCACTTGCCCACACGGCACCTGCCAGGTGAGGCAGCTGTCTTCCTCCTAGCCTGTTCTCACCACAGGGGCTGGCGCACACCAGGCCCCGAGGCTGTGCTAACTGAATGAATGAGCGAGAGAATGAATGCACGCACAAGGCAGTGACCATCGATGTGTCTGGCCTTCTGCCACCTCCTGGGTGTCCACCATCATCTCAAAGGGTGCAGCTCTACTCAGGACACCCCACCTGGCTCCAAGAAGGAGCCTGAGTGTTGACGTGTGTGCACAAGGCCTTCCATGGTTCACAGAGAACTTCACATGCTCATTTGATTCAAAACCACAAGGGCCAGCTTGAACCCCACTTCCCCGCCAAAGCCCTCCTGACCACCACCTGCAGAGGAGCACTGGCCCTCCTAAAGCTCCTCAGTGTCAGCCCAATTTCTTTGGCAACCAATCAACAGCTCCGGCTCCTCTGCCACCACTGCGACTTGCCCTCAGCTGTCACCTGTGTTTGCGTCTGTGTTCCTGTGCTCCAGCAGGGCCTGCATCCTCTAACTCTTGGAATCCTGCGCAGAACCCATCACAAACCGGCCTTCTAGAGACGCCAGACCCCGCTAATCTGACTCTAGGCCACTGCTTGCCAACTCTTACCCACTGTAGCCAAGGTCCTTTAACCTGTTCTCTCTGCCCCTCGCTATCAAACATACACACCAGCACACGGGTTGTCCCTAAGCCCCCAGGTGTCACTGTTAACCCTGCTCAGCTACATCCCGTCCCCTTCAGGCCCCATCCCCCAGCCCTGGTACAAAATGTGACCACAAAGCTGCCAGATTTGGCCACAATCCACCCTCTCCCATGAATCCCACATGTAGTTGTACAACCCCCAGGCCAGGTGTCACCATTTGCCATCTGAAAGTAGAACTCAACAGGTCTCATCTTTCGTCACATCACTGTCGCCAGCCCCCACACCATCTCCTTCCACACTCACAGTCACAGCCCATGAGTCCAGGCCCTGCCTCCACACTAATCTCCAGTGAATCAGGTCAAGCCCTTCTGCCACTCCTGCGGTGGCACCGATGGCCTCCCAGCCTCTGACCCACATTGCTTAATGCTCTCACCCAGAATGGGTTAGGGCCCAGGCTTTGGAATCACATAGGCCTGCGTTCATTCCTGGCTCTATCACATGAATGCCATGGAATCCCTGACAAGGCGCTTAGTTTCTTACAGCTGCTGTTCTTCAACTGTAAGAATAAGAACCCACCCCCGAGGGTTGCTAGGAAGATCCCACAGGACACATATGGGAAGAGCCTGGCCCAGAGCGGGCAGAGGCTAAATATGCCAAAGTGGGACACGCCAGCTCTGTGCACATAGCTGGATACATGCTCAGAAGAGCACCACCCATCTCAGAGCTGCAGAACAGCCTCAGAGGAAGAAAAATAAAGTCCCGGGGGATAACGCAACGAGGTTCTGCCAGGGAGATGGCAGCACGACCAAATACTGGTGCCTCACCACTCCGGGGGGGTGGGTGGTCACGGGCCAGTGCACCCCCTGAGTCCTGGTTGCAATGCAGGCTCTCAGGCCTCACCGTAACCTCGCGCTGGTGCAACGGGAGAACGCCCTGACCGCAGCCTGGCCAGGCTCGCTGTGCACCAAGTCCCAGCCCCATTCTCTTCCTGTCCTGGCTCTGCCTCCTCTACCAGCTGAGTCAGAATCTGCATTTTCACCAGCTCCCCAGGTGCTCTGTGTGCACATTCGTTCGGAAAGTATTGTTTTAGAAGAGGCCTCTCCACTTCTAGCCTGGTTTCTTCCAAAACCACATAGATGTTTTTGTTCCCCAGGTCTTGTGTTCTGTGTATTTTCCACAGTGCCGCAGGGAAGGCAGTGCAGACAGTGAAGTTAAGAGTACAGGCTCTGAAGTCAAACTGGTCCGTCCAAAGCCAACTGCCAAGGGCTGTCGGGAAAATGTCCTGAGATACGCACAGATATGCCACCAAGGCTCTGCGCCTCCTTAGCAGCTAACGTAGAGGTAAGTGCTGGGATGGTGAAGGGAAGGGCCCTCTGAGGCACTGATATTTAAGTGGAAAGCTCAATCCTGGGCCATGATTTACAGGGAGAGCACTCTAGGTAGAAGAAATATAAAACGATCAAGGGAGGTAACAGATGAGATCTCATTGCTCAACACTTCTAAAGCTGCCTTAATTGAAGTAAAAGCCACTGAGGCCGGTGTGAGGCGCTTTGTGCTTCCAAAGCTCGCTCCGGTTATGGTGTGTGGAATAGGGGAATGGGGTGGAGGGGGAATAACGAACAAGGAGGCTCCCAAAGTGGTCAAGGCAAGAAGTAAACGTAAACATCAGCCGGGACTACGGCTGTAAGAAGTGGTTTGTTCTGCATGTACTGTGAGGAGACAGCTGATAAATTGGATCAGGAACTTAGTGGAACAAGGAACTAAGAGAGGCAGGTAGGCCAGGGAGGCGGCTGGACATGGAGGGCTGGTGCTAGGGAAGAGCTCTGGGCCTAGGACCAAGTCAGTACCACACTTTAAGCTCCCTGAATGCAGGGATAAAGCCTTCTCTTTCCTTCAGAGTTCTCCGCCACTGTAGAATCCGCACAGAACACATGCTCAGTGCATATCCACAAACAGCATGGAAGGACAAGGTGGGACGGAGTTTCTGAAAAATGGAGATCCCAGTGCTGGTGGCCATTAGGTAAGGGTTTGTAAAGGAGCATCTTCTCTAAGGAGTTGGGAGGAGAATCAACATTCCAGGGCTTCAGAATGAGTATGTGAGGCGGCCCTGAGACTCACTCAGGAAAGGAAAGCAAAAGGCAATCAAAGCAGCCCAGGCAGGACTGCTGGAGAGGTGGCAGCGAGATGGATGCTGTTCCGAGAAGCAGGCACCTGGTGTAGCAGGGGAAGACTCTGGAAAGCTAAGGGCGCTGGGGGTGTCTCACTCCCCTCCTCCTCAGGGTGCCCGGGGATGGCCACATGTCTTTGGTGGTTATGAGCGGGAATACGGCTAGAGATTTTCTCCTTTCTAATACGGATGCAAGCTTCCAGAGTGGAAGGAGAGCTGAGAGACCGCCCAGAGAGAACCATGTTCCTCTCTCAAGGACAGAACCTAGCACACGATGTTGCTAGCGTAAGTGGATCCAGTCCAGCTCTCACCGCTCCCCACACAGGGCTGTCTCTACAGAAACCTCAAAGGTAAAGAGAGCAAAACCCAAGCCCCAGGCCTCCCAGGCCAGGCCTCTTTGTTCATTCTTTACTGACCATTCGCACAAGGTCGTGGGTTGTGGGGACCCAAGCATAAACCAGGCACGCTACCCACAAAAGACTCTGTGCACTGCGGACCACACAGGGCACATGCATACAGTGACAGAAAGCAAACGGGGCCGCCCCAGAGACCCCGAGACAAGCCGCAGGGCGCCCACCGCTCTCCTTCCCTGGTGCTCCCACCGCTTTCTGTCGAGTCTGTGGGCCTGCCTGTCTCCACGAACTCAGGTAAGGCACCGAGTCTTGCCCAACGTCTGCACTCCGCAAACGCCTGTGAAGGCGTCCCTGAAGGTGAGGGAAATGGCTCTGCTGTCAGAAGCCAGCGTTCAAAGCCCCACTCGGCCCCGTCTCGGCTGTGTGACCTTGGGCGCGTCACAGCCTCTCAGAGCATAGGTTCCGACAGGTGCCCGACTATAAACCGGCAGCGTCGCCCTCCCCACCTCCGGGGCCTTCTGGGGTGCGGAGCGAGCGAGCAGGTCCAGCGCTGCCTGCGCGCCCGATTACAGGAGAGGCGCGGGCCTTCCAGTGCCCTAGCCGGGACCCGGCCCCCGTCGCGCCGCTCACCCAGTTTCCGAAGCCGAACTGCTCGATGGCGTCCAGCAGCAGCTGCTCCTCGCGACTGGTCCAGCCGCCCTCGGCCTCGGGCCCCCAGAGCGTGAAGCGCCCGCCGTCCACCAGCTGGTAGCCGTGGTAGCGGCGGTGGTGGCCGATCTCGGCGCCGGCCGAGAAGCACTCGGGGCACAGCTCGATGTCCTGGCACTCGGTGCAGCGGAAGCGCAGCGGGCTCACCTCGGCCAGGCAGTACACGCAGTACTTCTTCCCCAGCTCCGCCATCTTCCCCCGCTCGCCGCCCGCCGCCCGGCCCGCCGCAGCCGCCGCGCCCCCGGCCGTCAGCGCCCCGCCGCCCGCGGGACCCGCCGCCGCCGCCGCGCACGAGCAACCGCCGCCCGCCGCCGCGGCTGCCGCCACCGCGGCCCCAGCCCAGCCGCCGCCAGAGCCAGCCAGCCGGGCCGCGTCCCCCCTCAGTACGCAGGCGCCGTCCGGCCCGGCCCGGCCGCCACCGCCGCCGCAGCTGTCGCCCCGCCGCATCGCGCAGGCGCCCCGCGGGCGCCACCTTGCGGACGCCCGGCCCGCCGCTCTGCGCCTGCGCGCCCCCCGCGCCGGCCACCGCCGCCTTTCCCAGAGCCTCCTGAACGCCCCGCCCCAGGCCCGGCGGTGGGAAATGGGCAGGCAGAAAGCCCGGCGGGGGCGCCACGCCCCTCGCGGCGAGAGCCCACGGCCGCTTCCAATCAATCTCGCCTATCGTCAGCTCGCGGCCTCCCATTGGCTTGCTCTCGCCGGGCAGCGGGGAGAAGGCGCTGGACGACGGCCTGTCGCCTGGCCAATCGCCGGGCCCAGCGCGCGCGCCTTCTGTTGCCCCGGGAAACCTAACAGCGTCCTGCCGGGGTCCGCTGCGCTGGCCGAGCCGGGAGGAGATGGACGTCAGCTCTGAGCACACTAAGGACCCCGGCGGGGAAGGCGGAGACGGGGAAAGCCTGGCCGCGCGGCCGTCCAAGATCAAGGCCAGCTCTGGCCCTCCGACCTCTCCCGAACCCGGGGAGCTGGAGTCGGAGCCGGAGGAGGAGGAGGAGGAGCAAGCGGCTTCGCAGGGAGGCACCGCCGCGGACGAGCAGGCCGAGGCCCCGAAAGGGCTAACGGCAGCCGAGGCTGCGGGCGAGGAGGGGCCTGGAGAGCCGGGGAGGCCGGCCGAGCCCCAGCCCGAGCCCGAAGAGCCGGCCGAGGTTGGGGCTGAGGAGCCCGCCCAGCCGGAGCCCGGAGCCGGGCCCGAGGAACTAGAGGCGGAGGCGGGGGCGGAGGAACTGGAGCAGGCGGCAGAGGGGAAGGAAGTCAGGTTCCAGGCCTCTCTGCCGCTGACCAGGATCGATGAGGAAGAGGCTGCTGCAGCCCCGGAGGCCGAGACAGAGCGGGTGGAGGGGGAGGAAGAGGACAAGGAGGAGACGCAGAGAGACGGCGCGGAGAGCAAGGAGAGGGATGGGGAAGGACGCCCGGCCAAAAGCCAGGAAGAGGGGAAGCGCCTCTATGGAAGGGACGAGTTTGAGGACCTCGAGTGGTCCGAGGAGGTCCAGAAGCTGCAGGAGCAGCAGCTGCGCAGCGACCTCCTGGACCAGTACCGTTCCCTGCTGGTGGAGCGGAACCGCTCCCAGCGCTACAACCTATACCTGCAGCACAAGATCTTCGAGGCGCTGCGCAGAAAGAAGGGCCTGGAGGCCGCTGAGGTGGCTGACCGGGGCGCAGAGGCCGAGGCCCCCGAGAAAGAGCAAGCGTACCTGCGCCATCTGGGCATGCTGGAGGAGCTGAAGAAGCAGCAGGCAGACGACCTGCAGTGGTACCACCAGGAGCTGGGCCAGTTGAAGCGGCAGTGCCAGGAGAAGCTCACCAGGGTGGAGAAGGAGTGGCGACGCTTCCAGGCACTCAAGAAGCAGGTGGTGATGCAGGCCATGGGCAGCTGTCGGATGAGGGGCGGGCGCCAGGCTGCTCTGCGAGAGGTGGAGCAGATCCAGGCGTTGGAGGATAAAAAGGAGAAGGAGATGAGCGCCGTGCGGCTGGAGAACATTCAGCTGAAGCAGAGCCTGGTGCATTTTGAAACCAGGATGAGGACCCAGGAGGACCTGACCCAGGGTCTGCTTCTTATTGACTTTGAACAGCTGAAGATTGAGAACCAAACCTTCAATGAGAAAATTGAGGAACGAAATGAGGAACTTTTAAAACTTCGCAGCAAGGTGACCAACAGTGTGCAAGTAATAACCCACGTGAAGGAAAAGCTGCACTTCATGGACATGGAGAACGCGTGCAAAAAGACACAGCTGGCAGAAATCGAGGCCCAGGCCGCCCTAGGAAGAGACATCCTGACCAAGACGAAGCAAGCCCGAGAGGGGCTGCGGACGGACAACATCAGACTGAATCAGAAGTGCGGCCTTCTAGGCAAGGACTCACTTCTTCGGGACTTGGAAGAAAAGGTGGACAAGACCGAACTGCTTCACCGGCGCCTGGAATCCCTGAAGCGCCACCACGCTAGCCTCACTTTGTCCTGCAGAGGCGTGAGGCAGAAGATCAGGGAGGCCAAAGCCTTTCTCCCTTCTTGACCAGATCGATGAGAAGAGTCTGCAAAACACTTCATCCTCAGGACGTGCTGTCCTGCTTTATTTTACCTTCGTTGCTATTAAAAAGGCCTGTGTCATTTGGGACGGGACTCTATTTTGTATTTATCTCAAAACGTTTTAGCTTCCAAATCAGTGCTGAGCCCAAACCTGGGTTAGGAGTTTTATCTGGGATTGAGCAAAAATAGGTCCAGAAAAGCAAACAAAGGGTGATTTAATGTAACTGACTTCTCATGAAAAACTGTCAAAAGTCTCAAGTCTGAGCAATTCTATAATTTCAGTGATGTAATACTAAAGAGTACTGTTCCTCTTTCATATGTAGGAGGGTTTAAAAGTTCAGCGAATGGGCAAGGTACAAAAAAACCCTGTGCATTAAGCTAATTATTAAATTCTTTGGATTTATTAAATTATGTAGTCCCGAGACACTGTTTCAGTTAGAAGCTCACTAATCCCCTTAGATTAATCTTAAATTTAAGTGATTTTGGGCCGGGCTAGGTGGCTCACCTCTATAATCCCAGCATTTTGGGAGGCCGAGGTGGGCAGATCGTGAGGTCAGGAGATCGAGACCATCCTGGCTAACACGGTGAAACCCCATCTCTACTAAAAATACAAAAAATTAGCCAGACCTGGTGGCGGGCGCCTGTAGTCCCAGCTACTCGGGAGGCTGGGGCAGGAGAATGGTGTGAACCCTGGAGGCAGAGCTTGCAGTGAGCTGAGATCGCACCACTGCACTCCAGCCTGGGCGACAGAGCGAGACTCTTGTCTCAAAAAAAAATTTTTTTTATATGTGACTAGCACGAGCTTAGGGGGCAATAAAAATATCCAGGAAACAGGAGAGATGATAAACAGGAGAGGAGCTGATGTTTCTTCATCGTCCCTTTTTCAATGAAAGGGAGTTCAGTCTACTCACTGTTGATGGTTGTTTCTGCTTCAATGACAGTCTTCAATTATTATTATTATTATTATTATTATTATTATTATTATTATTATTATTATTTTCCTTGGGACAGGGTCTCTGTCTCCCTGGCTGGAGTGCAGTGACAGGATCTCGGCTCACTGCAACCTCCACCTCCCGGGTTCAAGCGATTCTCCCGCCTTAACCTCCTAGGTGGCGGGGATTACAGGCACAGGCCACCATGCCCAACTAATTTTTGTATTTTTAGTAGAGATGAGGTTTCACCATGTTGGCCAGGCTGGTCTCGAACTCCTGGCCTCAAGTGATACACCTGCCTCGGCCTCCCAAAGTGCTGGGATTACAGGCGTGAGCCACCGTGCCTGGCCTGACAGTGTTCAAGTCTAATGAAACATGTTCTTGGATCCTCTGAAGAAATGCATTAATCTGTACCAAAAAATGAAATTTTGGCCCGGGCGCGGCGGCTCACGCCTGTAAATCCCAGCACTTTGGGAGGCCGAGGCGGGTGGATCACGAGGTCAGGAGGTCGAGACCATCCTGGCTAACACGGTGAAACCCCGTCTCTACTAAAAATACAAAAAAAAAAATTAGCCGGGCGTGGTAGCGGGCGCCTGTAGTCCCAGCTACTCGAGAGGCTGAGGCAGGAGAATGGCGTGAACCCGGGAGGCGGAGCTTGCAGTGAGCCAAGATAGTGCCACTGCAGTCCAGCTTGGGCGAAAGAGCGAGACTCCGTCTCAAAAAAAAAAAAAAAAACTGAAATTTTGTTTTCCAGTGAAAACAAAATGACAGTTGTATTGCATGCTTTGCAAGGTGTAAAATATATTACACGGTGGCTGCTGGCATCACAGGAGACAGAGCCTTCTGTATCAGTCTATTTCAGATCTCGACAACAGGGCCCTTGCTATACACGAGTTCATTGAGTATCAAATAGTAAAATGCCCCTTATTCCTTGTGTCAAAAATACCTGGTAGGTCTGTTTCCTTAATGCAATATCAGTGATTATCTTGGAGCTAGGGGCTTGTTTTCATTTCTTCTTAATCCTAGATTGAATTTTGAGATGTGCAGATTTGGGGTTAAACATATTCTCCCACTCCTACACTTAAGTGAATCATAAAAAAATGCAACACGGTTTTTGGTGCTGGCTACCTCTGAAGAACGGTGGGAACCCAACTCTGGGCAGGGGACTTGGTTGTGAACGTTATCTTTGGATGCCATGATTTTGTGTTTTTTTTCTTTTTTTTTTTTTTTTTTTGAGACGGAGTCTCACTCTGTCTCCCAGGCTGGAGAGTGCCGTGGCATGATCTCAGCTCACTGCCACCTCCACCTCCCGGGTTCAAGCGATTCTCCTGGCTTAGCCTCCCGAGTAGCTGGGATTACAGGCGCCCGCCAGCACATCTGGCTAATTTTTTGTATTTTTTAGTAGAAACGGGGTTTCACCATATTGGCCAGGCTGGTCTCAAACTCCTGACCTCATGATCCGGCCGCCTCGGCCTCCCAAAGTGCTGGGATTTACAGGCATGAGCCACCACGCCCGGCCATGATTTTGTTTTGTAAAGTGTGCTCCCTTGGAAGCCAATGAAGGTTGATTAAAATTCCTTTTCTAACTTTCATGGCTCGAATACACTTTTTTAAATCAAACCACTCAAAAGTAGTAATGAGTTAAAAAGCTTTAGGCCGGTCGCCATGGCTCACACCTGTAATCCCAACATGTTGGGAGGTCAAGGCAGGTGGACCACTTGAGCCCAGGAGTTTGAAACCAGCCTGGGAAACATCACAAAACCCTATCTCTATAAAAATACAAAAAGATTAGCCGGGTGTGGTGGTACATGCCTGTGGTCTCAGTGCCTCAGGAGGCTGAGGCTGAGGTGGGAGGATCAGTTGAGCCCAGGGGGTGGAGGCCGCTGTGAGTAGTGATCGTGCCACTGTATTCCAAACTGGGTAATAGTGAGATCCTGTCTCCAAAAGCTTTGACTTCTGGCTTCCATTCTCACTCACTTATTCATCAACATTTTAGTCTTCCCTCTACGCTTTTCTTCAAAGCCAAAGCAAATCACTGGCGAACAGAACTTCCTGTGTGCCTCAAACTAAAAGCAGGACAGGCCCACTGGGTTCTTCTGTAGTTGGGGAGGCCTCAAGTGGAACTGGCAATGATGCTCCGAGACCTGACCAGGCATGTGGCTTTCGTGATAATGGCGTCCTTTATCTCTTTGGTTTGCTACAGGGAGAATAGGTATTTTCAGCTGGTTTTCACCCACCAGCAATTATCCAGATCCAAGCAAACACTCCCTCACCAGACTTGAACCCAGTAACAAGCAGATCTCTCAGAGCACAAAGATACAAAGGAGTCTGCCATGGCTTTAAGGTGCAAAGCAAACCTGTCCTAAGTGACTGTATAGTGAGTTACCAATGTTCTCTCAAATTATAGTACCTTATGCTGGAGATGTTACAATTAATTAGAAGGTAATCTTCTGCTAATTATCTCCCACCACAGTTCTTTCCAATTCTAGGAGAGTGCTTAATCATGAAATAGCAACACACTCACAAATTGATAATGACTTCTGAAGAATTCTACAGACCCTAACGCAGTCTATCCCCAAAGTCTCATTGAAGAGCTGTTAGTGCCTCCACAGAAGCCTGTGTGCGGCCCCATCTCAGCCTTTGATCTCCTGCTTAGTGATGGTGCACTTAGGTACCTGTTCCCCAGTGAGACAAAGTCCCTGGAAGTCAAAGACTGTTGGTTCATCACCCTCCCTAGTGGCCAGCACAGTACCTGGCATATAAATGGTAATCAGTAAATGCGTTGGATTAATACATTAATATAATGCCCATCTCACTCGTTTTCTGAAAATAAGTATTACTTGAATGCCTATCACGTGTCGGGCACTGGTAAGTCCTGTGTTGGATTCAAAAATAATTCCAGGCAAAAAGAGGATCTCGCAAGACATAGAACCAGTTAAGGAAAATAGCAGAATGGCAGACTTGTAGTCAAAGTAGGAAGACACTACAGGTAAAGAGAGTTGTTCATGCCAGCAGGGAATGCAGCTGCTCCAAATGCAGCAGCTGGGCTAGAAACCTCTGAGACATGATGATTTTTTAAAAGACTGTCATCTCCTCGTCAAAAAGTAGAGGACCCAGAAAACGTTGGCACTGAATACATTTTGAGTGAGGTGTTATATAAAATTAGACCTTTCTTGAAAAAATAGGTATGAATCAAAACTGAGACACTGAGGTCTGTCCCCTTCAGTGTTACAGGAAGCTTTCTCTTTTTCAGCAGCAGTAGCAAGAGTAAACCAGACACCTAATTTGACAGAGCCTGAGGCATCTGAAAAGAAAACACTTTTTTTTTTTTTGAGACAGAGTCTTATTCTGTCACCCGGGCTGGAGTGCAGTGGCACGATCTTGGCTCACTGCAACCTCCGTCTCCCAGGTTCACACGATTCTCCGGCCTCAGCCTCCTGAGTAGCTGGGATTACAGGAGCACACCACCACACCCGGCTAATTTTTTGTGTATTTTTAGTAGAGACAGGGTTTCACTATGTTGGCCAGACTGGTCTCGAACTCCTGACCTCGTGATCCGCCCGCCTCGGCCTCCTAAAGTGCTGGGATTACAGGCATGAGCCACCGCGCCCGGCCAAGGAAACACTTTTTCATCGGTAAATGAAAATCATTTTTGCTGACTTAACACATTTGAGATTTAAAATTTATCTAAGTAGAGATATATGCTTTCTTCCTTTATAATAAGTTCATCTGTAGTCATAATTTAGATTTTGTTCTCCACTGGCATGGGGTGCCTGTCCATGAAATATCAGAGTTATTGCACCTCAATTTGGTGCTTTTTGTGCTTTGAACTTTCAGATAGTCTTAATGTCAGAGTGATGAATCGTACAAATGCTATGAATGGAAAGGGCTGCAGGAGGCCATTTCAACTGACTGCATGCCTCCTACTTCCATGCAATATTCCCTCCAGAGGACTGTCTACTTTTAAATCACCAATGATTAAATATGTACATATTTTATTTTACATTGAATTTCAATTTTTTTTTTTTTTTTTTGAGACAGAGTCTCACTCTGTCACCCAGGCTGGAGTGCAGTGGCATGATCTCCACTCACTGCAACCTCTGCCTCCCGGGTTAAAGCGATTCTCCTGCCTCAGCCTCCCAAGTAGCTGGGATTACAGGCACCCACCACCATGCCTGGCTAATTTTTGTATTTTTAGTAGAGACGGGATTTCACCATGTCAGCCAGGTTGGCCTCAAACTCCTGACCTCAGGTGATCTGCCCACCTCAGCCTCCCAAAGTGCTGGGATTACAGGCGTGAGAAACTGCACCCGGCTAAATATGTACATATTTTAATGAATAAAATTACACCCTCCCTAATTTTTAAATTGACGATGTATTCTAACATTTCACCCACAGGATGCCAAGGGTGAATACGAGGATCTGTCTAGGAGAAGACACAGCTTGTTCCTAAGACCTTGGAATCAGGCTGAGCTGGATTCAGCTCTCTTCTGACTGGGACCTGGGACAAAATACTTCAGCTTTCTAAGCCTCAATGTATTCATTTGTAAAATGGGAAAATTTTACTTATAGGAAAAAAAGATCAGAATTTAAAAACAGTATCTTTTCTCTAGGTGGTACAATTAAAAACAACTGTCTTCATGCTTTTCTGAATTTCCAAATTTTATATAGTAAACGTACTTAATTTAGGAGGAAAATCCCAAATTAAAAAAAATTCTTAAGTTCAAGAGTATAAGATACTAACGGTTTCCATGTGAAGGGCATGAGTCTACCAACCCATGGCAACGTTTCTGTGGGTGTTTTTTAAAAATATAATTAGTAGTTCAGCTTATTTTTGTTTGATCTTCATAAGCCAGTGGACAGGGCTGGGTACTCTTTTTAACCTTTGGTAACAGAAAAGAAAAATGAGGCTTAGGGAATTCAAGAAAATTCCCCAAAGTCACAGAGTTCCTAAATGGCAATGATTGGTTATGAGATTTATCTCCAGGGCCCTGTCTTAACCTGTGGCCAGACTGCACCTTAAACTTGGATTTATTTTTGGTTGGAGCAGTTTCTACCAGCAGCTCCAGAGCAGGGCAAGAAGCTGGAGGAACAACGTTTGAGGATAAACTTTGTGAGGTTCTGGAGTCCAGAGTGATGCTTCTGAGTTGACAAGTAAGTCCTTTTGTTGTAATGCTTAGGGAGAAGGCAGTTCCCCTCACTCCACATAGAACCCCAGGCAGCTCAGGCATCCTGGAAAATGGGGCTTTGGCAGCAAGTCTCGGGAAACAGTGCCTTGGTGTGGCCCTGGCCGGTGCTGCCAGAGCAGGCTGGCTGCAGGCGATGCTCGCGGGAGCCCATGGGGCAGGCCAGCACTCTGGGCCTGAAAGACCTATCTGGCCACTCTAGTTCGTGGCCAGGTTCCTGGTAGGCAGGCAAGGGCCTGAGTCATATGAGCAAATATTTGAGCTTTGTGTTTGTACCACACAAAGCAGATCCACTGGTTTCCCTGGGAACCCTGCAAGCCCCTCCGCGTCCTAACACGGACCCATCTGAGGACTGGCCCTTGGCTCTGAGGCTTCCCTCTGCTGGCCAGCCCCTTCCCTTGGCTCCCCGGTGACCCACAGCTGGTCTCAAGGTCCACACTGCCTCTCCACACCGCACTGGTGCAGCGTTCCGTTCTCTTTGTGCCTTCCTGCCTGGCAGGCTCCACGTCTCGGGGGTGGTTTGTAAACTATCAGCCCCTCTCCCCTGGGCTGCAGCACTCAGGAAAGCATCCCGGCCCCTTTCATGTTTGCACCTCTGCTACCTCTGGGGCAGACATCCCACGGCTCCTGCCACCACAGCCCGTGCTTGGCCCATGAGCCCCATTGGCCCCATCTCTTCCTCTGCAGGTGGTGCCTGCACACAGGAGGCGCTCAAATAAGTAAGTCCAGGCTCCACCCCAGACCTTGCACTTGGAGTTGAGGTCAGCCCTACAAGAACAAGGCTCGCAAAGGCCCCCTCCCCTAGAGGGTGTTTCTGACAAGGGCTTGGGAGTCATTCACAAGGCTGGAGTCTGAAACCCAGTTCTGACCACTGTCCGCGTCTACGCACATCCTTCCCTGCGTCTCATATTTTTTTTTTTTTTTTGAGACTGAGTATCGCTCTGTTGCCAGGCTAGAGTGGAGTGGTGCGATCTCCAACTTCCGCCTCCCGGGTTCAAGCAATTCTGCCTCAGCCTCCTGAGTGGCTGGGATTACAGGCATGTGCCACTACACCCAGCTAATTTTTTTTTTTTTTTTTTTGGCAGAAACAGGGTTTCACCATGTTGGCCAGGAAGGTCTTTATGTCTTGACCTCGTGATCCACCCGCCTCAGCCTCCCAAAGTGCTGGGATTACAGGCGTGAGCCACCCCGCCCGGCCGTGTCTCATCTTTGAAATGGGGCAATAGCCCTGTCATCCGCAGAGCAGCTGCAGAGATGACTCACAGGCAGCACTCGGCCCAGCGCCTGGCGTGGCTGTGACTGCTGCCACCATCACGCCTGTGGCCCGTCCTCTCACCATGGCCTGCAGAGAACGCATAGGAGATAACAGTGGCCCACAGAGGAGAGCAGCCACTGAGGGAGAGGCGGGAGAGCGGGCAGCCGCACCTGCTCTGGGGAGAGTGCTATGGAGCACACAGAAGGATTGTCCTGGGAGCAAGGGGCCAGAAGAGAAAGCTGCCCTAGGTTCTGCCCCGCCAGCCGGGAGCCTCCTGCCTCGGGAAGCGGAGCGATGCCCACCCACACGGCGGGCCCTGTGTTACCCAGTTCTCAGTGGCTTCGCGGAGCCTTCCACCACACAGCCACGGCCTCCTGAGAAGACACCACTGACCCCCACCTCATGCCACCCCACTGCCTGCTGGGGAGACAGACCTCAGTGCCTGATTCATGGGCTTCTGAGAAGGTTCTGAAGGGAACATGGAGAGCCCCTGGTCCTGTGGCTGGCACAGAGTAAGCACCAGCTGCACGCCAGGAAGGGTGCTGCAGGACCAGGAAGGAGCAGTGGGTAGGGGCTAGCTCGAGAGGGGGTACAAGGGTGCGACTCCCTCCAACCTGCAAGGGGCACACTCAACTCTCGAATCCCTTCACTCAACTACCACTGCACCATCCTGTTATTAACCAGTCTGATAAATGGATCTTAAGATATTCAAACAGCATCATGCTCAAAGTGAGAACTTCAACTTTAAACAAACGATGGTGAACATAAGTAACAATTTTACATTGACTTTTATTTAATAAAACCACCTATTTACAATTCAAAAAAGTCCTACTTTGATACACTTTACTAAATAAAATTAAAGGTTAACTGTACAAGCAATTAAAACATGATATGTAGCAAGTGTTATCAGGAGTTTTCAGCAAACTATTTAAAATAGTCAAAAACTGAGCAGTTAAAAAGTACCTTCTGAAGTGAATGCCGTTTCTAAATGGGATCCCAATGCCTGGCGGGAGAGGCAGCCTCACTCTACTGTGCAGGCTGGACAAAGGTCCCGGCCCTGAAGTCTTAGACTGTGAGAGTCAACGGCATGTGAAGTGGAGTGTGCAGACCTCTGGAGGAGCAGCACGTCAATGTCTCATTTCCAGTTTACTTAAACCACACACAGAGGCAGCCTCTACACTTGCCAACAGCCTCTGTGCCGAGGTGTTAAGGGACCCTGGCCGGGGACTCAGAACTTAGAACTTTCTGGCCTCTGAAGAGGACCCAGGAAACTGGCGAGACCTCATGTGACCCCTGAACAGGTCATACAAGCCACTTCTGAACTAAGATTGGGAAGGTGTTCCACACTGGCATGGGATCCTGTTCAGAAGCGGAATACATCGTAGTGCTATCTGGAGAGACTGATGTGAAACTGCTTCACCAGGAACACGCAGGGCTGGGCGCTGAAGACACAGAAGATCCCCAGGGGCAATCTGAACACACTGCACGAGGCCCTTTGCCGCGCCACCTTCTGTACGACTTAAGGAACATCTTTATGTACAGTAAGAAAATATATACATCTTTAAGGAACGGAACGCCCGTAACATGAACAAAAATAAGTACATCTGCGAGGACAACAGCGCACAGGCCTCAGGCGGCCCCTCCCACAGGCCCAGCTCAGACCAGATTACATTCAACATCTTGATGTCAGGAAATGGCTACGTCTGGAGGCCACCGGGACCCCCCCGTGAAGACAGGACGCCTCCTCCGAGAGGAGGTGAGTCAGCATTTAAAGGCCGAGGCAGAAAGTGGTCTCCACGATGCTCTGCAGCCTCCCTGGAGATTCAGCTGAGATGTAGGGGCAGAGTCCGGGAAACGTGACACATGATAGTGCTGGGAAGGAGGGCACGGGGCAGCCACTGGCTCAGCAACCTGCTCCTGCACCTCGAGGAGCATTAGCGGGTATGGCAGGCATAAAAAGTCCAGAGAACGAATGCCAGCTCGGCTTTCCTTCCCCAGCCCCTAGCCCAAGGCTCCTGTTACAAGCTATACAGACAGAGCCAAACAGCCCTCAACATCAGAAATGAGATCAGCCTGGGGGCACCCCCTGGGGTGGGAAGTGTGGCTGAGAAGGGCCGTGGAGTGCAGAGCACCCCAAGGCACACATGTACGCATGACTAACCAAGCCCGTGACCGGGTCCGCAGAATGCTCCCCAGGACCAGCCTGCCAGCGGACCGCCACGTGGGCCCTGCTTCCAGACACTGGCCTGCCCTTTAGACTGCGCAGCTGCAAAACGGTTCATTTCTGTGATTTTGGATAACCAAAGTCCTCACACAAAGTTCTACAATTAGTCAAGGAAAAGACAGAACAAAAAATTTGCCAACGACCCTGGGAAAGTCAGCTAAAATGGGGAGGCTGATGGTCCAGTATGAGCATCTGACGAGATTGTCTAGGCTGTTAGACGTGTGTTGCTCGCTCCTCCGTCTGTACAACGGGTCATGAAGCACACGTTCTAAAGTCAAATGTGTGAGGGACTCACTGGCACTTAGGATGGGTCCAGCTGTGCAGGGCTCAAAGGCAGAGAGGAGCCACTGCTGGCACAAGGGGCCACCTCCCCCACATGTGCTGTTCTGGGCTGCTGCCCTGGCCTCCACTGAACAGGCAGGTGGGAGAGGGCCCAGCCACACATCTCTTTCTCTACCCTTTTACTTACAGGGGGCTGATTCCACTCTGTGTTCTCTCCGCTTTTAAGCCTATCTCTATTGCCACAGGGCTTCCTCGCAAATAGCTCCTCCTCTCGAACTTTCCACCTCCGCAGGACCGATGCCAGGGAGCAGTCTCCCAGAGCGCAGTCCCACTGGAGCCCACGTGTGCACCTGCAGCCTCTACACTGTGACTGTGTCAAGGCAACATGGCCCAGAGCTCACCTGCAGGCTGGGTCGATGCCCAGGTATCCACAAACACACATCAGTGGCCATCCTCAGAGAGCCCCTGTTCCTTTAATGCTATCTTTCGTAGGTGAGTTTTAGAAACGTGACCTCCAGCTCTGGAAAAACTATCTCAATAACTCAATCAGCGATCCCTTTCTTATCGAAAACATGTAAATATCAGCCAAAGCATCTCAAGTCTCCCAAATAACATCTCTCATGCATCCTGGCTAAGACTGTAACATACTTCCCAGTAGTTGACATAGAAACATTACAATTTAATTAGCTTTTGCTGAAATAAAGGAGTGGGGGTGAGCCACTGCCCATCGTTCAACTGTGCAGCAGATGCAGTGGCTGGCTGTGGTCCGCAGCAGCTCATCCTTCCACTGAGCTGCTTAAGGCTAAGCCTTGGTTTAATTCTTTAAAAGTTTTTGTGTTTGTTTTGTTTAAGGCCAACTCCAGTGTTAGGAATCAAACTTAAAGAGCGTCTGTTCTTCTCGGCTGCCCGGGTGTCAGTCTGAAACAACAGAGGGGCCGCGGCATGGGGCTCTGATTGGTGCCGAGTGCGAATTCCCGCTGCAGCCTCAGTGTCGGAGGGACGGACTTCCCTTCTCCATTTCCCGGCTGTCTTTCTGCAATGCAGTCAGTACCTAGAAGTCACAGGGAAGACAGCTGAGGTTAAGTGACCACGCACACAGATCCTGACAGCAGCGAAGCAGAGACAGCAGTAGCCTCCTAACAGGGTCCCCCGGCTCCCCACTTCCACTGCCTCCAACCCTCCAGGGTCTTCCACTCCTACGTCCTTCGTGGTCTTTCCAACATGGACACCTGCCCGTGCCCTCTCTGGCCTGGTGAGCTAGCTGCACTCCTTCCAGCCGGCCACAGAATCCACGTCAAAGCACAGCTGGGGGCCTCACTGGGGTCCTGCAGTGGCCACCCAGGAAGCCCAGGCCTGAACGCTAGGATGCTAATAAGCCCTGTGCCCATCCCGCTGCACTCCTGCCACCCTGTTCCTCCTCCACCAGGAAGCCTGCCACCTGAGAAGGCCTCAAGGCACTGGTTCCTCTTGCCTGCCTTCCTGAGCTCACCCAGAGCCTGCTCCCTCCTCTGTTCTCACAGTTCTTGGTCAACATCCTTCTTTTTCTTCTTTTTGAGATGGAGTCTCGCTCTGTCACCCAGGCTGGAGTGGAGTGGCGCCATCTCGGCTCACTGTAATCTCTGACCCCCGGGTTCAAGAGATTCTTCTGCCTCAGCCTCCTGAGTAGCTGGGAATACAGAGGTGTGCCACCACGCCTGGCTAATTTTTGTATTTTTAGTACAGACAGGGTTTCACCGTATTGGCCAGAATGGTCTCGAACTCCTGACCTCATGATACGCCCGCCTTGGCCTCCCAAAGTGCTTGAGCCACCATGCCAGGCCAACACCCTTCTTTTAAAAGATATTCCACGCCATTGTGGCTGCTTAGCAATTGCAGCAACACTAACAGGCTCCACGCCAAGCAGAGAACTCTGCCAGCGCTTCGCGCCCAGCACCCGCTTAGCCCACGCGACAAACTCTGGAAGGCTAATGCCCCAACATGAGGGGCCTGAACAACAGACATGTACGGAAGTGACGTGCTCAAAGTCCAAGGGTGAAACCAAGAGAATCTTGGTAACACAGTGCTACCTGCCTGGGGCCAGGAACCATGCCACTTTGAGTCACAAATTTAAAAGTAAAAGCATTTTGGTTTCAATTAAGGTGCAGAAAAGGAATAATGGCAGATAAAGTCCCCCTGCATCTTGAAGTAAATGGGGTTGCTGGCTCAACATAAACATTTAGTCATTTTGAAAAAGCTCATGGCTGGGCGTGGTGGCTCATGCCTGCAATCCCAGCACTTTGGGAGGCCAAGGGAGGAAGATCACTTGGGCCCAGGAGTTTGAGACCAACCTCAGCAACAAAAAAGCAAACAAATCTCTACAAAAACAAACAAATATTGGCTGGGTATCATGGCACATGCCTGCAGTCCCAGCTACTTGGGAGATTGAGGTGGAAGAATTGCTTGAGCCCCGGAGGTTCAGGCTGCAGTGAGCTGTGATCGCACCACTGCACTCCAGTCTCGGCAATGAGAGTGAGACTCTGTCTCAAAAAAAAAAAGAAGGAAAAAGAAAAAGAAAGCTCACCAGTGTCTTAACCTTAAGCACAGGATTTGAGAGAAATGTGCATGGACCACAAGTCCCATGAGACCTGAACTGTATAAAAGTTACTGATGCCTGGACCAGGTGTGGTGGCTCACGCCTATAATCCCAGCACTTTGGGAGGCTGAGGTAGGTGGATCGCGAGGTCAGGAATTTGAGACCAGCCTGGTCAACGTGGTGAAACCCCGTCTCTACTAAAAATACAAAAATTAGCTGGGCATGGAGGCGGGCGCCTGTAATCCCAGCTACTCGGGAGGCTGAGGCAAGAGAATCGCTTGAACCCGGGAGGCAGAGGTTGCAGTGAGCCAAGATTGCGCCACTGCACTCCAGCCTGGGCAACAGGGTGGAGACTCCGTCTCAAAAAAAAAACAAACAAAAAACTGACAGCACGTCACTGATGCCCAAGCCCCCCACCCCCATCATCAGACTAACTCCTATCACCATCCCATTAATAACAATGTCCTACGGTCAAATAATCTGACCCAGTTTTAACCAATAGTTTTTACCTAGTCCCTAAAATATGCAAGGATCAAAATGGCTGATCTGGGTTTAATCCTTTCCTGTGTATGTGGGTGTGCAGTATGTGGATGCGCAGGGACTGACCTGCACCTGTACGTGGGTGTGTATGTGCATGTGAGGTGTGTGGGTGTGTAATGTGTACGTGTGGGTGTGATGTGTGGGGTGACGTGTGTGTGGGGCTGTGATAGGTGTATGTGGGGGGTGATCTGTAGGTGTGTGTGTGGGTATGCAATGTGTAGGTGTGTGATGTGTGCATGTATGTGTGGGTGTGTGTGGGGTGATGTGTAAGTGGTGATCTATGTGTGGGGGGGTGGGCAATGTGTGTGTGGGGGGTGATCTGTGCGTGTGGGTAACTGTGTGGGGTGATTGTGTATGTGTGTGATTGTGGGTGACTGGGTGTGCAATGTGTGTGCATGGGGGTGATCTGTGTGTGTGTGGGTATGCCTGTGTGGGGTGACTGTGTATTTAAGGGTGTGTGATATGTGTAGGGGGTGATTGTGTATGGATGTGTGATGTGTGTGGGGTGATTGTGTATGTGGGTGTGTGATGTGTGGGGGGTGATTGTGTGTGGTTGTGTGATGTGTGGGGGGTGATTTTGTGTGGGTGTGTGATTGTGTGGGGTGATTGTGGGGGTGTGTGATGTGTGTGGGGTGATTGTGTGTGGATGTGACTGTGTAGGGTAATTGTATGCGTGGGTGGGTGTGTGATGTGCGTGTCGGGTGATTGTGGTGTGTGGTGATTGTGTATGTGATGTGTGTGTGGGGTGACTGGGTGTGAGGTGTAGGGGTGTGACTGTGGGTGTGCAATGAGTGTGCGTGGGGGTGATCTGTGCGTGTCTATGTGTGGGGTGACTGTGTATGTGTAGGTGTGTGGGGGGTGATTGTGTGGGTGTGTGAGATGGGGGGTGAATGGATGTGCAATGTGTGTGCGTGGAGGTGATTGTGTGTGTGGGGTGATTGTGTACGTATAGGTGTGTGATGTGTGTGGGGGGGGTGACATATGTATATGCCATAAAACTCTCCCCCAGTGGGAAATGTTACAGGACAAATGACCTGCTTTTTTGGGGTTTTTTTGAGATGGAGTCTCACTCTATTGCCCAGGCTGGAGTGCAGTGGCATGATCTTGGCTCACTGCAACCTCTGCCACCCAGGTTCTAGCAATTCTCCTACCTCAGCCTCCCGAGTAGCTGGGATTGCAGGAGCCTGCCAACGTGCCCGGCTAATTTTTGTATTTTTAGTAGAGATGGGTTTTCACCATCTTGGCCAGGCTTGTCTTGAACTCCTGACCTCGTGATCCACCTGCCTCAGCCTCTCAAAGTGTTGAGATTACAGGCGTGAGCCACTGCACCTGGCCAACCTGTTTTTTTTGTTTGTTTGTTTGTTTTTTTAAGACAGGGTCTTCCTCTGTTGCCTAGGCTGAAGCACAGTGCCGCAATCACAGCCCAGTGCAGCCTTGACCTCCCAGGCTCAAATGGTCCTCCCATCTCAGCCTCCCTAGCAGCTGGAACTACAGATATACGTCACCATGCCCAGCTAATTTTTGTATTTTTTGTAGAGACGGGGTCTCACTATGTTGCCCAGGCTGGTCTCAAACTCCTAGGCTCTAGTGATCCCCCAACCTTGGCCTCCCAAAGTGCTGGGATTACAGGTGTGAGCCACTGTGCCCAGCCTAAATGACCTGTTTTCTTTGACAAATAAAGGCAAGCAAGAGAGGGCTAAAAAGTGAGAAGTGGCGTGGCATAGATATTACAGAGGCTTAACAGAGCTTTCAACCAATCACAAGGCATGGACTTTATTTAGATCTTGATTCCAACCAACTATAAAGCCATTTATGACATCTGAATTTGAAAACTGGATATCTGATGATAGGAAGGAGTTAGTAGCTGAGTGGTAACGGTATTGCAGTTACGTTAAAAGAGCCCATATGAGTCAGAGATCGCTAACACCAACAGGTGACACGGTGCCTGGGACTCGCTTCAATATGGTGGGAAGGGGAGAGGTGGGAGGCAGCTCCAACAGCCGCTGCGCTTCCACAGTCACTGACACTGCAGAGCAGGCGTGTGGGGGTGCATTATTTTATGCTGTTCTAGTTTTGTAAATATTTTAAATCTTCCATTAAAAAAAAAAAAAGTTAAATCAAGAACAGACATTTCGGGGGGCTGAGGTGGGATGGTCACCTGAGCCTGGGAGGCGGGGGCTGCACTCCAGCCTGGATGACAGAGCGAGACCCTCTCTCAAAACAAAGAAATCCCCCAGGCATGGTGTAGCACGTACAGAAAAGGAAAAGTCTTCATAGACGTCAATCAACAAGGACTTCAAACCAATGCAGAGTGTATGCAGGATCAAGAACCCAAACTGGTTTTTTTTTCCTTTTTAGTATGACAAAGACTCGGAACAGGAAATGCAGGTCAATCCCACTGGGGACAGGACCTAGGAGGGATGCCTGGAGGGAAACCAAGGGATACGGACTATCCGCGCCACTGTTTGGGGCACTCAGCCCAGAGAGGGCACAGCAGCGCATGGGAAGACCCAGGAGGGACCCGCGCCCTCCTCTCTGGGCCTCCCTTTGTTGTAAGAGGGGGGTAATCCCACTTCCTTCTCAAGGACACACACAAAAGCCTGCCACAGGGCATGGCCACGGGGCTCAGTAAGTGGGTCCACTTTGCTTTCTGTCTCTGGCATTATTTTTTTTAAAAAGGGGGGTACGTGGCTTACAAAGTACTTTCTAACATGTAAAGAGCACTATAATGATACAAGTGCTGACCCTCCCAATGCCACTGCAGAGGAGGTGGGAAGGCTTTCATTATCCACACCCCATCCAGCTGACAGAAACCCAAAGAGGAGGCGACCCGCCGAGACGCCCTGTGGCACAGCCACGTCTCCACCCGGCCCCCCTCAGTTCCAGCCCAGGGACTCCATCAAAGGGGCTACGTCCTCAGACAGCACTTTACGTAGGGGCCTTCCTGAGTCGCGCCACTTGCCGGCTACGCTGTGGGAAGCCAAGAACACAAAGCCCGCTGACCTGAGCCCACTTCTTGTTTCGGCTCTGCATCTGGATCGTGGCGATGGAGGCAAACAGCTCCTCGGCGGGCAGGTCCTCGGGCAGCCGGGTCAGGAACTGGGCCATGTGAATGAAGTCCATCTTGGTCAGGATGTCCTCGAACAGCTTCAGGATGCCCAGGGCCGTGCGGAACAGGAACTCTTCCCCATCGCGACAGAACACGTCCCAGATACGACAGGCCAGGTCGAGGGGCAGAGATTTACTATATAAGGTAAAGATCCTAGGGGGTAAAAGTTGGAATTTTTCAGATTTTGAATCTCTCCTAACAAAGAAAGAACAGTGAATTCCAGTCTGATTCCATGAAAAACACTCCCCTAGTCACTTTCAGGCAACAGCTGGGGCCAGGGCCAGGCCTGCACTCACACTGAAGGGTAATTCTAACATCGCTCAGGACACAGCACTATCAGCTTCCGCACAGAATCATGCAGCACACAGCTTCCGAATGACTGACAGCAACGACTCCTGCCTGCAAGGAATATGTGCTGAGCCCCTACTGTGTGCTCACGCTGTGGGGGCAGGCATCCTGTCTTAGGGGCCGCTGTACGCCGCGCCACCCACAGAGCAAGCGTACGGTAGGTGCTCCTCCTGGCTATGGGGCTCAATGCTGGCGCCACTGCACAGGTTCCCCCCGCCCTGGGAGCATGCACGAGGCTCCTTCCTCCTCTGGGTGCCCTTAGGCTCCTGGTCCCCAGCCTGGTGCTCATCATGGCACACCCTAGCTCCACATCTAGTGCCCTGTCCGGCAATCTCTGCTGAATTCCAACGCCCTGTCTGCGGCAGGACTTCCCAGACGCTCCTGGCTCTCAAAACCTGCCCAACACTGACAGTGCTCGGTACAGGTGGGGATCCCCAGCTGGGTGGGGACATCTCCACCCCTCCTGGAGGACCTCTCTTACGGAGTTCAGTATTTCCTGTGCTGGCACAGAGAAAGTGCTGGGCCCACAAAGCCCCTGAACTGCAGGCACTGGACTCGGCCTGAGGGGCTGACTCGGTCAGGAGGTCAGGCCACTAAAGCTTCCACAGTGTGACCCTGACTTTCCCATAACGATTCCACAGAAAACCCCGCACACTGGTCAACCTGCTCACAAGTGACAGGGGCATGGGTTCTGCCCACAGTGGACTCCGGCCGGGGGGTGCTCCGTTAGATGCGGCCTGTCCTCCAGGTCCCGAGGACATGCAGTTATGGACGTGCATTGCACAGAGCCCACAGCTCCTAGATGAGAGCAGGAATGTTCCAGGCTGTCCCTCATCAGAACCTTCTAACAGTAAAAGTCGAGGAAGGCCTAAAAATCTAGACTTCATTCAACTCAGAGGAGGGAACGGAGAGCCAGATGCCAGGGAAAACCTGCACCTAGAGGAACAACAGAAGCTGGGCGCACACCGGGCGCTGTGTGCTATGCGAGCCCCTCCGGAAGGACACCCCATGCATCAAGAAATGCCCGGGAGACGGGCTCTCTCATCTCACTACACCTGACAGAACCGCGCCTCAGGACAACAGCTAAACGGACCCAGGTCTCACCACCAGTAAGTCCCGAGCCAGACTCTGAACCTGACTCCAACGCCCACGCTCTGATGTCTGAGCCTCAGCACACACCATGAGGCAGCAGCACCGTCGCAGGCTTGGTAGGAAGCTTGATTCTAAAATCACAAGCCTTCAGCCCGAGCTTCTTGCTGTTTCAAAACCAGAAAACCATTTCACCACCTGGTCTAGAAAGTACAGTTCAAGAAAGAACAAAGAGATCTTTTGTTTCCTTAGTCTAGAGAATATTCTCAATTGTACCTGGAGAGCATGCTTGTTAACACTATGAGAAAGGGCAGGAGAGTCCACTCGGCCTGCACAACTATCTCTGTGTGCCCACTCACACATGGAAATCAGACTCTCCCTACATCTGCTAAAAAGCAGAGTCCTGAGAAAAAAACGGATGGGGAAAGACGACAATGTTTTTTGTTTTGTTTTGTTTTTTTCTTGAGACGGAGTCTCACTCTGTCGCCCAGGCTGGAGTGCAGTAGTGGTGCGATTTCGACTCACTGCAACCTCCACCTCCCAGGTTCAAGCAATTCTGTGCCTCAGCCTCCCAAGTAGCTGGGATTACAGGCGTCCACGACCATGCCCGGCTAATTTTTGTATTTTTAGTAAAGATGGGGTTTCACCATCTTGGCCCGGCTGGTCTTGAACTCCTGACCTCGTGATTCACCTACCTTAGCCTACCAAAGTGCTGGGATTACAGGCGTGAGCCACCACGCCCAGCCAAAACAACAGTTTTTATATAGTTTATACCCATACATATTTTATATATATAGTCAAATAGTTTTTATAGCAAAGAGAACAAAAGAGATTTCTACAATGTACCCCCCCAAGCCCAAAGAACTAAAGTTTGTTCTTTTTTTTATTTAACATAATATTCTTAAGCTGAGATTTATGTGTGAGTCTCCATAAGTTACTCTAGACAGGTAATGAACTTTATAAAATTAAGTCACCACTGGAATGACCCAGAATGCCATTCACTATGCCCACGATGCCCCCTGCTCTGCATTTCCATGAGACAAATCCATTTCCAATCCCATGAGCTTCCACCTCCTGGCCATGCTTACTGCTGACGCCGTGCTGCGACCATGCCTGGCTACTCACTGCGGCCTCTGGGCTTGTTCCTGGCATCAGCCTCTGTCCCCTGCAGGCTCTTCCCACATGCTGTGTGTCACTATTTCTTGGAAGGTCATTTCCTGACCCTCAGGCTGGACCAAGTTTCCTTGAAATGTTCACGCTGCACTGCACGCACCCTCCTTCATGAGGCCCTGGCATTCTTCACCTTCCTTTACACTGAGTCAGTGAAGGGACGCTCCTGACACTCCTGGACACTTCCCTCTGCCTCGCATACCATCCTGCATCTTTTGGGCCTTGCAGGCTCTGGCAGGCCTCTCAGCAAGCAGCTCCCAGGCCCTCTGCCCCAGTCAGGGCTCCCCATGGCCTCTCCAGCCCCTGGACTCCACTCCAAGAGCTCTGCACCGTCCTAAGCCACTTCTGTCCCCTGCTCCAGGCTGGAAGTGCCTCAAGGGCAGAGACCCCGCCCCACAGTCTTGAACTGAGGCTCCTCTTCTCCCATTCTCTCCTCCAGCAGGGACTGCTCAGAGGTGCTCCCACATCATTATCAGGAGCTTCCAAATGTGGGCTTTATTTTAAACCACATTTAGATTTGAAAGCCAGCCGTGAACAGGCCACTGAAGGGGGACACCAGGCTCTGTCCTGGCCCCAAAGAAGCCCTGCCATGGGATCAGAACCGGTCGGAACAAGGGGGCTACTGTCCACACGGCCCTCCTGGTTCAAGGTCCACCTTCCCCTGCTGCCCTCAGGCTCACAGAAGCAGGACGGGAAGGGCCCCTTGGCCTTCCCAGAGACGGCTCAGTACTCCTCCCATGGTCGGAAGACAGAATTCAAGGGTTTTTCTCTCCCAAAAGATGTTTACGTTTTGCCTCCGACCACTGCATATTATTGCGTTGTAGATCAAAAATGGTATTTTTTTAAAAGTAATAAATAAAAGTATGTTTTTAAAAGTAAAAAAAAAAAAAAGTAATTTCAAGTACAACTTCAACTAATGCAAAATAACATAATTCTTCTCTTTTCTTTTTGTTAAGACAGGGTCTCACTGTGTCGCCCAGGCCAGAGTGCAGTTGCACAATCACGGCTCACTGCAACCTAGACCTCCTGGGCTCAGGTGACCCTCCTAGCTCAGCCTCCTGAGTAGCTGAGACTACAGGCACACACCACCACACCGGCTAATTTTTAAGTTATTTGTAGACATAGGGTCTCACTGTGTTGCCCAGACTAGTCTTGAACTCCTGGGCTAAAATGATCCTGTCACCTCAGCCTCTCAAAGTGCTGGGACTATAGACATGAGACACCACACCCAGCCCAAAATGATATATTTCTATGTCGCTAAACAAATGACGTGTCTCTCAGCTTAGAAAAGACCCCAGACAAAAGCTGCGTATCTGTTTCCCCCGTGATACGTGAGGGAGGAAAGGGGCAGTTTTTGCTGATGTGTCTTCACAACTTCCAGAAAATTCTTACCTAGCCAGGTCTGTTCCGCCTGCTTGTCTGAGCTTGCTAGAGGCAAGGAAGCACCATGGGGTAAGGACGAGGGCAGTTCAGGGCTGTCGTGAAGGAGGAAGACGGCATCCACGGAACAGAACTGGCCTCTGCCCTGTCTACTAATCAGGGCCCCGGGCTGCACACAACAGAAAGTGCTCGTTTCATACATTTTTACAGGGACTGTTCATCTGAATCCTTGTTACAACCCCAAGAGGAGGTACAATCGTCTTTTCCATTTTACAGAGGAGGACAGTACAAATAAAGGGAGATTAGCTGGGCATGGTGGCATGTGCCTGTAATTCCACCTACTTGGGTGGCTGAGGCAGGAGAACTGCATGAGCCTGGGAGGCGGAGGCTGCAGCGAGCCAAGATCGCACCACTGCACTCCAGACTGGAAAGAGTGACAATACGTCTCAAAAAGAAAAGAAAACAAAACAAAACAAGAAAAAACTCAACCAAATAAAGGGAGGCTGTGGAAAAGCAGATCTAGCTTAAAGTAAAAGGGAAAGTCAGCAGGTAGTCTCACCCATTAAGAAGCCAAAACCAGCAACTTGGACCTTCAAGGCCCAACATTACCAATTTCTAGCTGTGTCCCCATTTTCCCAACCTGACCAGCTGCTAAGGAGGCGCCCTCACTCCCAGGCTGGCTCATGAATGGCACTCCGCCCCTCCCCCAACCACAGGGCTCCCTGTATTCCCAGAAACATCAACAGTTAGATTAGACAGTGCTAGGTAAGAACAGGGTTACTACTGAGCCTCATTAGATTTTGTGAAGCTTAAATAAAGCAACATTAAACTCCAAACACACAATCCCATTTGTTAAAAGTTGGAGATGGTTACTTAAGACTCAGTTCAAACTTAGTTAAACCCATAAACTGCGCTCACCTTGATTCTGAAAGCAATTAGACATATATCCAGCTCTGTGTCCCAGAGTCCTCCCCACCCTGAGCCCAGTGGGGTTCACATACCCACCTCTGTGCCCCAGAGTCCTCCCCAACCTAAGGCCAGAGGAGTTCACATACCAACCTCTGTGCCCCAGAGTCCTCCCTAACCTGAGCCCAGCAGGGTTTACATACCCACCTCTGTGTCCCAGAGTCCTCTCCGACCTGAGCCCAGCGGGGTTCACATACCCACCTCTGTGCCCCAGAGTCCTCCCTGACCTGAGCCCAGCGGGGTTCACATACCCACCTCTGTGCCCCAGGGTCCTCCCTAACCTGAGCCCAGCGGGGTTCACATACCCACCTCTGTGTCCCAGAGTCCTCCCTGACCTGAGCCCAGCGGGGTTCACATACCCACCTCTGTGCCCCAGGGTCCTCCCTAACCTGAGCCCAGCAGGGTTCACATACCCACCTCTGTGCCCCAGAGTCCTCCCTGACCTGAGCCCAGCGGGGTTCACATACCCACCTCTGTGCCCCAGAGTCCTCCCTAACCTGAGCCCAGCAGGGTTCCAGTCTTTCTGTCCCAGCACTTGGCAGGGGCCAACAGACATGAAAGTAAACATCATGAGCACCGCATGAGAATGCAGGCTCCCACTTCAGCCAGGCCAGGGTGTGCCAACGATGCACAGGCTGCTGCCCCTCCCTTCGAGCAGGTCCCCAGTGCAGGCAGGGGACGCTCTTCCCTCCTCCACATGCCCATAAAGACCCAACCTAAGCCAGACGTGCTCAGCAAGATGCTCCCGGCTCCTAAGGCACTCGTGGGGCAACCTGTACCCCAGAACTGACAGGCCAGAGACGACCCAAGTGCAAGAGGCAGCAGAAACGGAAACCTCCCAACAGTCACTCCCCCTTGAACCTTTCCTTTTAAATGGGAACTCGAGCTGGGCGCGGTTGCTCACGTCTGTAATCCCAGCACTTTGGGTGGCCTAGTTGGGAGGATCACGAGATCAGGAGATCGAAACCATCATGGCTAACACAGTGAAACCCCATCTCTACTAAAAATACAAAAATTAGCTGGGGGTGGTGGCGGGCGCCTGCAGTCCCAGCTACTCAGGAGGCTGAAGCAGGAGAATGGCGTGAATCCGGGAGGCGGAGCTTGCAGTGAGCCGAGATCCACCACTGCACTCAAGCCTGGGTGAAAGTGCGAGACTCCATCTCAACAACAACAACAACAAAAAAAGATGGAAACTCCAGGCAATGACAGCATCTCCAAGGATCATTAAACATAATTTCAGAAACGCTAACCATAACATGGAATGTAGTCCCCGATTCTTTTGTTAGCTCAAGATTATTTATTATAAAGCTCACTCACACCTCTAGATAATTCTGCCACTGGCCGGCAATGGGAAATATTTTCAGAAGTGAAATGACCTAAAGTCAGTCCTACAAAATGTAGATGCTTGACAGTCGAAACACTGAAAACTCTGTAGGAAGACGGAGACAGCTGAAGGGCCCCTGCTCTGATCCACATGCCTCATCGGGAGGAGTGGCAAGCCACAATTAAAGAACGGCCAGGAAGGCGGTGTTGGAAGGACAGCGAACCCTCAGCCCTGACTCCTCATGAGCCACTGGTTAGGCAGCGTACAGGGTGCACTGGAAAAGGGACCGAGGAAGGTGACCCTCAGGCACAGACGCATTCTTTGACCTAGGACACTGAGCCAGGCATGGGGCCAGGCACTGGGGACACAGAGGTGACTCTTGAAGCTTTACCACTGGGGCAGCAGCTGACAGAGGGGACCCTCAGAGAGTGGGTGGAGCTGGGGCGGTGGGGAGCAGGTTTGGTGGGCAGGCAGTGTGGCAGGACAGGAGATTTTTCTGACCCAAAGTGTAGCCATTTTAATGGGCTACCCACACAGCCCACCCAGGACGCTGAGCTGGCCACACCCACAGGCCCCTCAGCCCCTGCCGCGAGCAGGAGGAAGGCTCTCTTGCTCAGGCAGTTAGCTGCTGAGCCCTGGAACTTAGCATGCTTTATACCCCGCCAGGCACAGTGCAGACCCATAATGTGGAGGCAGGCCCAGCTGTGATGGGTGTGGACGTGTCTCTGGGAAAGGTGGTCTGATGTAGCAGAAGCAGCAAAGACCCCGAAGGCAAACCAACCTGGACCTCACACCATGGGCCTCAGTGACTTCTTCTGTGCCCAGAAATAGGTACACCTGCTCCTGAACACTGAAGACCACAGTGACGAGTGCTTCTGAAATGGCAGCTTCTAGGACAGGTCTTATGTAAAGTCTGTTCTTCCCCTTTGCTTCCTCCCTACTGCCCAACCTGTTTCTGATCTGAGCTTTCACCGAACTGTCAGCACCCAACAAGGAGCCTGAATCACTGCGGACCACCAATAAATGCTGACTCAGGAAATAAGTCATGAATACATGGCTTTCCTGTGCTTAGTTCAACTTAAATATTTACTAATGCCTTTCTATATGCCTTGCCCTGTACTGGAACTGCGAAAACAGACTGTATCCTAGCTGGTGCTTATTCTAGAACACAGTCAGCACTTCAAGAATAAGGCCTGTGGAGGCCTCGTCAAAGCACAGTGGACAGCATTCACAAGGCCCTGGGCACCAACCAGCTCACAGCACAAAGGCCTCAGCAGTGAAGAACCCTTGCCACTTCCTTTTCATTTACTCTGCCTCACTGCTCATTACTGACAGTCCAACCCAGGTTCTACACTCGACATGCTATTCCTGTCTCTGGAACCTGAGCTATGGGACCCATCTTATGGGTGACACTGCCTCACACAAACCCCCTTAGAAAGGACTCTAAGGGAAAGTGCACAGCTCTAGAGCCGGGTAGACTTGAGTCCGGACTCCAGCTCTGCATTTGGCTGGCATCAGGACCTTGGCCAAGGCACTCTGCCTCTCTGAGCCTCAGTTTTATTTTTTGTTTGTTTGTTTTGGAGAGAGAGGCCCACTCTGTCACCCAGGCTAGAGTGCAGTGGTGTGATCTCGGCTCACTGCAACCTCTGCCTCCTGGGTTCAAATGATTCTCGTGCCTCAGCCTCCTAAGTAGCTGGGATTACAGGTACGCGCCACCATGCCCAGCCAATTTTTGTATTTTAGTAGAGACGGGGTTTCGCCACATTGGCCAGGTTGGTCTCGAACTCCTGACCTCATGTGATCTGCCCGCCTGGGCCTCCCAAAGTGCTGGGATTACAGGCGTGAGCTAGTGCACCCCGCCCTGAGCCTGTTTTTTTCCTCTATAAAACACAAGTGTTACACTGGGCTTGGAGAGGTTGTTCCAAGGGTTCAAAGACAGCATGTGTGAGAAGCACTCGAGTCAAAAAACGCTGGTGCCTTTTGTCTTTGCCCCTACATGGATTACAACCATCTTCAGGCTGGGACAGAAGCAGACAACACTATTCTCCAGGCCTGTACTTTTCACACTGCCAGGCATGACCCAGACAACAGCCAGTGGATCACGAAGGCAACGAAAGCAGATTATCACCAGCATTTTTTGGAATAAATAGAACAAAGTACAATATTTCAGAATGCTTCACATGGTCAGGGTTAGGTACTGGGTCATGAAACCACCGTTCCCAGCATACGTACGTGTTAAGTTTCTGCACACATTGGGTCACAATTTAAAACACATTTCCTTTTGCAAGTAAAGGTGGGAAAAGTTTGAAAGACACTATTGACTTTTGGCCTAGAATCCTAAGAAACTAATCAGAAGCCCTAAAACAGATAAGGGAGAAGCTAAAGGCTCAGGTCCTGCCTGGATCCCCTCCCGTCCTCCAGCACCGCGGGCCCCAGCCAGGAATCTGAGGGGCAGGGCTCGCAGTCAAATGCACACGGTGGGGCAGCCTGTGCAGGAGCTTTGTGTTCACAGCTGTGAAGAAAATCACCATTTGCTGAATAAAGGTCCCCTTTAAAGCAGGCCCTAAACACTTCTACCCAGTATAGCCAGGCAGGCCAGCCCAGCATCCCCGCCAGCGCCACTCACGGCCCCATGTTCACTGTCCTGTCACCAGCGCCTTGTGGCTTCAGCTACAAGATTCAACCTCCAAAACCCTCGTCCTTCATAGCAAAGGTCAGTGGAGTGAGAACAGTCCAGGGTTTCGGACAGAAGCAACAAACCAAGAATCCCAAAGGCACACTCTTAAGGGCACAGACAAGGCTGCTTTAGCTAAGGGTCAGCTTCCTTTCAAATGATACTTGAATTTTACCTTCCAGAAGGCCTTTTCCCTGATGAAGAAAGTGGGCAACAACAACAAAACCAAACCAGCCAGCTATCTGTTCACAGTGGTTTGACATTTACCATACGATTTAGTGGAACGTGCCTTTCTGGTCGAATAGTACATTCTTTACTTCTGCGGAGCCCCTTCTATGAGTCGGGTGGTGCCGCACGGTCACCCTACAGCACCCTGTGGGGTGAATCACTGTGGCCTCCAGATAAGGAACTGGGAGCTCAGCCGGGCTTCACAGCCTTCCCCAAGACCACAAGGCAATAATGGGAGAAGCTGGGTTTGGGCTGGGGCTGCTGGATCCCGGAGGCACCCTCTTCCCACCATGTGATCTGAGAGGCTGCTCCCTTCCACACACAGGTCTCCCAGCCCTCTTACCTGGCCCTCAAACATGGTGCTCTCTGGGCTAACAGCCACACCACATCCTCAGCAACCCCTTTCACCACAGCATGAAGACCTGCCTGGCCCAATGCTGCTGCGTAGACCTCTCAGGATCCTTGTATCTGTCTCAGGATGCCTGTACTCACATGTCCCGCAGGCACCTCAAAATCACCCATCTGAAGTCAAATCCACTAACTGCCCTGGCCGAATCTTCTCCCTTTGTCTTTGGTCTCAGCTGAAGGCATCAGCAAACCCCTTCCCCAACCGCAGTCAAGAGCTGACCATGATTCTCTGACATACCCACAATATTTCCACGGGGCCTTCTCTCCACCTACTTCAGCTTTTTCCCCCTTAATTGGTCTCTCTGTTCCCAGGCTCTCCTGCCTTCCAGGTAACTTAAAACTCGCCGCTGGATCTGCCCCACCCTCATCCTCAGCAGAAGCCTTCTCCCACTCCCCCTGGCCCCGCAATCCTGCCCAAGCTCCAGAGCTTGGGTCTAAGAGCCACCGTGACCTGGCCTCCCCACCTCATCGCCTGCCGTCCTCTGCCCTTTACTTTCAACCTCTACCCCACCAGACCTGGCTACAGTGCCCGCTGACTCTGGAATGGCACATGCACTTGTCACCTTCGCTCTATGTACTCTGAACCCTGTGCTGGGTCCAGGACCTCCTGCCTTCCAAGACGGCACTCATCTCACGTGGACAGTGTCCATGGACACACGTGTCTCCCACAAGCCAGGAGCTCCTGACAGGCAAGCGCTGCCCTTGCTCCTCAGGCCACCTCTATACCCAGCGAGGGCCTGCACAGGCCGGGTGCTTAGGACGGGTCCTTTAAGGAATGGACAGCACTTTGGAAACAAACAGGCCCAAGATACCATTTCTCCCCTTGAGGGAATTCAGGAGGGCCAGGCGGAGGCACTGATGGAAATAAAACTCAAGGGCAGGGCCATCAGGGAAGGCTGGAAAGCAGGATATGAGGACTCAGCCGGGCCATGAAGAAGTTGGCAGAGAAGAGAGTGAAGAACAGACAAGGGCTGAGAAATGCTCTGAAAACACAGGGAAAAGCCAGTCTTACCAATCAATTAGGTAGATATCTGGAGTTAGGTTGTTCTTCTTGAAATGCGCAAATAATTTCGGCAAATTTTCTTCAAAGAATACTTCAAATGCAGCAAAATAAGTCAACATCTAGGGAGATAATATGAAATTTACTCAGAAACTATCTGCACAAGTTTTCAATTTACAAAAAAGTCAATATATGTATATCTTTAGACTCTAACAATTACCTTCTTCTGTAATTACTAATACACTTTGAATGGCAACTTATTGTAGGTACTATTCAAATTATAAACAAGCACTATTTCTAATCTTCACAATGACATCAATAGCTACACCTCATCTTCTTCAATTCATAGAAAAGGGAACTGAAACCCAAAGCAGTTATGGAACTTGCCAAATAAGGGCACAAGCTTTGTAGGTGGTGAAGCTGGGAATGAATTTGTGCCTGTCCCGCTGCAAAGGTGGAGCCTGTACAGACTCACTCTTTCCTAAAAACCAGGAATATATGAACGTGTAAAAGTATCTGGAGGCCGGGTGCGGTGGCTCACGCCTGTAATCCCAGCACTTTGGGAGGCCGAGGCGGGTGGATCATGAGGTCAGGAGATCGAGACCATCCTCGCTAACACGGTGAAACTCCGTCTCTATTAAAAATACGAAAACGAAAAATTAGCCAGGCGTGGTGGCGGGCGCCTGTAGTCCCAGCTACTCGGGAGGCTGAGGCAGGAGAATGGCGTGAACCCGGGAGGCGGAGCTTGCAGTGAGCCGAGATTGCGCCACTGCACTCCAGCCTGGGCGACACAGCGAGACTCCATCTCATAAAAAAAAAAAAAAAAGTATCTGGAAAAGCAGGCATGCCTCGTCCAACCCCTGGCACTTCCAGGGGGCTACACGACTCATGTCTGAGTCAACGGCAGCACCCCTCCAGCTGACAGAGGCACACCTTTGAATGCAACGAGGGGGAAACACTACAGGGAAAGGAGGAAAGGAGGGCGTTACAGCCCGTAGTTTATGGAACTTGCTTTCCAACGGTGGACGGTTTTTTAAGGAAGCAAAATGTACAAAGCTGGGAAGCAGTGCTGACAGCAGAAAGAACTCCAGCTGGACTGGGGGCAGCACCCGTCTGATAGTGGCCCAGTTCTGCTCCAGTGCTCACCAGCTGGGCGCCTGGGGGCAGATCACGACTCTGGTGTCTGTGCATCCGAAGGAGGGGCTCTACTGTAGACGGTGGCTCCCAAAAGGGAGTGATTTGGTCTCTAAGGCAACACTGGTCAATGTGAAGATACTTCTGGTCGTCATAACCGGGGGCAGGTGCTGCTGGCACGGGGATATGGAGGCTGGCAAGCTGCTTAGCATCCTCCAGCGCACAGGACATCCCCCAGCAGAGTCACACAGTCCTAAGTTCAACGGGGCTGCCAGGGAGAAAATCTGCTGCTGTCATGAAGACCCCACTCAACATTATGACTCTATGGTTTCTCCTTCAAAATACAAGCTATGATTCCTAGGCACAATTTCTACCACATTTCCAAAGAGAAAGCTGGGGTCTTATCTTCAAAATCAGCAGAAACTTAGATGGGAATCATGTATTTATTTATAAAAAGATAAAATTAAATTTACATGCAGGAATTATTTTCAGGAATTAATATCACAAGCAACGTAAGGCCAGTATATACTGTGCCAATGAGTTATTTCAAGAGTAAGAACGCTTCCTCAAGATTTATTTTCTGTTTCTGACCATTACTTTTCTTGGAAAGGTAAGTTTTTACCTGATTATGAAAGTCATACCTGTAAACACTCACTGTAGATAACTTAGGAAACACATAAACACTATTAATCCATCATTCAAAAAACTATAAACACTAGTAATTCTGTGGCATATTTCCTTTTATTGTTAAATACAACAGTCACTATAGTTTACGTTTTATCTTACATACACTGAATTAACATCTTGAACACTTTCTCACAATGCAGCTCTTTGTAAGCATCACTACTGATCACTTACCAAATTTTAATTTACCATTCTGCATTCTCCTAACCTCATTTCAGCTATTCTCACATTTACAATTGTAAATAAGTGTGTAATGACTATCTTTGTGCATAATGCTTTGTCCACATTTATGACTTTCTTAGAAGTGATTCTTATGAGCAGAACTGCACACCAATGCTATTTACAGCTATTGATACTTAATACCAAGTTGTCTTCCAAAAGGACTGTGCCAATTTACAGTCCCAGTAATAGCTACCAAATTTACCAACAACTTTTTTTTTTTTTTTTTTTGAGATGGGGTCTCGCTCTGTCGCCCAGGCTGGAGTGCAGTGGCGCAATCTCGGCTCACTGCAAGCTCTGCCTCCCAGGTTCACGCCATTCTCCTGCCTCAGTCTCCCGACTAGCTGGGACTACAGGCGCCTGCCACCACGCCCAGCTAATTATTTTGTATTTTTAGTAGAGACGGGGTTTCACTGTGTTAGCCAGGCCTCGTGTGTTACTCCTGACCTCGTGATCCGCCCTCCTCGGCCTCCCAAAGTGCTGGGATTACAGGCGTAAGCCACCATGCCCGGCCAACCAACAGCTTTTAAATACTTTATGTATGTACTATCTGAGCAAGACATACTCAGTAAACCTTAAGATATCAAGGAAGAAATACTCCCTAGATGATCTAAAGTATTAGATCATTTTAGTCTTGAAGTACTGGTAATAATTATCAGCAAATCAGACAGTGATGGCCGGGCACAGTGGCTCACGCCTGTAATCCCAGCAATTTGGGAGGCCGAGGCAGGTGGATCACTTGAGGTCAGGAGTTCAAGACCAGCCTGGCCAACATGGCAAAACCCCATCTCTACTAAAAATACAAAAAATTAGCCTGGCATGGTGGCAGACACCTGTAATCCCAGCTACTAGGGAGGCTGAGACACGATAATTGCTTGAACCCAGGAAGCGGAGGTCGTAGTGAGCTGAGATGGCACCATTGCACTCCAGTCTGGGTGAGAGAGCAAGACCCTGCCAAAAAAACAAAACAAAACAAAACAAAAAAAACAAAAAAAACCCTGATGGGCTTATTAAATGAGTGACTTCTATGCTACAGAAAGAACAAGGGCTTAGGAACCAGAACGGATTCAAATCTCAGCTCCTCCACTTACCAGATGCATGCCTTGAACGAGTCCCTTCACTTTGAGCCTTATCTCCTCACCTGAACTGCGCAGAGGGCTTATCTGGGAGGCATGTAAACCCTACCCCCCACTGTCACCACCCCCCACTGTCACCGCCTCCCACTTACGCAGTGTCATAAAGACTAGAGCGGTCCACTAAACAAATGGCTGCCTTTTAAAAAATAAAGGAGTATGGTCTCCAGCGTGTCTCCTTTCTCCCGGGTGTGGGCACACTTCACAAAGCAGGGTGACAATGAGCAGCAACACCGCTCGATTACGACATGTTCTACCCAACAGGCCCAAACGTGGGCACTGCCATCAAGCTGTGACTTTGACACCAAGTGTGTGTTAAGTTTAAGCAGGAGCCACACTTCTTCCTTCATTAAAAGAATACATTTTCAAAAATACAGGTAATGTTTTTCTGAGAGAACGTATTAAGAAACCCAGACATACGGCTACTAACCGTGTCTTTTTCAGCTTCCATGCAATACGCTGCTCAAAATCATCCTCCACCTTACAGTGCTGCTTACTCTAAACATCTCTTCACAGAGAGAAAATGTATTCTTTTTTTCCACCGAAAACACAGACGAGTAAGCAACTCTTGACATTTAAAGACACAGTACCCAGGGCCCGAACACAGAGGATACTCACAAGGCCATGGTCCACTCTAAAAAACGCCATTTGACAGGGTTTATTCAGAAGGTTAGAAAAGGCAATAAAGGCATCTGCAGTATCTAAGTTCAAGATCAACACTGCTGCTATGAAGGACATGCCCTGGACCTGAGAGAGGAGAGAAAGGCACGTTAAAATCACAGTGGCCACAGGGTCACCGTAGTGTGTTCATTTTTAGCAAAGACAAACCTACCACCCTCACACTAGAAGTGTCCCTAGAGCCGCCCCACTCCTCCGGCCACCCAACGCTGAACTGCCCTCACTCAGAACCACCACTCTGCCACCCCAGCCACCCGGCCTGCTCTCCTTCAGTTCCCACCCCTGCTCCCACCCCGCAAATGGAAAACCCTAAACCAGCCCTCTTAGGCCCAGAGCATCTGAAATACTGCTCTTTCCTATGTCCAGTGTCCCGGTGCCGTAGACTTGTGTTATCTATCTCAATAAGCTTAATATCAAACCATGCATGCGCACACACATCCGCGAAGCCACAGAAGTATCAGCAGTGCTTTTTAATGGTTGCTGCTTTTAACGTGGTTAAGGTTTCTTTGATTTAATGTTGGAAAAAAGTCACATGCCAAAAATGAAAATTGCATTCGATTAAAATGTGATTAATGCCCCAGAGCAGCCACGACAGCTCAATTTCTTTAAGAGGAACCTGAGTCAACTCACTTAACTCACTTACCACGAGACTTTTCATACTCCTCGGCAAAAACGAAGGCACTGGCATGACATTTGCAGCTAACACGTGCTGGACAATATCTGACTTTCTTTTTAGATAACAACATTATAAAATACTGAGAAACTTCACTTACATAACCCACATCTGGCCGGTAACAAGTATAAGCGCCCAAAATACTGTGCAACATGTCATGATATGGACCACCCTAAAAGGATCAACACAGCAAAAACAACACATGCATGAGTACTGTTAGTGCTCAGACGAACATCTGATACTACTACTGCTGCCGCTGCCACTCCTGCTATTTTCAGCATTATGAAATATGCCAAGCATGATGCCAGCAGCTCTATATGCATATGGAATTTAACAAATTACCCATTCACAGCTAGGGAAGTCTGCAGCTCACGCTATGTAACTGCTCTGAAAAGAAGCTGGAGGGCCAGGCAGGAGCACCACCCTGGACAAATATCCTTTATTTGGCTCCTGCTGTATAACTGTGTTCCCTTTCAAAGCCCACCAGGAGAGCCAGGTATGCGGGGGCTCTTCAAAGCAGGTGACTACTCAGTGTCACTCAGGCCGTCTCCCACTGTGCCCCACATCCTGACTATCCTTTCTGCCTCTCCTCCCAGGCTTATCACTCTCCTTGTTTCTGTTGGTTTTCTGAATGGCAAGTTTAGGAAATACACTCTTCTAAGTCCTGGTGGCTACCATTTTGTTTAAACATTCTCCCAGCTCTTCCACCCCTCTAACATTTCCACTTGCTCTTATAACTGCTTCCAAAAAGTCAATTGTTGGAATTATTTCCCCAATGGAGCACAGAAGAAAGTGCAGAGATGCCTCACGCTGAAGTTAGCATGTGAGAAGATACAACAAAAGGACAGGTTCAGTCCCAAACACTTACTGTCTATGTCTACCAGGTACCTACATTTAACACAAGGAATAAAAATCACACATGGTGAGAGATAAGAAGTCACTCCACAGGTGACCACAGGTGGCTTACAAAAGAATGCCATGGCCCAGACCATCATATTCTAGCATGTGAAAAGAGCTAAGTAAAAGAAAAGACAGTTCCAAATCACAGAGGGACAAAAGGAAAAATAGCAATGAGAGGGTAAAAATGCCAGCATCCAGGCCTAGGGTGGGGGTGACGGTCTGCAGTGGCACCAAATGCCAGTCTAAGGACTAGTGTGACTGTAACAAAGTTTTATCCAGGCCAAGGCTAAACAAGAAAACAAGAGCATTACACTGAACTTCTCTTAAAGCTAAATGTGTTTAACTTCAAAGGTTTTCTACCGTTGTAATTTCGATCCTTCCATCTCACTTTGGTGCTAAATGTCATTTCTGTCATTTCTTAAATGAAAACAATGATGCGGCTGGGCGCAGTGGCTCACGCCTGTATTCCCAGCACTTTGGGAGGCCGAGGTGGGCTGATCACGAGGTCAGGAGTTCGAGACCAGCCTGGCCAACATGGTGAAAACCCGTCTCTCCCTAAAATGCAAAAATTAGCCAGGCATGGTGGTGGGTGCCTGTAATCCCAGCTACTCGGGAGGCTGAGGCAAGAGAATCGCTTGAACCCGGGAGGCGGAGGCTGCGGTGAGCCGAGATCATGCCATTCCACTCCAGCCTGGGCAACAAGAGCGAAACTCTGTCTCAAAAAAGAAAAAATAATAAATGACCTTAACTGCTTTTGGACACAGTTCTCCACTCTCCCCCTCAACTGTTCTTTGCTTTCTTTTAGTAAACTCAATCTCTGCTCATTAGAAAGGTTACTAAGCTACTTTCTACCAGGGCTGAGAGATCTCTACATTGGAATGAAAGACCTGGGAAGAAACTTCTTTGGCCTCCGCCCACCACCTCTTTCATCACACACTTCTGCCACCACCTGGTAGGATATGGCCCTTTGACCTCTGGTTGGATTTAGTTGTCTTTCAGTTTCAAATTACGTTCAAAGAGATTTAATAACAAAAAGCACTGTTATCTGCCAAGTACTGTCAACAGCCCTGTTAGGCCAGTATGATCACCCTGTTACAGATGAACAAACTAAGGCTCAAAAAGATGGATTTGCCCAAAGCTAGTGGGAAGGCAATCTGTGATAAAAGCCCAAATTTGTTTGAAATCAAAGGTAAAACTCCTTTCCAGAAAGCTGCCTCTCCTGGATCCCTCTGAGAGCCTGGTGAGGGGGCACGTGAACCGTGGGTGGAGGGTGGGGAAGGGCCTTTTGGGCTGGGGGAAGAAAGTCTTTCCCCTCCAAGGGCCAAGAAACAGGAGCAGCTCCAAGAGAGCGATGCAGGGGCTGCAAAGCATGGAGTGCACTGAGGCCTATGGAGACGAACTGGGGCAAAAGGGCAGAGAAGCTGAAATCTGCCCTGTGGGAGAAGCAGGGTTCCAGGAAACAGGCTCCCAGCTAAGTCAACTGCCTGCTGCAAGCCAGTGGGGTGCTCGCTGGGCTCACGCACCAGACACCAGGACCAAAGCTGCTGGAGCTTTGTAGATTCCCTCTCTTTCCTCTTCTGAAAAGATTTCTGAAGACCCACACGGAAATCCACAAAGATGAGAACCTGAGTAAAGGCAGTGAGAACAGACAAGGGACAGGTGCAAAGGTATTCTGCAAGAACAACTGCCCCCGCAAAAACCCGTTATAGATAAGAAAGGGATCAAAAGATCCCCAGATTAACGTCTGCTGGCTCAAAGAATAGAAGGTCTTTAAAGAGTTCAGCTCAGATGACCCCACAACCTACTGCTGGCAGCCCTGTCCTGTGTTCAGATGCCCAGGAGGAGGCTCCCCTCTGCTTTTCCTGCCACCTAAGGAGCCTGTCCTATCTCCCACAGCAGGCTTCTGTCCCTCAGCTGCACTGCTCTCCTGGTCTACCTGCTCAGAAACCTGTCACCCCGGCTTGGCCACCCACCCAGGCTGCCAGGGATTTCCCTTTCTCACACGGGCTCACTGCACTGGGCTCATCTGAGCCGAAGCCCATCACACCAACATGGCCTTGCTGAGCGCAGACTGCTACACACAGTCCTGAGAGCAGAGGAGTGTCCAAGAAAGCGCCAGCAGACACAGCCACCCATGGGGACCCTCTCAGACCAGACCTACAGGGGCCCCGAGACATGTATCTCAAGAGGAAGACAGAATTGTCTTTTGGAGCACAAGTATGGACATAGTAAATATTTGTTGGAAATGATCAGTTACACTTATTTTAAAAAGTCTAAATGTATTTAATAGTAACATCCACCCTACCTCCTAACACCCCCAAAAACCCAAGTACCTTTCAAACTTGACAACAAATATACACAGTTCAGCATCTATGAATTTTAGACAAAACATACTTGAAAGCAACAAGTCACCACCACTTACTTGCTGGAAAATGCAGAGATTAGGAAATGTTCTAGAAATGTCCAGTTTAATAAGCTCCAGACTGGCTTCTCTGTCTGCTGCTGAAAAACCAGCATCTGTCAAAAGATGCCAAAAATAATTACATTCCTCAAGGGCACGAATGTAGGACAATTACGAGCCTTTGAAGTTTTACAAGAACAAAACACGGAAAAAAGTTTTTCAGAAGCACACTGACCTAATCACATCTTGACTCAGAGTGCAGCTTCAGAGTATTTAACAGATTGCAGGGTTTCTTAGAGAACAAAATATCTTATGGCACCAGCTAATTCTAGATTATCATTAGATATTTTCCAGAGTCTGAAATCAAAATCTAACATTTTGCCTCTCATCAATAACAATCAGTGGAAAGCAAGGACAAGTAGGAGAATAAACACAAAGAAACTCCAAGCATAAACACACACACACACACACATATATCACTGCTCGATCTCAAACATCTTCAGTGTAAACTCACTAGATGTAGAAACTATTGCGGTATTATACTCATGTAATATTTCTTTTTTCTTTTATCTTTTTGTAGCGACAGGGTCTTTCTTTGTTGCTCAGGCTGGCTTTGAACTCCTGGCCTTATCTGCCCACCTCAGCCTCCCAAAGTGCTAGGATTACAGGCACGAGCCACTGTGCCCAGCCAGTGTGTAGTATCTCTAACAAGTAATCATAAATAATTTGTTTTATACTTTTTAGAATTCTAATACCACAAAGACTGTAAAAATGATCAGTAAAATCATGTATTTCTTAACCAAAAGAAGTAATCATCCTTGTGTGTTATGGAGAATTCTAAAGGCATAATCTAGCAAACATGCAGTGTTCTTGTCTCTGTAAATCTGAGCTCCTCTATAAGCCAGTATTCAACTAATCCCAGACACCAGGGTACTGGAAGTCACATGAACAACTTTAAAGGGAATGGCACTGGTTATGACGGGCCCTCCAGCATGTCAGGACACAAACACCTCGCAGGAACTGGGATGTTCTATTTCTTTTTTTTTTTTTAGAGGGAGTCTTGCTCTGTCACCTAGGCTGGAGTGCAGTGGTGAGATCTTGGCTCACTGCAACCTCCACCTCCAGGGTTTAAGCGATTCTCCTTCCTCAGCCTCCCGAGTAGGTGGGATTACAGGTGCACATCACCACGCCTAGCTAATTTTTGTTTTTTCTTGAGACAGAGTCTCACTCTGTTACCCAGGCTGGAATGCAGTGGCACGGTCTTGGCTCCCTGCAACCTCCACCTCCCGGGTTCAAGTGATTCTCCTGCCTCGGCCTCCCGAGTAGCTAGGATTACAGGCACCCACCACCACACCTGGCTAATTTTTCTATTTTTAGTAGAGACGGGGGTCTCGCCATGTTGACCAGGCTGGTCTCGAACTCCTGACCTTGTGATCCACCCGCCTCAGCCTCCCAAAGTGCTGGGATTACAGGCGTGAGCGCCTGCACCCAGCCTAATTTTTGTATTTTTAGTAGAGACAGGGTTTCACCATGTTGGCCAGGCTGGTCTCAAACTCCTGACCTCAGGTGATCCATCTACCTCAGCCTCCCAAAGTGCTGGGATTACAGGCATGAGTCACCACACCCGGCCAATTTCTTATAAAAAGTTTTTACCTTTAATTTTTGCTAAAAAAAACAAAACAAAAAAAACCCTTTTCTCGTGGAGCTTTTTATGACTCCACAACAATCTCTACTGTAGTTAACGTCAACTTTCTTCACTATGTAATAAAGAATGACAAACATAATTGACCACAGCAGTCCGCTGGTTTTAGAAGACATTCTACCTTCGTTCTCCACTTCAGAGCCTCCTGTGCTAAGGGACCGCCACCTCTCCTTGGCTCGGGCAAGACAGATGTCAAAGAGCTCTGGAAGAAAAGCCTCTGGGTAAGTATTACGTGCACATGTATTTTTCGTCAAAACCACCACAGAACACAGTACTATTTCCTCCAAATACTTAAGTTCAACTATAATAGGCTTAATGCATACTTAACAGGCTACTTAAACAATTCCCCCCAACTTGGCCTGAAAGTAATTTTATTGTTTAAAGACACAGCCTGAAACAAAGAAAGATTACACACATCACTGCTATTTAGTTCTCTGACACAGCCTACCCACAAAACTGCCTTGTTTTGGTCTTTGTGACTTGTCTACTGCCTCTCCCAGACCGCAAGATCCCTGGGGCAAGACGGTGAAGCTCTCTCACTCCCTCTGTATCCAAAACACACAGCACTGGAATTGACACAGAGCAACCCAATCAAGGAATGTCTCAATGACCGAGGGAGGGAAGGAAGGACCAGCAGAGAATCATTGGGTTTCAAGAAAGGACATGGTGCAATTGCCCCCACCTGGCACAGGCCTCGTCTTGCTGCCTGGCAGTGAAGCAGGGGTGGGGGAAGATCCCAGGAATACGCAGAAGCTTCAAAAAACAGGACTCTTGCTGGCAGAGAAGGATCATGACAGCCTCCAAATCTCCATATTTAGAACTTATTTTTGTGACAGCTCTCTTCGGGTGGTTTGGTAATAGTTAAACAACACGACTTCACTAGCATACACAGACCTCCACAGGTATATCCGTGCCCCATTCTTCTTTCAAGGACAAGTGTGAAGGCTGAATCCACAGAGCTCCTTCTCAGCGCCCTGTTCCCCGACACAGCCCAGTCTCAGGTGCTTCCTGGTCATCTGGCTTTTTCTTTTTTTTTCCGAGATGGAGTCTTGCTCTGTCGCCCAGGCTGGAGAGTGCAGTGGCGCAATCTTGGCTGACTGTAACCTCTGCCTCCCAGATTCAATCTCAATTTTCTTGCCTCAGCCTCCTGAATAGGTGGGATTACAGGTGCACGCCACCGCACCTGGTGAATTTTTTATTTTTTTTAGTAGAGATGGGATTTGGCCGTGTTGGCCAGGCTGGTCTCAAACTCCTGACCTCAGGTGATTCCCCCCTGCCACAACCTCCCAAAGTGCTGGGATGACAAGCGCCAGCTGCTGCACCCGCCACTCCTCTGGCTCTGATGTTCCTGATCAGCTCCCAGATGTCTCAGATTACACACAATCACTTGTCTATCACTAAGACTTTAATTGCAGCTACCCATGGAATTTTCAGCACTTTATTTTTCCCATCATTACTTTTGGAAAATACAGCAGAGCACATCTGCCTTCTGGGCAGTGCACACTATTTTATTAAAATGTAATCCAAAATCTAGTTTCGCTATTATGGTATCAGTGTCCAAAGCAGTAACTCAGCACGCATGCTCCCAGGACAATCCCACACTGCTCTGAGCTGCTGCCTCATGCACCTGGTGGCACTTCCACCTGCTTTCGGCCTCCAGGAGGCCGGCCAAGCTTTGGTCATTTTGGCAGGAGGTGGATGAAAACCACTGTGTGGCCATGGCCACTAGGGAATCCCTTCCCAACTAAGGCATTTGACATTTAAGTCACAGAGGCTGCCAGCCTCGGGGTTTAATGGGTCAAAGTGTCAAAGAGTTGTAAGTCTCCCCCATGGCTTTCTTTATTGGTGTGCATCTGGGGAACGCTGGAGGCTGGACAGCTACCACACCTTCTGCCCAAACCCCCTGCTCCAATGTCAAAGTACAAGATTGACTGGGGCCCTAAAACTGAAGTTTTAATAGTACTATTAGGTCGACTTTCACTAAGTTTTCAATTGTACAACCACAAGAGCAAAACCTTAGGGCTCTCCAAGTCAGAACATGGGATTTAGGATTAGCCTGGGCCTAGGATCAGAGTCCTGGCCCCACACACACGAGCCAGAGACCTGGGCACAGTCCTAGCCTTTCCAGGATGCTGAGCCTTCTCTAGAGGAAAATGAGGTCAAGGTCGCACTGTCAATATTAAATAAGATCCATAAGTAAAGAACCTAATATGATGCTTGGTACTCAGCAACCAAGTTTGTTTGTGTTCTTACACTGGCTTGGAAACGTAGTAAAATCGAGATTAAGCAGGACCCAGTAAGGCAGCATTCATTCACACAGCAGGTATTTCTTAAGGGCCTGCCCCATGCAGAGACCCAGGCTTGGTAAGGGTGAAAAGGTAGAGAGCACAGCAGGTGAGGGCCCAGCTTCCTGAGTACCAGTGCTAGCGGGGGCCACTGACACTGCGCGGTTCACAATACAAGACAGACACAATGTACACAAATCGAGCCAATACCAAGGTTTGGATAAATGTCTAAGACTCATGTCTAAACATGTAACTGACTCGTCAGCGGTTTAGCCCAATCCAAAACAATACGGTCCATAGGTTTTAATTTAAATAAAATCCACCCAGGCATCAGTGAGAAGCAAAAATTAAACACACACACAAGGTACTGTGCATTCCATCCAATCTGCAGAGACAAGAGTTTAGAAATAAATGCTCAGTAATTTCTCCAAACCTCAACTTCTGAGGATACTTTTAAAAAACCATTTCCACAAGTTAAACGTTATTCATCTTCTCACACAGAGATGTTAAAACAAAATTTTGGTAGGTATGGATTTAGCCAAGAGGGAGTTCCGGGCCCCCACGTTCCTCTGTAGGACCACACCGCACAGAAGCCAGTCACCAGCCAGCTGGCTGACGCTCCGTGAGGGCGTGAGGGGAGACCTGCCTGGGATGAGGCTAAGATAACCTGTCAGGATAAGAACAACAATCAAAACCCCAACTAGAGAGCGAAGATACAAATCAAATGTTTAAACTCAAGGCCTTCATGAGCATAAAAACCACATCATCAACTCCCCAGCAGGTCCTAGGCCCAAGAAAGAGCAGGAAGGTAGCCCCGTCTTTCCACAGCTCAGACCGCAGGCAGGGAGGCAGAAGTGAAAAGAATGGCTGCCAGTATTAATCACTTAATTTGAAGTCTGCGGGCTCCTGGCACCTATTTCACTCTGGACGCGCTTCAGAGTGCTCAGGACACCTGGGGAAGTGAATTCAGCCTGAGGGAGGAAGTGTACATGCAAACTGAGTAGATGCAATACAGCGAGAGATCGGTGAGCATGGTTCTCACCCAGCAGACAAACTCCCAGAGCCCCAAGGACCGCAGTCCCAGCACAGTATGTTGTCTCCTCCAAGGCTGCCTGAAAAAAAATCCCACAAAATACCAACAGACACCCCAGTACAATAAACACCCTCACAGCAAGAACCACCTGCCCCTTCCACACTCACGTCGCAGGCAAGGCTTGCCTTCCTAGGACTTTGATCTGCGAAGCTCAGGCACCTCCCCGATGCTCTAAGCCCTGTCTTCCAAGCCCCCTCTATTCAAGAGCTCCTGCGCTGAGCTGTCAGGTAACCGGAGTGCACAGCACTAAACCCAGGCCTCCCAACTGCCCCTCTCTCCTGAAGGACACAGTCTCCTGGTCTCTCAAAAGACACAGATTCGTGGCAATGGCTGCCATTCTTTCCAACAGGGCAAAAGGGAGAGAAGAAGCCAAAGGGCCTGGAGGTGGACTCCCCAGGATCATGCAGGCCACTCACCGTGGGTGATATTTAACTCGTTGCCAATGGCTAAGCTCCAGACTTTGCCTCTCACACTTGGAGGGATTCCCTGCCACCATAAATCTCGAACTTTTCTAGAGCACCACCTGGACAAAAACAGAAGCAGGAGTTTGAGTTTGTTCCACACAAAGACATTTGTCTACCTGCGTGCCTAGCCCCGAACCACCAAGAGCTGGGATGCACCGTTGCATCAGGCACAGCCCCTGCCCTCAGGAAGCTTAGAGTCCAGGGCTCTGTAAAGATCAAATCAACAATCCCCTTCCACTGGCAGCTGCCGTGGCAGGTATGGAGGAGCACAGCATAGCGTAGGTCACCACGAACCAGAGGCCCAGGCACGCTCTGGGGCCAAGTTCTGAATGACCTGAGCACATGAAGGATGGGGAGGACTTTCTGAGCAGAAAACACAGGAAAAAGCAATGGCTTGGCCTCCTACAGGAACAGCACATAGCTGGGAGTGGGTGAGGAGTGCCAGGCGGCACTGCAGCAGCACTGGAGACAGAAGCAGACCCCAGCAGAGAGTCAGCAGACGGCCATCGCACCACCAATACAGGCCCAGCGCCCAGATGTGAGCTGGCAAGTTCTAACTGCGGAGAAGAACTGCTGACTCAGAACATTGTAGGCTGTACAGAGTCCTTCAGCTCTGCTGGGACACGGAACACACACTGCCAACAGCCTGGGCAAACCAGGCCCCCGTGGTGCCTCTGAACGCAGCATCGTGGGGAGCACAGGCTTGAGGCTGCAGAAAGCAGGCTGCATCCTAACTCCATCCTTACCTGTGGAATCCGGACAAATGATCTCTCCTCTCTGAACCTATACCATCCTCTCGAAAGTCAAGACGATGAAACCTACACCCAAGGGCCACTGTGAGGATGAAGTGAGATAAAGTACAAAAGCACGGAGAACAGTGCCAGGCAGCGTCCGTGTGCAGTCGACGGGAACTGCTGTGGGTCTGCATGCAATGCATTCAGACCACATCCAACCCACGGCCCTGCAGGACAGACCAGAGTGGTCTCCCTCGGTGGGAGCAGCAAGCATTCTGAGAACCTCTGTCCTTGTTACTAGATCCCATGCGAGAACAGGTATAAAGTGTTTCCTGACAGCATCCAGCCTTTTGAGGATACTGCCTTAAAAAGCATGCTCTGAGCATATTTTCCTAGTGGAGACCCTGAGCAGGGCCGCGTGACCCCTGCAGTGCTGACATGTGGGACGAGAGCAGAAGGGAAGCTGGCATCCAAGCTCCCCGAATGCCTCTGTGCGCAGCCTTGGGACTTCTGCCCGCACACTGGCCCCCACCGTTCTGAACACGAGAATAAAAACAAGACCCACAGCTGCCCCTCAGATGTAAAGAGGGCAGCAGCTGCCAGACTCTGCCAGGTGCACTCTACTGGACACTGGGGTCACTATCCTCAAAGAGAGGAAGACAGAGGCCTGAACAGACAGCTGTGTGCACACAGAACCACAGGGCCCTAGAGCCAGGGTAGGGGCAGCAAAGTCTTCCCTGAGCTTTGGAGAGCACACAGGAGTTTGCTGGCTGAGGAAGTACAGGACAAGAGCACTCCAGACACAGGGCCTGGAACATGCGAGGCCCCAGGTTTAAAAGGAGCAACACCTATGGGGGGCTCCCTAGGGAGAGGGCTCTGTCCAAGTGGAGGAGAGGCATCCGAGGGTGAGGCTGCCGAGGAAGGCAGGCCACCTCACTAAGGGTGTTGCCTGCTAAGGGTTCAAACTGTGTACTGACAGTCACAGGAAGTTACTGAAATTCTAGGTAAGGGAGGGGACACTGACTCATGCTTTAGAAGCTGGCTCAGGAGATGAGAAGAAGGTGAACTGGAAGGGAGGGGAAGGGGCTATCACAGTCTCCAAGCAAGGGATGGCGCAGGCTGAGCCAGGGTAGAGGGAAGGAAGATGATGCAACTTCAACTCGCTGCATCCAGGGTGTCACTGCTGGCTATGACGACTACAGCTGTGGCCCACAGATTCTAGAAAGACATGCTCTGCAGTTCAGCCACACCCAGAGCCACATCTTACATTGTTTCCCAGTTAGGTAAGATCTCATTATTCCAGGTGAGCACAGCGTTTCCAATGCTTTCCTCGACTCTGCATCTTTCTTCCAGCTGCTTCTTCCTTCGCTGGGCTTCTTTCAGCTCTAGAAATCACAATTTAGAAAAACAACAATCTACTAACTGATATGGACCATTTCCAGGCAAGGTGATTTTCCTGTCACACTGCGAACACACCAGGAAAACCGCCCTGAAGCAGAGCGAGCATCAGCTCCAGCGCTCACTTCACACCTGACGGACTCCAGAAGGCTCAGGCATTATCCACCCTTTAGTAAGCTTGCAAAGTCTAACATCTAGACAGGAAAGTACACAAAGAAGAATACGATTCAGTTGGCCAGGCGCGGTGGCTCACGCCTGTAATCCCAGCACTTTGGGAAGCCAAGGCGGGTGGATCACCTGAGGTCAGGAGTTCGAGACCAGCCCGGCCAAAGTGGTGAAATCCCGTCTCTACTAAAAATACAAAAATTAGCTGGGCATGATGGCAGGGGCCTGTAGTCCCAGCTACTGGGGAGGCTAAGGTAGGAGAATTGCTTGAATCCAGGTGACAGAGGTTGCAGTGAGCCGAGATAGCACCACTGCACTTCAGCCTGGGCAACAGAGCGAGACTACACCTCAAAAAAAAAAGAAAGAAAAAAAGAACACAATTGTTACCACAAAATAGAAAAATCCCTGAAATTACCATCCTGATCAAAACAACCGAACGTTACTGGAACTCTGGAAGTCCCTCCTGTGCTCCCAGCCCTATCCCCTTCCAAATGCAAGCTCCATGCTGACTTCCAACAGTTCGAGCACTGCTTTTTTTTTTTTTTTTTAGACGGAGTTTTGCTCTGTCACCCAGGGTGGGGTGCAGTGATGCAATCTTGGCTCACTGAAACCTCCGCCTCCCGGGTTCAAGCAATTCTCCTGCCTTAGCCTCCTGAGAAGCTGGGATTACAGGTGCCCACCACCAGGCCCAGCTAATTTTTGTATTTTTAGTAGAGACAGGGTTTTACCATGTTGGCCAGGCTGGTCTCAAACTCCTGACCACCCGCCTTGGCTTCTCAAAGTGCTGGGATTACAGGTGTGAGCCACCATGCCCAGCCTTGAGCATTACTCTTAATCTACAAATAGCAGCTCTGAGAAATACCATGCATTTAGTTTACATATACTTTTTTGTGTGTGTGGTCAAATTTACCATTTTAAGTATACAGTTCAGTGGCATTAAGAACATTCATACTGTACAACCACACCACCATCCATCACCAGAGCTTTCTCATTTTCCCAAATCAAACTGCCCCCATTAAATACTAACTTCCTACTCCCCGTCTCCCCAACCCCTAGCACCCATCATTCTACTTTTTGTCTCTGAGTTTGACTGCTCTTAGGGACCTCATAGAAGTGGACCATACATTATTTGTCCTGTTTTGATTGATTGGTTTCACTTAGGGTATCTTCAAGATTCCTTCATGTGGCCACATGTGCCAGAATTTCCTTCCTTTTTAAGGCCAAATAATATTCCACTGTACATATACACCACATTGTTATATATTTTTATTATTTTTTTTTGAGATGGAGTCTCGCTCTGTCACCCAGGCTGGAGTGCAGTGGCACGATCTCGGCTCACTGCAACCTCCACCTCCTGGGTTCAAGCGATTCTCCTGCCTCAGCCTCCCAAGTAGCTGGGACTACAGGCATGTGCCACCACACCTGGCTAATTTTTTATTTTTAGTAGAGACACGGTTTCTCCATGTTGGTCAGGCTGGTCTCGAACTCCCCAACTCAGGTGATCCACGCGCCTCGGCCTCCCAAAGTGCTGCGATTACAGGCGTGAGCCACCATGCCTGGCCTTTTTTATTTTTATTTTTAGAAAGGCAGACTGCCACATGCAGTGCCTCATTTGGATGTGTCTGGAGTCTTGGAAGGTTGACGACTCTACATTCTCCTACGAATGGAGCCTGTCTGGAGGCTCTAGCAGGGGAGTGCAGCTACTCACATACCCTGACTGAAGACCGGTCCTCTATCAGGGATGGTCATTCTCTTTGACCAAACACACAGCTTCGGGAGGGACGCACATGGAGTGCTAGTGGGGAAGGGGACACCGGGCTAGCCAGCAGATGAGCCGAATCAACCCTGGTGATCAATGGAGTGACAGATATGACAGCCAAATCGCCCTCACATCCATGTTATATATTTTTAAAATCTCCTAGAAAAAGAGTTTAAGTGTTGCAAGGAATTTTATCAAAATATCTTCTTGGAACTTTAAAAAACAACCCAGAGAGGGAAAGAAATATACGTGTCGTTGATGGCTGAAACTTTCTGTAGTCTAGTATTTCTATCTTACACAGTCACTTTTCTCACGTCAGTTCAAAGTGCTTTTCTCTTGAATAAAGCTACCCGGAATGGATAGTAGCCTTCTGCGAGAGACACAGGCACCCAGCTCCAAAGCCTGGGGCTTTACAGCCCGCCCGGGACAGCCCTGGGGGCTTCTGGGATGGAAGAGGCCTCCTTGGGAGGCTCCCAGCAAACCCTGCGGTCTCACCGCTTCTCCCCTCTGCCTGCCTCAACATCCCCCCGAGTCCCTGCAGTCCGCCCACGCCACCCTGCAGCCCTGTTTTCGCTTGTGGGGGCTTTCCGCATGCATCTTTTTTTTTTTTTTACTGGAAGACTACAAATTTCAAAGACTGAAGTTCAGGTTCTATGACTCCAAATGGTAAAAAGAAAATAACCAGAAAGACACAAACCCTGTGCTGCCTGATTTAACCCATCAAGTGTGAACCCCATTACCTCGCTTTTTGGCCTGAACCACCATTTCTTCATACTGCTGTCTGTGCTTCTGAGCTTCTTCAGCTGGTTTTGCTGGGAGATTTCTTGACAGGAAAGAAATGAGTTTTCACCATTATAAATACCGCATAGAAGTCTTTCAGAAAAAACCTGAAGCATAATTTCCTAAAAAATATAAAGCTCAAACACTAAAAACTCATTTTTTTAAGATTACACAGTTCTTTCACAAACTTTTATAATGCTTTCTTACAAAAACAAAAACAAGTTCACTATAAAACAAATGAATGTGGCTCACGCCTGCAATCCCAGCACTTTGGGAGGCCGAGGCAGGCGGATCACGAGGTCAGGAGGTCGAGACCATCCTGGCTAACATGGTGAAACCCGTCTCTACTAAAAAATACAAAAAATTAGCCGGGCATGGTGGCGGGCGCCTGTAGTCCCAGCTAATCAGGAGGCTGAGGCAGGAGAATGGTGTGAACCCAGGAGGCGGAGCTTGCAGTGAGCTGAGATCGCGCCACTGCACTCCAGCCTGGGCGACAGAGCAAGACTCCATCTCAAAAAATAAATAAATTAATTAATTAAATAAAAACAAATGAATGGGCTGGGAGCAGTGGCTCACGCCTGCAATCCCAGCACTTTGGGAGGCCGAGGCAGGTGGATCACGAGGTCAGGAAATAAAGACCATCCTGACTAACACATTGAAACCCTGTCTCTACTAAAAAATACAAAAAGTAGCCGGGCATGGTGGCACGTGCCTGTAGTCCCAGCTACTCAGGAGGCTGAGGGAGGAGAATCGCTTGAACCTGGAAGGCAGAGGTTGCAGTGAGCCAAGATCGCGCCACTGTGCTCCAGCCTGGGCAACAGAGCAAGACTCCATCTCAAAAAAAAAAAAAGAAAGGAAAAATGAATGATAAAGATTAGCAGGAAGAAAATAACAATTATCCATAACTGCAACAGTGATAAACACTTAATCTTTTGGTATATTTTCACCCCACACTCCAAAGAAACTTTGATTTGACTGCAATACACTAATAACTGTCAACACCTAATTCTTGAGGCAGGGCACCCTAACAGCATTTGTTACATGTATGTATGAAGACATTTCCTGACCAGATTTTTAAAGTGAACAGATTTCATACTAGCTACGTGGTTCATTTGTTTTTTGACATATACACAGATGTGCACCTTAGTTCTAAGCATCTTGGTATACCTTCAAAACCCATTTAAAAAAATACAATTCGTGCTCTCTTTCAGAAGCGTGCTTGTAACTGTACTGGCACTAGGGTAAAAGGAGAGCAGGAGTGTCTGGCTGCCTGTGTCCCTCACACAACAGGACCCACATTCACTGGGACATTTTAAACAACCATCACTTGCAGGAGAGTCCGCCAGTTCACCTTTCAGAGCATGAAAACGACTGGACTTCAAAGGCCAGAGTCTTTTCCTGATGGCCTCTAACTTTCCAGTCCTCCATTTCTCTCCCCAGCATACAACTTTCAAGGACAAGAAAATAGTAGAAGACACACTGCTTCTTTTTTTTTTTTTTTTTGAGACGGAGTTTTGCTCTTGTTGCCCAGGCTGGAGTGTAATTAATGGTGTGATCTTGGCTCACTGCAAGCTCTGCCTCCCAGGTTCAAGTGATTCTCCTGCCTCAGCCTCCTGAGTAGCTAGGATTACGGCACCCATCACCACACCTATTTTTTTGTATTTTTAGTATTTTGTATTTTTAGTAGAGACAGGGTTTCACCATGTTGGCCAGGCTGGTCTCCAACTCTGGACCTCAAGTGATCCACCGCCTCGGCCTCCCAAAGTGCAGGGATTACAGGCGTGAGCCACTGCACCCAGCTGACAACTTATTTTTAAATGCTAAAGTAAAAAGAAAAATTACCTGAACGGAAAATCCTGGTCAAAACTTCTATGCTATAGGACAGTTTTCCAAATTGGTCATTTAATATAATTACAGAACACATGTTAATATAGAGAATAAGAAGTGATTCTGGCTTACTCTTCTCCCCTTTTCTGACCCTAGTTTTTCTCTAATGAAAAGCTGCTTAGCAAGTTGTACTTATTTCCTAAAGCAAACACTCTAAAGAGAGTCTTCTTAAACTCACGCTGGTCTGTCCTCGAGGATGAGTGCGGTGGTGGAAAGTGGTTCAAAGTCAAGATTCTTCCTCACATTCTGCTTTGGAGAGGGTGGCTTGCTAGGTCTTCCAGCCTTGTCTTCATATTCCTAGGACAAAGAAACCAGGGATGACTCCAGGTCCTTTCAGATAGGATGAAGTCCTTCGGAAAGTAAGAAAGTTGTTTTGTCATGAAACTCTTTTAAGCCAATTTCGAGGACAATTCGCCAAAAACCTTTCCTGCTATTCAGAATGAAAAGCCGCTGACTAAAGGGGTCTTTCTGGAGATGGAGTCTCGCTCTGTCGCCCAGGCTGGAGTGCAATGACATGATCTTGGCTCACTGCAACCTCCACCTCCTCGGTTCAAGCGATTCTCCTGCCTAAGCCTCTCAAGTAGCTGGAAATAGAGGCACTCACCACCACGGCTGGCTAATTTTTTTATTTTTAGTAGAGATGGGGTTTCACCATGTTGGCCAGGCTGGTCTTGAACTCCTGACCTCAGGTGATCCACCCGCTTCAGCCTCCCAAAGTGCTGACATTACAGGCGTGAGCCACTGTGCCCAGCCTAAAGGGGTCTTAGAGTTCCAAAGCTGAGACCATTGCTTTATGATATGACTGCACGCTTCCCTCGTTGGTGGGGAAATAACAAAGGATCTCATTATCAAAGCAGCCCCTTTGAGGAGGGCCCTCAAACGCTGCCTCAGGTCTACTGTCTCCTGGGTAACAGGCATGTTTTCTCTCTTCTGGACACTGTAAATTTTAACTGATTATTATCACGGCCACTGGGAAGCTGCCACTGCAAATTGTTATGTAAATAGTTTTGCCATGCCCTGGAAATCTAAGAGCAGCCTCCACATCACTGGGTCACCGATTCACCCGTGCACTGCAACCACAAGAGCTCATTCACACCCGGTGACCCACATTCCAAACGCCCAGCTGGAAGAACTCAGGAGAGCCAAACAGGTTGGTGCTTCTGAAATAATGTGTAGGTACTTCGCTCTGTGCAAAATCAAAAAACACAATCATTTAAGATGATTATAGATAATTAAGGAAATATTACAGACAAGGCTCTCAGGAATGCCCCTGAAGGGAAGATAATCTCATTGAGAAGATAGGACAAAGAAGGTAGTGTTAACCTAAGATTTCATGTTTGTCATGAGGTGGTGAGAAATTGCTAAATGAATTTCAGGGAAACTAGCTGTCAAGAGGCGTGTTACTGGTGAAATTATGCGGCAAGCAATTATTCTCTTAGCCAGAAAGGCCTCTAAAAAGTATAAAGAAATAGATTATTTCCTCAAAATACACAGGCTATGAGAAGGACGTGCACCAAGAAGCAGTTGGGTGGGGCAGTTTCTGTACACCTGGATGTATATGGTCACATGTCTTAACACTGTTTACTGTGGCTTAACATGGTTTCATTACAATTCTAAAATTACTTCCACTTACCAAAAACTGAAAACACGGACTCATTCCTTGCTGGATTCAAGCATCTGAACATCTACACTGTATGGGGTACACAGCCGTGACCTAAGACGGCACTAGCCCTCATGAAGCTTCAAGTCTAGCACCTGAATGTCAAAGTCTCCAATTTCATAGGAAATCAAACAAAAGCTGTGTGTTGAGAAAGATTCTGAGGCATGCTGCATTTTAACAAGAATTAGTAACACATACCCCATGAGGTGCTACTTATCTGCTGAGCCTGGTCTGGTGAACTGTATGCCAAGGCCAGAATGCTGGGCCCAAAATCAGCCATGGCAGGATGTGGATGCCCATTTCCATCGGCTTTTGTGTGCTCTGTGCATGTGGACTCACTTTGTCTTCACAGCAATCTGCTTGGCAAGTGTTACCCATTTTAAAGACAGGGTAACTGAGGCTCAAAGTGAAGTGACTTGCCTGAAGCATACAGCCAGCAAGGCTGGGCCTGCCGCCCTGAGCCGGCCCAATATCATCTGTGAATACACTCAAACCCACAGGTGTGCAGTTTTAGAGGGGAAAGCCCGAGTCCTACACGGCTTAGGTGTGGCCTCTGCAGCCAGATAGCTCTGGGAGCAAATTCAGATCCACCAACCACCAGCTGTGACCTCGGGCAAGGTACTCACTTCAAATCCCTAAGCCTTCTTTCCACATCTGCAAAATGGGAAACCCCGCCTGCCTCACCCTGAGTGGGCTGCTGGAAGGAATGAGGTGATGTCACAGCCTCTGGTGCACAGGGAGTGCTGGAGAAGGGCAGCCCTTGTTGGTCTGCGCCACTAGCTTTCTCTCCCCTCAGACCTGAAACCACGGGAAAGGCAGAAAACCATGCTCTAGTGCCAAACAACAATCTAGGAGCCCTGCCAAGTTGCCAACAGCACAGATACAAAAAGTAGGAGTAAAAGGAAGTAAAAGCCTTGAGTCATGACCAGAAACATCAGATCGCTTCAGTCAGAGCTTCTTACTATTACCAACAGCAACAAACAGTGGCGGCGGCTGACGCTAACAAGCCCAGCACCTCTGAGTGCTTTACGCGTGCACACTGGGTTAACTCCATCTCCTCCACACCAGCCCCCCGAAGGGGCTGCTCCACCCTAGACCATGCTGGGTTAACTCCATTTCCTCCACACCAGCCCCCCGAAGGGGCTGCCCCATCCCAGACCACGCCAACAAGACAGCTGCACAAGGACACGCTGTACCTCACCAGCGCAAAGCTGTGGCTGTGGTCAGATGGCCCAACGAAGGTTCAAGAAAAAAAAGCAGGGATGCAGGCTACCTGAGGCAGGCATGGTTTCCTGCCTCTTCCAGTGGTTTCAGGTCTGAGGGGGAGAAAAAGCAAGTGCCACAGACCAACAAGGGCTGCTGTTTCTCCAGCACTCCCTGTGCACCAAACACACACGGGGACCCAGAGGTGTCCGTGACTTACCCGGCGGGCAAGTGGGGAAGCTGGGTCACAGGCCACGCGCTGGGGTTCCGCAGCCACACTCCTCATCACAGAATTCATGCAAGCCTCTGGCAGACATGCATCAGAAGTAATCCATCATTCAGATTCAGTCTCAGTAGTTTTCACAACCGTGACCGAAACCTCAAATACTGAACTAAGTGCACAGATCAGCAGAGACGCAGGGTCAAATGCTTGTTTTAATCACAGACCAAGGCATGATTAAAATAATAAAGTAACACAGGTGGCCTAGCCTGCTCATACTTGAAATCCCAGGCAAAGCCCTTTCCAAAACCTTAGGCACCCTTTCAGAAGAGAAATGGTGTTGGAAATGGTGACAGGTCCTGCTCTAGACCCGGTTCTCCCAGGGCAACCTGGAGGTGACAACAGTAAGCTCACTGTCCAGGCCAGACAAACCAACTTTAGAAAGAAGAAAGAGGACTGTTCACTCCCAGGATCCCGGAGGGAAGAAACAGCACTGGAGAAAGAACACTCAGTTGTGGATTATCAGCGCTAAGGTCGGGCTAGCAAGGGATAAGGCTCTGGAAGTAAAACCAGAGTTCTAGGTCCTGGCTTGGGTGAGTCGTCTTGTCTCTCAGTCTGTTCTCAGCTATAAAACAGTAGCAACTGTACAGACCACTGTGGCGGTCAAGAGATAAGATATGTAAAATGGCTGGGCACTCACTCCCTCAAGTGCCAAGCCCTTTCTGTGTGCCAGGCAAGTACTGGTGCGGTCCACTTCAGTCCAACTCATCATTCCCAAGTTCCATCTCTGCATGGGACCAAATTTTGAAGTCTCTTGGTTTAAACCAAGCATCGATGCCCGTCTTGCTGTGCTCGTCAAAATCCCTGCAGACTAACAGGTAAAATAAACTGCCCACTTAAGTGACAGCTGCCACCCTGGACAACCCTAAAGGGAATTTATTTATTTATTTTTGAGGAGTCTCGTTCTGTCACCCAGGCTGAAGTGCAGTGGTGCAACCTTGGCTCACTGCAACCTCTGCCTCCCGGGTTCAAGCGATTCTCCTGCCTCAGCCTCCCAAGTAGCTGGGATTACAAGCGCGTGCCACCAGGCCCAGCTAATTTTTGTATTTTTAGTAGAGACAGGGTTTTGCCATGTTGGCCAGGCTGGTCTGGAACTCCTGATCTCAAGTGATCCACCCACCTCAGCCTCCAAAGTGCTGGGATTACAGGCGTGAGCCACTGCACCCAGCCCCCAGAAGGAATTTAGAACAAGGTTCTTCAAAGTTCTAGCAGCAGATCAGTTTGATTGGTCACAACAGCATTTTTAAAAAAAACAAAACAATAAAACACAGTACATAAATACAATTTGCTTCAGCTTTACACTTAGTTATGTCAGTACAATGAGTCTCAATTTAAAGTGTCTAACTGGGGATAATTTCAAAAAAGTTTGCAGGCTGTCAGTTTAGAAGCACAGTTGTTCGAAGTCCCTGCTCTGGGCAGCTTATAAGGAATCACGCTGGGAAAGACGAGACCATACCAACATGGCAGCAGCACCTCACTAGCAGCCAACTTGTGGGGTGTGGTCTGATGACCCAGCTAAGGTTGAAGAAAAAAGGCAGGGAGGCAGGGTGCCTGAGCAGAGCCCCAGTCTCATGCAGAGGGCTCTGCATGAGACTCAGCATGCAGGGCAAGAGGGAAGGGGCCATGTGGAAAAGAGGAAACTAATTTGTGAAGGGACCACGCGGGCCTGGCAGTTTAGGAGATCCTCAATCTCCAACCCAGCAGGGCTCACTCGACAGGGGCAATACGATGCAGGCAGAGGCTCCCACACAGGTGAGACCGTGAGATGTGCCAGGAGGGGCGAGCCACACACTGTGGGAGGAAGGGCAGGATGCCTGAGGCCAGGGGGACATGGGAAGCTTTCACAAAGGGGCCAGCTGAGTGGACAGACAGGTAAGACGTGGGCTAGAGGCCAAGAGGAAGAGGCACTCTGACAGCAGAAGCAGTGGCCAAGAGACACCCACAAGCAGGCTAGCACCAGGATTTGAACCGGGAATGGTGCAGAGTCAAAGTTGTTTTGCTCTAGATTTGAAGGTCTCAACACGTTACCCAGAGGTGCTGGGACAAGCCCCAGGAGAGAGAGGAGAGCCAGAGGAGAGACTATGAGGTATGGGGAGCCCCTCAGACGCATCCAGGGGCAGGGTCTACATTCCACGTGTGATCTGCACAGTGCTAAAGACAAGAAGGGCACGAGGCTCCTGAATTAGGTTTAACGTTTGTTGGTTTAAAAAGCGGGGGAAAAGCCTGCTTCAATGCACATTTGTTTTAAGAGCGAAAAGAAAGGATCATGATTCTCAAACAATGAAGAAGTATTCCTAAGCCTGGCACAGAGGTGCTGTGCCTGTGGTCCCAACTACTCAAGAGGCTGAGACAAGGATCACTTGAGCCCAGGAGTTCAAGGTTGCAGTAAGCCATAACCGCACCAGGGCAACAGGACAAGACCCTGTCTCAAAAAAAAAAAAAAAAAAAAAAAGAAAGAAAGAAAGAAAGAAAAAAGAAAGTACTCCTGGTAGAAAGACAAGAAAGGTCATCAATGCTACTTATGAACTGGAGGAACACTACAAAACAGCCAATGATGTCAATAACCTGCTACTGGAAGCCCCCTGACTTCCAGGAAGGAGCCTCTGGCTCCCTGGAAATCTATTTTACCTAGAAGAGGAAAGGGTCATCAGTCAAATCCTGTGCTTAAATCTCCGACCCCGCTGTCTGCAGTATCAAGATTCACCAGTGAAAATAACCTGAGGATTTGGGAGCGCGCCTGGAATAAAGCTGCCAAGGCAGGCTGGCCATCCGAGTGGTACCTATCAAAAGACTGACTTGAACTAATGCTGTGACAGCACGGCCACCACATCTGCACAGGCTGAGGACCCAGGGAAGCGCTGGGGGACAGCGGCAGGCCTGGTCTGAGCCAGCACCACCAGCAGAATGACCTTGAGCTCCTCCTCCATCCACAAGCCTGTTTCCTCATCTGTTACACTTGAAGATTAAATGAGAACCAGCATAAGCTGCAGAGCCAAAGCAGGTGCCCAGAAATGATAGGAGTATGACTGTCACTATATACTATGAAATTACTCTTCACAACATTCCACTCTAAGAGGGTTGCTTGTGGAAAAGGGCACGAAACTGAAAGTGTCCGCAACACCGCGGCTGGTCTCACACTTGGCCATTTGTAAAAGCAATTGTCTTGGAGGGGGGAGCCCAGTTTAGCATCTGGGAGGGGCTGTTTTGCCATTTTGAGGGGGAAGAATGGCCTGCACAGGTCTTAGAAAGGTCCCACCTTCCAAAAGGCAGCCCCGGCTAACCCCTGAAGCCTGACCTCACAGTAAGTAAAGCCACTGAGAACATCTGAGTGGTTCCTCTGGCCTGGGTTCTTTAACAAGCTGCAGTCCCCTCCTGGAAAGCGTTCTCTAAGTTACTGGGAATGTTGGCATTCTGGGAAGCACTCTCAGGAGTCCTTTTCTAATAGTCATATTCCTCCCAGAGCATCAAAAGTTAATATGCGGGCTGGTGAATGAAACATATTCAAAGGAACTAGGTTTTAACACGCCCGGTTGCTGTTGCAACCTGACCACCTCATTGGGCTCTAGAGCTCGGAGCGCAGTCTCATCTCCATACAAAGGCTCATCGGATCGCAGGCGAGGCCCTTCTGACCTCTAAGGGGGCTGCTGGGCCTGGCCCGGCTCTGAAAACAGGGTAAGGAGGACTCAAAGGACGTGCTCGCTCACGCTGTCTCTCGTCGTCCTAGTAAACGTGAACCAGAAGAAAATACGTGGAAACACAGACACAAAGAGTACCAGGGAGGAGAGCGCATCAGCAGCATGCACAGCAAGCTTCGGCTGTTGAGGACAGATACACGTGATGCTCGCACACCCGCACAACCGCACACATGCACACTCGCACCCTCCACCTGCGCGGGGCCGCAGGGCTGGCAGGCCCAGGACAGGACAGGCCCACGGGACCGGGCAGGCCTGGGGCGCAGGGAGAGGCACCGGCCCGCACCCCGACTCACCATGAACGCCGGGGCCTTAGAGGCGCGCGGCCGGAGGCTCCATGCCCAGCGAGCGGAGGGCCGGCCTCCCTCCCTCCCTCCCGGACCGCGGGCGGGCGGGCGGACGCGGCGGCTCCTCAGACTCGCGGGGCGGGGCGGGGCGGCAGGCCGCTCAATCGCGCGCAGACACAGCGAGGCGATCCGCGCTGCCGGCTCGGCGCGTCAGGCCTGGCTGGAGACTCCCAAGGGGGCGGGGCTGATGAGCGGCGAGGGGCGGGCACAAGGGGCGGGGCTGGGGCGTCCCCGTGGTACGGCCCCACCGGCCGTAAACACCGGGGACGCGCGCCGACAGGCGGAGAGCCAGCTTCTGCCTTAAAGATCACCCGAGAGCTGAGAAACGTGTTGCCAAAAGAAATTGCACAAAAATAGTCGCACTAGTGAGCTCTGGGTGGCGGGGTGATTGTGAGCAGTTTTTACGGGCTACCGTGGCTCCTGTTTTTCACAAAGTATTAACAGGTGGGTTTAAAACGTCAGGGAGCACACAAAACACTCAGAGAAGCCGAACAGGCGCCCCGGGGCTGCCGGGAGGGAGACGGAAGCTGGCGGGACAGCGCCCTTCAGATGGCGCGGTACGCTGTCGATGAGACCTCAGGTTTTTAAAAACAGTCTTTAAACTTCGACCCTACACCATAAGGACTACGTCGGGTCAAAATTACTTCTGGTCAGCCGCGGGCCCCAGGTCCCAGGGCTGAGCAAGTCCGGTCTGCGACAACACGAGGCTCTCCCGTGACGGGGCCTAGCCCAAGGCTCCCCCCGCAGATCTCCTGGGATTCAGAACTACCAAATCGCCGGCAGACAGGTCTCCATCAGAGGAAGCCTGTGACGGCCGCCAGGATAAAATAAAAAGGACAATGGCAAGTGATAGCAAAGACTTAGAGAAGCTGGAATTCTCCTAAATCCTTGGTAGGAGTGTAAAATGGTGCAGCTTCTTCTATAATTCAGCATCCCCTACCATACTCCCTGGAACCCACCCAAGAGAAATACGACCAGAGAGACTTGCATGCAAACATTCCTAACAGCATTGTCCACGCCAACCAGAACGTCCACCAACCGCGGATGCATGAGCAGCAGGGAAATGGCCATGAAAAGAAACTGCTGAGACATGGGCCTACATGGATGAACCTCAAAAACGCTAGGCCAGGTGAAAGATGCCAGACAAGAAAATTCCATTATTCCATTTATGTGACACTTCTTAAAAAGGTAAATCTCTAGAGAGGAAGCAAATTCATGTTTGCCTGGGGGTGAGAGTGGGATCAACTGCAAACAGGCACGAAGGAACTTTTTTGGGTGATGAAAAATAAAACTTTGGATGTCGAACATATTTTGAAACTAGATTGCAATGATAGTTGCATAACTGTATACATTTATTAAAATCGTGGAACACTTACAATGAGTGGATCTCATGGTATATTATTTATACCTCAAGCCATTTTTAAAAATAGGATAAAAGGGAAAGAGGCTGATTCTGGCTGAAAGGATTAGCGAACGCCTTGTTAAGACAATTATCCAAAATTTGAAAATAAGGCAAAAGCAGGAGTAGGGGTTATTCTTTCAATTAATTCCTGGGCACTTTTAGCATGGCTGCCTAAAGATTAATTATCTAGGACACTGTCCCTGTGCTATTTGTTACTCCATTCAAGCCCCGATACTGTAAAGTTACATATTAACTTGTAGATAATGTCCAAAAGAAAAGATAACCCCAAAGATTATGTTTTATTGTCACCAGTTTGTTTGTTCATTGAAATCTAACCTAGCCATCTTACTCTAGTTCTTTTTGGGTTTTACGCATATATGTGTGTACAAACACACACACACCCCTAATTCCTCAAATGCTCTTGGCATAAGTTTTATCTCTTACTGGTCTCCTCAAGGCGTAAAATAAATCTTTGACCTTGATCATTTTAATTTTAAAAAAGGTAAAAGTCGTGAGAAAAAGGAGTGTTTTATATGAAAAGAATAAAGGGACATATAATTAAGGCAATACACAAACCTGACTGGATCCTGGTTCAAAAAGAACAGCTTGATACAACTGAGGAAATTAGAACATGCTCTGGGTATCAGATGCTACTATGGAATTCCCCATCATTCTCCTGGGTGTGGTAACAGTCATGGTTATGTAGGAGAATGTCTTTACTCTTAAGAGCTGTGTGCTGAAGTATTTAGCAGTAAGATGTCATAATACTGCAAATGGTTCAATTTTTTAAAAAATAGAGGCACAATAAAGTAAATATGGCAAAATGTCAACAGCCGCTCCATCTAAGTGGGGCACATTAACACATTAAATTGCCCAGGCGAGGGCAAAAGCATTCAAAAGCTCCCAGGGGCTTTTCTCTCGGTCTTTCTGGGAAGCGGCATCAATTGAGCTGCACCATCTCTTCGGCGTTCACAATCGTACACAACGGGCCACCCGCCTGCAGACACCACTGCCGAGTCCAAGGTCAGCCAGAAACCAGACTTAGAACACAGACAGTCCCCTCCTTACAATCACAGGCTACTACAGCTTCAAGTTATGTGTTTAACAAGATTCCTAAGCATACCAGAGAGAAGGTGCTCAAAGAACTCAGTCTGCAATTACATCATGTCTATGCAATTGTGTGGACGAAATTTACACATACATAATTTGTCTCAGAGAAAGGCCTGGGAGGGCAGACATGAAACCATCAGAGACTCCTGTAACGGGGGCTGTGAAGTCTCAGGAGGGAAAGGATTTTCCTGTCTTGCATCTATCATTTGAGTATTTGATAAGTATTTTTTCATAAATTGTATTTAAAATGTGAAAAATAATTTTTAAGCTAATTCAGATGGCATCAAAAATCGATTTCACCAACTATTTCCAAACCACACCGAATTATTACTGCAGCAAGGTTGTTTTTTGGGTCTGTTGCTGGCTTTTTTCTATGCACACAAGACTGAAGGTCTAGCTGTGACAGGAGACCACAATGAGGAGTCCTGACCGTGCCGAAGCTCCCATGGGATGCCAGGATGCCAGCCACTGCTCCACGACCCCATGCTGCATTGTACTTCACCCTCACGAGCATAGGCAATGTGAGCACTACCTCTGCAGAGGATACTGAGGCTCAGAGAGACAAAGACATGGGCTTAAGTCCACACGACTGACTGTAAATGACAGAACCAAGGTACACATTCCAGCTTTCTAATCCCAAAGCCAGAGTCTTCCCAACCCACCCCAACCCCATGTTCACAGGCCTGAGACCCCTCTCACCCCAGTACTGTGAAAGGCCCCAGTAAAGACCTGTAAAAGAACAAATGTGTTTCCTGTTCCTGAATTCCTATTCCTTCTGGCGAGACGCAGCAGTAAGACTGAACACAAGATCCACAGTGTTTGCACCAAAGAAACTGTGCTCTCAACACTACCCTCTCCAACTAACGGAAACTTATCACTTCCACATTAGGAAAAATAAGCAAAACTTAGGAAGCATTAAGCATTAAATAGGAATTTCAGTCTTTATTGTTAAAAGGCATTGGGGATGAAGAATTTATACTTCTCAGAATAAATAAGCTGTTACCAGGATAATAGAAGACTAAAAAGGAAAGTGCAAATTAAACAACCATGCTGCCATTTCCCCTGTAGAAACTTCAGATCACTTCCTTCTTTCTAGTTCTTGGCATCATGTGGAAGTATGATATGTAATTAACCTGCTGCTTCTCTAAACCCCAACATTAATGGGGACAAATGGGGATTAGACATTTTATGGGATAATCTCCTGATAGACCTGTTCTCCACCAAACGATCCCAGTCCCATACAAACATGACCTCTACCACCTTGACAAGCCAAAACTTCCAGAGTAGGTTCAGCTTTCAACTCGGTCACCAGCTGTATAATGTTTCCCTCTGCTCTGGCCACTAGAAAGCTCAATGTAAAATTTGTAGCACACCTCTAGGAGTTACATGAGATTCTGTGAGTTGTATCTTGGGGCATCCACTTACGTCTGGTTTCATCTTGCTGTCCTTTGCCCAAATTTCCTCAACAATTTTTCTGTCATTCTACACATTAAAAATATATATATATATTTTAAAGGCCGGGTACGGTGGCTCACGCCTGTAATCCTAGCACTTTGGGAGGCCAAGGCAGGCGGATCACTTGAGGTCAGGAGTTCAAGACCAGCCTGGCCAACATGGTGAAACCCTGTCTCTACTAAAAATACAAAAATTAGCCAGAAATTGCTTGAACCCAGGAGGCAGAGGTTGCAGTGAGGCGAGATCGTGCCACTGCACTCCAGTCTGGGCAACAGAACAAGACTTTGTCTCAAAAAAAAAAATTCTTTTAAGTAGACATGTACACAGAACAAAATACAAAAGGTACAAAAGTGTATACAGTGGAAAGTAGGTCTCCCTCCTATCTCCCATGTACCCAGTTTGTTCTCCTCTCCAAAGAAATTCCACTAATAGCTATTTTGTAAGTACCCTTCCAAATATGGTCTCTGCATTTATGAGGATGTGTGTGTATCTTTAGCCACATAGACCACACTATACAAATAGTGATCCATCTTGCTTTGTGAGGTCGGTGCAGTATTTCATTTAGGATTTCACCAATTCCCTGCCAAACATTTAGATAGCTTCCAATCACTTGTGCTGCGATCAATACCCTTATACAACTGTCATTTCACCTATATGCGTATTCATCTGTAGGAGAAATTAACAGAAGTGGAAATGCTGGGTCAAAAGAACCCTAAATGATCCATTAATTCATGTTAATTTTTTGAATTAACATACAGTTAGCTTTTTAGTGTATATAGTCCTATGACTTCTAAAATGTTGCCTTGTAGCCACCATTATGACAATCAAGATATAAAACAGTTGGATCACTCTCAAAACCTCCTTTGTGTTAGCCCTCGGTAGTCACACCCTACCCCACCCCTGGCACTGTGAATCTGTTCTCCATCACTACAACTTTGTCTTTTCAAGTATGTGATACAAATGAAATCACAGCACGCAAACTTTCGAGACTGACTTTTACCTTCAGATAATGCCCGAGGTTCACCCAAGGTATTAGGTGTGTTTATTACTGAGTCATATTTCGTTGTATGGAATGTACCACCATTCATCCATTCATTGAAAGGCATTTGGGTTGTTTCCATTTCTTGAAGATTATGAAAAGAGCTGCTATAAACATGTACAGATTTTTGTGCAAACATAAGTTTTCATTTCTCGATGGCAAACACCTAAGAGTGGGATTGCTGGGCTAATTCTAAGTATATGTTTCACCTAAAGAAACCTCCCAACTGGTTTTCCAGAATGGCTGTACCATTGTGCATTACCACAAGCAAGGTACCAGCTAGGACTTCCGATACAATGTTGAACAGGAATAGTAAGAGCGGACATCCTTGTCTTGTTTTCAATGTTAGGGGAAGGCCTTCAGTCTTTCTCCATTAAGCATGTTAGCTGTAGCTGTTTCCTGTAGATGCTCTTTATCAGGTGGGGGAAGTTCTCTTCCATTTCTTCTTTGCTGAGAGTTTTTGTGAGGAATGGACACTGAATTCTATCAAATGCTTTTGCTGCACCAACTGATAGGATCGTGTGGTTTTCTTTAAATTGGTAGTATGGTAGCTGACACTGATCGATTTTCAAACACTGACCCAGCCTTGTGTTCCTGGGCTAAACGTCACTTTGTCATGGTTGTAACTTTTTAATGTATTATGGGATTCAATTTGTTAATACTGTGTTGAGAATTTTTTGTGTGTCTTCAAAAGGGATATTTGCCTGTAGTTTTTTTGGTACTGTATTCATCTGGTTTTGATAGCAGGGTAAGATTGGCCTTTAAAATGAGTGAGGAAGTACGTACTCCGTCTTCTTCTCAAATTGGTGTTTTCTTTAAATGTTCAGTAGGATTCATCAGTGAAACCATCTAGTCCTTCTTTAATAAATTCCAGGATGATTCAGGTTATCTATTTCATCTTGGATGAATTTTGGTGATTTGCAATTTTCAAGGAAATGGACGGTTTCATCTAAGTTATCAAATTTATGTGGCTGGTGCAGTACCTCACACCTGTAATCCCAGCACTTTGGGAAGCTTAGGCAGGTGGATCACTGGAGGCCAGGAATTCTAGACCACCCTGGCCAACATGGCAAAACCCTGTCTCTACTAAAAATACAAAAATTAGCTGGGCGTGGTGGTACATGCCTGTAATCCCAGCTACTCGGGTGGCTGAGGCATGAGAATCACTTGAACCCAGGAGGCAGAGGTTGCAGTGAGCTGAGGTCGCACCACTGCACTCCAGCCTGAGCAACAGAGCAAGACTCAGTCTTTAAAAAAAAAAAAAAAAAAAGAGACAGAGGCCGGGCGCGGTGGCTCACGCCTGTAATCCCAGCACTTTGGGAGGCCAAGGCGGGTGGATCACAAGTTCAGGAGATCGAGACCATCCTGGCTAACACGGTGAAACCCCGTCTCTACTAAAAATACAAAAAATTAGCCGGGCGTGGTGGCGGGCGCCTGTAGTCCCAGCTACTTGGGAGGCTGAGGCAGAAGAATGGCATGCACCCGGTAGGCAGAGGTTGCAGTGAGCCGAGATCACACCACTGCACTCCAGCCTGGGTGGCAAAGCGAGACTCCGTATCAAAAAAAAAAAAAGACAAGTTATTTATAACATTCTATTGTCTTATTTTTGTGGAGTCTGTAGTGGTATCCCCTTTTTTCATTCCTTTTGCTAATTTTATTCTCTTTTTGTCAGTTTTGCTAGAGTTTAATCAATTTTGTTGATCATTTCAAAGCCCCAGCTTTCGGTCTATCATTTTTGTTTTTAATTGTACGGATATCTGTTCTCACACTTATTACTTGCTTCCTTTTGCTTGCTTTGGGTTTATTTGCTCTGTTTATACTTTCTTCAGGTAGAAACTTTGATTACTGATCTGAGACCTTTTTTCTTTTCTATGTGAGCATTTTAATGCTATACGTTTCCCTCTAAGCACTGCAACCTACAAATTTTGGTATGTTGTGTTCTCGTTCGCTTCAAAATATTTTCTAATTTTCCTTGTGACTTCCTCATGGGCCCATGATTTAGAAGTATGCTACTTGTTTAATGTGCAAGTTTGGGGAGGCAATTATTTTTCTGTCACTGTTTTCTAGTCTAATATCACTCTGGTCAGAACATATTTTGTATAATTTTAATCCTTTTGAAATTTTTAAGCTTCTCTTATATCCCAGAATATGGTCTGTCTTGGTGAATGTTCCATGTACATTTGAAAAAACTGTATTCTGCTTTTGCTGGAGGGTGCTGTGTTCTATAAATTGTGAATTAGATCAGGTTGGTTGATGGTGTTCATTTCTATGTCCTGGCTGATTCTGTCTACAGTTCTATCACTTACTGTTTAGTGAGGACTGTTGACACTCCCATTATAAATGTGGACGTGTCCATTTGTTTCAGATCTAATAGACTTTGCTTCATGTATTTTGCAGCTCTGTTATGAAGTGCAAATACATTTAGAATCATTATGTCTTCATTAGGTAATGTCCCACTTTATCTCTGGTAATTTTGTTCTGAAGTCTACTTTTTATAATATTAATAGACCTATCTTAATTTTTATTATATTAATAGACTTATCTTAATTTTGATTAGTATTTTCATGGTATATCTTTTTCTATCTTTTTATTTTAATCTACATATTCTATATTTGAAGTGAGTTTCTTGCAGACAACATATACATAGTTGGGTCTATGGTTTTGTGTTTTTTTTGAGATAGGGTCTCACTCTGTCACTCAGGCTAGCATGCAGGGGTAAAATCAGTTCACTGTAACCTCAAACTCCTGGGCTCAAGCGATCCTCCTGCCTCAGTCTCTTGACCAGCTAGGACTACAGGTGTGTATCACCATGCCCAAGTAAATTTTTTCAATAGAGACAGGGTCTCACTATGCTTATCAGGCTGGTCTGGAACTCCTGGCTTCAAGTAATCGTCTGCCTCGGCCTCCCAAAGTGCTGGGATTACAGGTGCAAGCCAACACACCCAGCCCATTTTTTTAACCCATTCTGACAATCTGTCAGAACTGAGTATTGAGACACACAACTGCTGTGTTCAGATCATTTACATTTAATGTAGTTGTTGATATGTTTGAATTTAGGTCTACCATCTCATTTGTTTTCTCTTTTTTTCTTCCTCCATGTCTTCTTTCCTGTCTTGATTCAAGCTTTTTGAACTTTTTTTAGAACTCCATTTTGATTTCTCTATTATGTTTTTTGCCATCTCTTTGTATAGTTTAGTGGTTGGTCTAAGGATTACAATATACATATTAACTTTTCACAATCTACTTAGAATCAGTATTTTACTACTTCAAGTGGAATGCAGAAACTTCATCACCACACCTTGTCCCCTTTTGTATTTCACTTGTCCTACATATTAACATCTACATACACTGCAAACGCCAGACATTATCATTTTTGCTTTCAAACATATTTTTAAATAACTCATTAAGAAAACAGTCTACTGATTTGAAAACGTTCCCCAAATCAATCTCAATAGGAATAAGAACCCCATGCACACGTCATTTCATTTTCTAGATTCTTTTCATGATAATTTATTATGTGCCCTGATTTTCTTTTCTTTTTTTTTTTTTTTTTTAATTGATCATTCTTGGGTGTTTCTCGCAGAGGGGGATTTGGCAGGATCACGGGACAATAGTGGAGGGAAGGTCAGCAGATAAACAAGTGAACAAAGGTCTCTGGTTTTCCTATGCAGAGGACCCTGCGGCCTTCCGCAGTGTTTGTGTCCCTGGGTACTTGAGATTAGGGAGTGGTGATGACTCTTAACGAGCATGCTGCCTTCAAGCATCTGTTTAACAAAGCACATCTTGCACCGCCCTTAATCCATTCAACCCTGAGTGGACACAGCACATGTTTCAGAGAGCACAGGGTTGGGGGTAAGGTCACAGATCAACAGGATCCCAAGGCAGAAGAATTTTCCTTAGTACAGAACAAAATGAGAAGTCTCCCATGTCTACCTCTTTCTACACAGACACAGCAACCATCCGATTTCTCAATCTTTTCCCCACCTTTCCCCCCTTTCTATTCCACAAAACCGCCATTGTCATCATGGCCCGTTCTCAATGAGCTGTTGAGTACACCTCCCAGACGGGGTGGTGGCCGGGCAGAGGGGCTCCTCACTTCCCAGTAGGGGCGGCCGGGCAGAGGCGCCCCTCACCTCCCGGACGGGGCGGCTAGCCGGGCGGGGGGCTGACCCCCCCACCTCCCTCCCGGATGGGGCGGCTGGCCAGGCGGGGGGCTGACCCCCACCTCCCTCCCAGACGGGGTGGCTGCCGGGCGGAGTCGCTCCTCACGTCCCAGACGGAGTGGCTGCCGGGCGGAGGGGCTCCTCACTTCTCAGACGGGGCGGTTGCCAGGCAGAGGGTCTCCTCACTTCTCAGACGGGGCGGCCGGGCAGAGACGCTCCTCACATCCCAGACGGGGCGGCAGGGCAGAGGCGCTCCCCACATCTCAGACGATGGGCGGCCGGGCAGAGACGCTCCTCACTTCCTAGATGGGATGGCGGCCTGGCAGAGACGCTCCTCACTTCCTAGATGGGATGGCGGCCTGGCAGAGACGCTCCTCACTTCCTAGATGGGATGGCGGCCTGGCAGAGACGCTCCTCACTTCCTAGATGGGATGGCGGCCTGGCAGAGACGCTCCTCACTTCCTAGATGGGATGGCGGCCGGGCAGAGACGCTCCTCACTTTCCAGACTGGGTAGCCAGGCAGAGAGGCTCCTCACATCCCAGACGATGGGCGGCCAGGCAGAGACGCTCCTCACTTCCCAGACGGGGTGGCGGCCGGGCAGAGGCTGCAATCTCGGCACTTTGCGGGGCCAAGGCAGGCAGCTGGGAGGTGGAGGTTGTAGCGAGCCGAGATCACGCCACTGCACTCCAGCCTGGGCACCATTGAGCACTGAGCGAACGCGACTCCGTCTGCCATCCCGGCACCTCGGGAGGCCGAGGCTGGCGGATCACTCGCGGTTAGGAGCTGGAGACCAGCCCGGCCAACACAGCGAAACCCCGTCTCCACCAAAAAAATACGAAAACCAGTCAGGCGTGGCGGCGCGCACCTGCAATCGCAGGCACTCGGCAGGCTGAGGCAGGAGAATCAGGCAGGGAGGTTGCAGTGAGCCGAGATGGCAGCAGTACAGTCCAGCTTTGGCTCGGCATCAGGGGGAGACCGTGGAAAGAGAGGGAGAGGGAGACCGTGGGGAGAGGGAGACCGTGGGGAGAGGGAGACAGTGGGGAGAGGGAGAGGGAGAGGGAGAGGAGGGAGAGGGAGAGGAGGGAGAGGGAGAGGAGGGAGCGCCCTGATTTTCTTCTCCGGGATTGATAGTCCATTGGGGAACTCAACTATTTATTTAAAATTGTGTTTCCCAGGAAATGAGAGTTATGTATATTCAACTGTGGTTTTGTGAATGTCTTTATATTTATGGTGTTTTAAGTCACCAACTTTGCATTATAATTATACGGCAAATTGTTTATTGCTCTTTCTACTCTAATCGTGTTATAGCACATTGTTATTGTATATTTAAAGGCAACATCTACTTGCTTTCAGTTAAAACAAAAGGAAAATAGTCTACTGTATTTATCCAGATCCTGACAATTTCTGCTCCCCTTCTTTCCTGATGTTCCAAGTCTCCTCCTAGCATACAGGCCCTTCTATCTGAACAACTTCTTTCAGCAAGTCTGCTGCTGGCAACAAATTCTTCGTTTTTCATCACCTGAGAATATCTTTATTTCACTTTCATTCCTGAAGGGCATTTTTGCTGGATACAGAATTTGGGTTGACAGTTCTTTTCGGCGCTCTAACAATATCGTTTTACTTTTTCTGGCCTCCACGGTTTCTGATGAGAAATTCAGTCAAATTGTTATTCCCCAATAAGTATGACATTGTTCTTCTCTGGTTGCTTATATGATTTTTTTGTCTTTATTTTCAGCAATTTGGTTATGATGTATCTGGACATGGACTTCTTACTTTTTAGAGTTTATTTTGTTTGGCGGCCACTGAATTTCCTGAATCTATAGGTTTCTATCTTTTGCTAAATGTGGGAGATATTCAGCCATCATTTACTCCAATAGTTGTCTGCATCATATTGTTTCTCCTCTCCTTCTGACACTCCAGTGACAGTGTTATACTTTTTAGTACTGCCCCACATGTTCCTAAGGCTCTGTTCATTTTTTAAACTCATTTTTTTCTCTGTACTATGCAGACTGGATAATTTCTGTTTTTTGTTTTGTTTTGAGACAGAGTGCTCTGTCACCCAGAATGGAGTGCAGTGGCACGATCTCGGCTCACTGCAACCTCCGGCTCCTGGGTTCAAGTGATTCTCCTGTCTCAGCCTCCCAAGTAGCTGGGATTACAGGCACCTGCCACCACACCTGGTTAATTTTTGTATTTTTAGTAGAGATGGGGTTTCGCCACATTGGCCAGGCTGGTCTCGAACTCCTGAGCTCAGGTGATCCACCCGCCTCAGCCTCCCAAAGTGCTGGGATTACAGGTGTGAGCCACCACTCCCAGCCTGGATTGGATAATTTCTATTGATCTTAAAATTCCTTCACTCTTTCCTCTACCATCTCCATTCTGCTATTGAGCCTGTCTGGTTAGTTTATTTCAGTTAGTGTATTTTTCAGTTACAAAATTTCCACTTAATTCTTTTTATAGTTTCTTTTCCTTTACTGATACTTTCTATTTTCCCATCTCAGAAGTGTGCACCCTTACTTGTTGGAGCATTTTTATAATGACTGCTTTAAAGTCTATTGAATAATTCCAACATCTGTGTTATCTCGGCAGTGGTGTCTTGATTATTAAAAGATGATCCTGGCCAGGCGCAGTGGCTCACACCTGTAATCCCAGCACTTTGGGGAGGCTGAGGCAGGCAGATCACTTGAATCCAGGAGTTCAAGACCAGCCTGGGCAACATGGCAAAACCTTGTCTCTACAAAAAATATACAAAATTAGCCAGGTGTGGTGTCACGTGCCTGTAGTCCCGGTTACTCACGAGGCTGAGATGGGAGGATCGCTTGAGCCTGGGAGGCAGATGTTGCAGTGAGCTGAGATGCGCCACTGCACTCCAGCCTGGGGGACAGAGCAAGACCCTATCTCAAAAACAAAAAACAGGCCGGGCGCGGCGGCTCATGCCTGTAATCCTAGCACTTTGGGAGGCCAAGATGGGCGGATCTCTTGAGGTCAGGAGTTCAAAACCAGCCTGGCCAACATAGTGAAACCCTGTCTCTACTAAAAATACAAACAAGTTAGCCAGGCATGGTGACGGGCGCCTGTAATCCCAGCTGCTTGGGAAGCTGAGGCAGGAGAATCACTTGAACCTGGGTGGCAGAGGTTGCAGTGAGCTGAGATCACACCACTGCACTCCAGCCTGGGCAACAGAGCAAGACTCCATCTCAAACAAAACAAAACAAAACAAAAACAAACAAACAAACAAAACAGACACACAAAAAAAGACGATCCTATCTGAACCTATTCTGATTCAGAGGAAATTTTTTTTTTTTAAAGATGATTCTAGTTCTTAAGCCAATTAATTTTGAACTGCATTCTAGACATTTTCAATATTGTGTTAAGAAACTCTGAATTTTCTCTCAACCCTTGGGAGAATGTTGACGTTTTTATCTTAGTAAGCAATTTATGCAGTTAGATTCCACACACAAGTTCCAGCCAGCCTTCTGTGAGTTGTGGTTCCCAAGTCAGCTGTTTTCAAAGCCTTTGAAGCGCTTTTTGGATCCATCCTGCCTGTGCACCATCCAGTGGCCAGTTAGGGAACTGCATGGTGGTCTATCCCAGAGATGAGTTCTCCAAGTCTACGTAAGCTACTCAGCGTCAGATCTGGGTACCCACAACATGACGAGAAGTCTGGGAGTTCATTAACACCTTAAAGGGTTACCTTCCTGAGCTCCTCCTCTCTGCAATCCCCCCAGTACTTTCTAGTTTCCTGGGTCTCCCCTTTTCTGGTTCTCTAGCCACACGCTTCCCACAACTGCATCCATATCTGGGCCAGGTAATGGGGAGAGAGAGAGAATAAAGCATCGGGGGGTTCACACTTTACCCCTTGGAAACAAAATTCTTCTAATCAGCTCCCCTTTTCTGGGAGTCTCAGGCTCCCATCAGCTGCTGCTCTCATAAGAATGCCTGAGGGCTGGGGTGCAAGAGGACAGAGTAAAAAATAAAACTAGGCCTGGGCGCAGCGGCTCATGTCTGTAATCCCAGCGGCTCATGTCTGTAATCCCAGCACTCTGGGAGGCCAAGGCAGGTGGATCACCTGAGGTCAGGAGTTCGAGACCAGCCTGGCCAACATGATGAAACCCCATTTCTACTAAAAATATAAAAATGAGCCGGGGGTGGTGGTGCACGCCTGTAGTCCCAGCTACTCAGGAGGCTGAGGCAGGAGAATCACTTGAACCCAGGAGGTGGAGGTTGCAGTAAGCCAAGATTGCGCCACTGCACTTCAGCCTGGGTGACAGAGTGAGACTCTGTCTCAAAATAAAATATAAATATAAATAAATAAATAAAACTAAAAAATGGGGTTTCTTCATTCTAAGTGTTAGAGACCCATTCGCCAAGTCAGAAGTACAGAGCTTCTCCTGGTGCTCTCTGTCCACATTAAGACCTATTCCTGGGTTTGGGTCTGCCTGAGTTCAGGCTGAGAAATATTGGAAGGGAAAAAAAAATTGGTAAACTCAGTACCAATCCAGTGGTACTTCAAATTCTGGTCTTCTTCCCCAACTCACCTGCCACTGTTTACTTTCCAGAATCTCAAATAGCTGCTCCATGCTTTCTGTTCAGGTTTTATATCTGCATTCATTGGGTGACACCGGGTGGAATGTGCTTATTCCGTCTAACCTGGGACCGGGACCTGTTCACTTCTGTAAGCTCTTTCAAACCCATTTTGCAAAGGCGTAAGGGATAATGAAAGTGAAGTTTTTTCTTGTTATTTTAGAATTTGCCTGTAGGCCAGCAGCCAATTACTTCCACTGACCACCAAGACCTATCCTTGCTGCAATCTACAATGTTTTGAGACTTTTGGAGTACCCCAGACTTCTCAGAGGTGAGGAGAGAAAATGTCACTGTCCTGGATCTGCCTTCTTCTGGGATTCTTGCTTTAAAATCTAAGAGCTGACTTGAAATTCCAGAAGGCCGCCCAAGACATTCCAGGCTATACAAATGCTAACACAACAGGCCATGTACTCATCGGTGCTCACATGACAGGGTTTCATCCAGGACACTGAAACCTACAAGCCTATCCTCCCTGCGGCTATCTTTCCAACAATCAGCAGCACCCTCAGAGTCCAACCAGGACATTAACTTTCCGCTCAACCTCATTTCCAACAACGACGTCAATCCCTACAGCCTATGTACACAGTGTTATGTCGGAAAGAGTTACCGAGTCTGTTGTAAAGCATCCCCACGTATTTTCAGCCCTGAGCCTCTGACACCTGCTCAAATTACAAAGCATCACTTTTACTTTTTAAATGGTCATTTTTGGGCAGGAGGTAGGTCCCAACTGGAGACAGGGCGGCAGCCTGACCGCTGAAGCTTCGAGTCCAGCTGAGATGCCCCAGGGGTGTCCAAGAGAGAGAATACAGTCATGGGTTCTTAGTTTCTGTTTCTGATTGGGCCAGTAAAGCCCCTTCCTCATCCCTCTTTTCCGCTTCTAGATACAGAAAACAAAAACCATAGCTTCAGACTGCTAAAAGCCTCAACAAAGCAGAACAACAAAAAACTAAGGCGGGTTGGACAAGCTTGCCCTAGAGGGTGACAGTGGACAGGGAAGGGCCTTCCAGGCACTCTAACATTTAGAGGATGGGGAAGATGAGGGACCTAGCAAAGGAAACCGAAAAGGTGGGCGAACGGGCAGCCTGGAAGCCGAGGCAAGAAAGTCACTCAAGGAGCCGGGGTAATGCTGCTGATGGCCAAGGAAGACGAGGGCTGAGAACAGACGCTTGCATTTGGTGGCCGGCGGCTGACAGTCACTTGAAACAGGTGACCTCAGAGATAAGAATTGCTTATCACCGCAATTCTTCACAACATTGATCACAACTATAATTATATGTAGAGTTATTTGTTTAAATCTGTCTTTTCCTTGACCCATGGTAAATTCCAACGAAGGCAAGGGCCACAGAAGTCTTTGCCCTTCACTGTAATCTCAGGATGGATCTACTCAGAGGCTCAAATCTGTGAAACAAACAAAAGGGCCATGGAATCCAAGAAAGAAGGTTCCCCTTTACTCACAAGGCAAAGGACTGCACTTCCGAGGCAGTGTCACCATCCATGCTGCCCTGGCCAGAGTCCAGCTCATACAAAGCCAGCAACCAGAGGCCTGAAGGCAGCTCTCTCCAAATACATGCTCCCATCTTTATCCACAATAACTTCTCCGGTTCACCAGCAGTTACTGAAATTTGCCTGGCCGGTGGGCTTTGGGCCCTTTATTTAACCTGCTGTGGCAAAGATGGCTATTTTCCTTCCAATAGCTAACATTCTCTTCCTGCATACCGATAGTTCTTAAATTTTGGCATGCATTAGAATGACCTGTAGCTTCTGTTAAAACAAAACTTGTTGGGCCCCAGCCCCAGAACTTGGTTTGATGTGTCTGGAGTAAGGCCCGAGAACGTGCATTTCTAGCAAATGCCCGGGTGATGCTGATGTGACTACTCCGGGGACCGCAACTGGACAGCCACTGTTGTACTGTTATTCTCCTACCCGTGGTCATTTTTGTTTCCCCTGTTAAGAAAATCGCTCTCAAACTACCATCGAGGTTAACAAAAAATATGACTTAATTTTCAAAATGTTTATGCAATTTGAAAAGATAACTAAAAGTTAACATTTCAATATTTCCCCAAAATAGTAATATATAAGGCCCAAGCCAAAAGAATGCAGCCCAGTTAGAATAAAATCCGATGTACTGGGCAAATGTCCTGGGCAAACCACATATGGGATCAACACCACAAATCGGACCTATTGATTAAAAGTCAAGACATCCATTCCTTGACTAGTAACGCCGGGCGACTCACTGTGTTCAACCCTGGGCAAAAATACACCACATGCGCATTATCCCTTAGTGTAGAACAATTAAGCAAGTAGATGTCATAATGCCTGTTTAGCAGATGAGGAAACTGAGAAGTAGTCATTGGCTCAACAGAGACAAAAAGTGGTGAAGCCAGAAACCAAACCCAAGCCTGCAAGTCCAAAGCTCCTGGCCAGTGTGCACACCTGACCCCAGCTCAACCACAGGCTCCTTGAAGCAGGTCCAAAGCTCCTGGCCAGTGTGAACACCTGACCCCCAGCTCAGCCACAGGCTCCTTGAGGCAGGTCCAAAGCTCCTGGCCAGTGTGAACACCTGACCCCAGTTCAACCACAGGCTCCTTGAGGCAGGTCCAAAGCTCCTGGCCAGTGTGCACACCTGACCCCAGCTCAACCACGGGCTCCTTGAGGCAGGTCCAAAGCTCCTGGCCAGTGTGCACACCTGACCCCAGCTCAACCACGGGCTCCTTGAGGCAGGTCCAAAGCTCCTGGCCAGTGTGCACACCTGACCCCAGCTCAGCCACGGGCTCCTTGAGGCAGGTCCAAAGCTCCTGGCCAGTGTGCACACCTGACCCCAGCTCAGCCACGGGCTCCTTGAGGCAGGTCCAAAGCTCCTGGCCAGTGTGAACACCTGACCCCAGCTCAGCCACAGGCTCCTTGAGGTAGGTCAACCCAACTGCTCTTGGGCTCCCAGTGCGCAGCACAAGACCTGGCCTCAACATGGCTCAGTACTTGTTGGCCAAGCAGATGAAGAATGCACTGAAGAGCTCAGGCTCATTCTCTTGCACTGTGTTCCGTTGTTCCATTTCCTGTTGTTCAAGGTTGACTTGTCATAAGAAAGAAACAACGGTAACAGCAAATACTTTCTATGTCCACTACTATTCTGAGTGCGTGTGTGTATTCACCCGTTTAATCCTCACCACCATGGAGGCAGGTGCTACTGTTCTCCATACTGTAGAGATGAGGAAAATGAGGCTCAGAAAGGTTAAATAACTTGCCCAAAGTCACACAACCAAACCGTAGCAGAGCTGGGATACAAACCCTGGTAGTCTAACTCCAAAGTCCAAGTTCTTATGTCACCACGTGATGTTGCTCTCTCAAGTAATAAGAAAACTTCCAGAGAAGGAAAAGGAATTTCCTCAACACTTTCTCTAGGCTTCGGCCCTGACTGGAGTTATTGTCACCATCCTGATCACAAGTCTAGGCTGTCATGGCCCCAGCGCCTGCCTCTCTCAAGTGCAGGCTGTGTGAGCCCATGCCTATGACAGCAGCCAGCCCCAGCCAGCAGCGCAGAGGCCTCCCCACAGTGCTGAGTCCCTGACCCTGAGCCCCTCCCAGGCTTCACCAAGTCCCTTGGGTTGGGAGATGAGCGATGAGAGGGCCAGAGACAAGCAAGCAGGTCCCGGGCAGGATTGAATGACTCGCGCAGGTAAGTTACATTCTTTATTATTGACGACGGAAGCAGATGGTCCTCCTCTTGGCAATATTGTGTTACCGCATAATGAACTGGCCTAGTCATTTCAGTTCACAGAAAAAAAAAAATCCTCTAAGGTCAAGAACATAATCCATGCTCCCCTCAAAAAAAAAACAGGGTCGGGCCGGGCATGGTGGCTCATGCCTGTAATCCCAGCACTTTGGGAGGCCGAGGCAGGTGGATCACAAGGTCAGGAGATTGAGACCATCCTGGCTAACATGTTGAAACCCCGTCTCTACTAAAAATACAAAAAGTTAGCCAGGCGCGGTGGTGGGCACCTGTAGTCCCAGCTACTGGGGAGGCTGAGGCAGGAGAATGACATGAATCCGGGAGGCGGAGCGTGCAGCGAGCCAAGATCGCACCACTGCACTCCAGCCTGGGCGACAGAGTGAGACTCCGTCTCAAAAAAAAGAAAAAAAAACAGGGTCTTAAAAAGACAAACAAGTTCAAACATTATGTAAGTGATATTAAGTGCCATGGGAAGATCTATTTCTTTTTAATGTAATTGTTGCTTTTTTAAAGTGATTTCTTTAAAAACTTTATAGCAGCTTGGTTATTTAATTTCCTAAGAAATTTATAGCTAAGCTTTGCATACAAACTCATCATACTTTAATTGTATGCTATTTTAATAAGCCTACACAATAAGTGATTCAAATTCAAAATGTAACAATCAACAAAAATGAATTCCAACACTGATTTACTTAGTGAGTCCCCTGGGTCCAGATGATTACAGCAGAGAATGGCAGACAACACTCAAACCAAATTTAACCTGCCGACGCGTGAAGAATGTGGCATGTGGAAACCCACTTTGTTGCCCAGAAGCCTCAACACTGCGCTCCCGCCTCACCCCCAACAAACCACTCCCTACACCTAACAGGTCACCCAGCAAGTCAATCCCATCCATTTAGCACTTAAAGGGGCATCCTCTGTAACCCCACGACGCAGCACTGGGCCAGACCCCACTTTCTCTTGCCTGGGCTGGTCCAAGAGCCATATTCTTGCCAGGGTGATGCCATCACTCCTTACCTACGTAAAACACTCAGAGGCTCTGCAAAGCCTTGGGGTTGGAGGCAGGCTACCGGGTGCAGCGCACAGGCCCCATGGCCAGCCTCCTCCCGGCAGTCAGCCTCCTCTCGGCGGTCAGCCTCCTCCCGGCGGTCAGCCTCCTGGGCTCAGCTGCACATTGTCCTTAGCTCATGCTGTCCCCACTACCTGCCTGGCCCTGCCTGCAAAAGGGGTCCTGGCATCCCACTGTCTGGGACCGGTTTCCAGCTGTGCTACTTACTAGCAATGTGACCCTGCACATCAAGTCACACAGCCTCTGTGTCTCAGTGCTTCTTTGGTAAACTGAGTTTAATAATACTATCTTCTTCACAAGGTTGTTGCGAGTTTTAAAGGAACTAGAAACACGAGTGCTGAGTCCGTTAGAACTAGCACACAGTAATCACTCAGTACATGATCCCCATAGCAATTAATTTCCTGTCACACCTTTAACCTCAGTTGTCTGTGCCACCCCACTCCTCCTGCGCCTGCCCTGGAATCATTTCCATGGGGACACTGTTGGGCACGGGTACTGTGTCCCTTCCAACTCCGGTGCCAAGCATGAGGCCTGGCGCTTAGTGGAGCCTCAAGAGTGTCTACTGAGCAAATGTCAATGAATATAAAACTGAAGCTGGAGGAGCGAGGGTGCTGGGGGCAATGTCGCGACACTTGGGGCAGACAGCAGACTCTTAGGATGCCGAGCCGGCTGAGACCCACAGCCTAAGAGAAGCTGCAGGCAGCGACGGTCACAGCTACCTGGGCCGTGGACTTGCTGTGTCCGTGCACAAGCAAGCCTCCAGCAGTGGCATCTCTCCCACCGTAAGGAGCAAGGCAGCCCAGTGGTGAGGACATGCAGGCCTGGCATGAACCCCATCCCCACCCCAAAAGTAGGCAGCCTCAGGGTGAGCAAGGGAGAGGCATCCCAGCAGAGCCGGGGAATGTCGGCCCTCGCCTTCCTGTCCCAGAGTAGCACAGGAAGGATGTGAGCTCCAAGAAACCCACGGGAGAAAGCTTTACTATCAAACAATACAAATTTGATGATAAACACATTTGCAACTATTACTAAAACTGATTAAATACAGTTATAAACATCTAGAGCCCAGCTCTGTCTAAATACCATTATAAACATCTAAAGCCGACCTCTGTCAAATGGACTTTCCTATGTGCATGTTACAAGCTGTAAGAAATGAAGGTTAAATTCATCCACATTGTGAATACAGACTTAAATCTGAGGAACGTGGTATGCAGATAATACAAAGCGATTTCCAGTTTCAGACTCAATATGGTCATTTTTGCAAGGTTCATGAATATATGCTAAACACATCCAACAGCCTATTTCTGTGATTTTGTATCTTGTGTACCTTCTGTATTCTCTTTGAATCCTTCTGGGCATTCTCTCGGAGTGGCGCTTTCCCAAATAACTTCCATCCCAAGTCATTGTGTTTGTCAAGCCTTGCACTTTGTTTTCTAGCAAGCAAGTTCCTATAGGAAGAAAATAACAAGGTTAGGGCATTTCTGGGTAATTCAAGAAACACCAGAACAGCAGAACCACTCTAATAAAAACAAGTCAGCTTTCCTCTGAGAACCACGTACTTTAATTCTTCAGACTTGATTTTCATACAGACACAGAATTACGCGGCAGGAGAAAGACCTTAAGCCAGAAATAAACTTTTTGTTGGCCAGGTGCAGTGGCTCACGCCTGTAATCCCAGCACTTTGGGAGGCCGAGGTGGGCAGATCACGAGGTCAGGAGATCGAGACCATCCTGGTTAACATGGTGAAACCCCGTCTCTACTAAAAATACAAAAAATTAGCCCAGCATGGTGGCAGGCACCTGTAGTCCCAGCTACTCGGGAGGCTGAGGCAGGAGAATGACATGAACCTGGGAGGCGGAGCTTGCAGTGAGCTGAGATCGTGCCACTGCACTCCAGCCTGGGTGACAGAGCAAGACTCCGTCTCAAAATCAAACACACAAACAAAAAACCTTTTTGTTATTCAACTAATTCTATAATTTAGAGTAAGAAAATGTGTTATGTCATAACAAAGGGTATCAGAAAAAGTAAGCTTTGAAGTCAGACTAAACTGAATTGAAACTCTGGCTCAACCATTCATTAGCCACATGACACTGGACCAGTATATTAACCTCTGAGCCTCAGTTTCCTACATTTAACAAGGGCACACTGCCCCATGTTCTACAAGGTTGTTATACAAATTAAAATTTCAAGTACACAATTAGTGTTAAAGAGTAACAGCTGCTTTAGTACGTAACCCCTAGCTTAAATTATGTACAAGGTAAATCTGTATTACCTATTTATAATGAGTATTCACATATCATAAAAAGAAAGTTACTCATGAGATGATCACAAGGTCTTCTCTCCAAAGAACATGTAAACAAAAGTTCCAAATAACACAAATAAATCCCAACTAGTAGTATTAACACAAAATAAAATTTTGGAATGCACTGTATCAATGCATTCATTAAAAACAAATGGCTTCCAGGACTTACTAGAAAGTACAAGATGAGCCTGCAGCATCTTGCTGGACTAGAAAGAAAGTTCTCAAAGAAATACTGGGACGTGTCTAAAAGAAACAGTAGCCAGCCTGAATAGGCTCCCACTGACTCAATCTGGAACAATTTACTCATCCAAATAATGAGAACAATGGATTATAACTCACTGAATAAAAGAGAAATCCACTAGCCCATATAGGTACAAATAAACAAACATAGAAATTAATGGAGGAGGAGGAAAGCTCTTGGGAAGTCACCTAGTAAGGAGAGACCAATGGAGCTAGGAAATGATCAACAGATGCTTACACCAGTGGGGAAAGCTCAATGAGGAATGGATTTTTACACAGTTTGAAAGTGTCTCCTACAAATTCCTTATTAATTACATGAAGCAAAATAGTTAATCTTATGCCGGAGAAACCTGAGGGACACACCTCAGCCAAGTGATCAAAGCTAACATCACCAGCGAGGAGTGGTGGCTCACACCTATAATCTCAGCACTTTAGGAGGCCAAGAGTTTGAGACTCACCTGAGCAAGGTAGTGAGACTCTGTCTCTACACATAATCTTTTTAAATTAGCCAGGTACGGTGGCATGTATCAGCAGCCCTAGCTACTGGGGAGGCTAAGGCGATATCATTGGAACCCAGGAGTTCAAGGTTACAGTGAGCTATGATTACACCACCAGTCTGAGTGACAGAGCAAGACACTTGTCTCTATTTTTTAAAAAGCCAGGACAGATGGCACAGGACATCTGATCTGATGCATGGGGAACAACACACCAAGTCAATGGCGCTGATGCCCAAGAATGCATGACCTGAATCCAATCATGAAGAGAAGCAGACACACCCAGACTGAGACAATTTATACAATAATGGACCTATAAGCTCTCAAAATGTCAATGTCATGAAAACAAAGAAAGGCTGAGGAACTGTTTCAGATTAAAAGGACATGAAAGAGGGCCAGGTGCAGTGGCTCATGCCTGTAATCCCAGCTACTCGGGAGGCTGAGGCAGGAGAATCGCTTGAACCCAGGAGGCGGAGGTTGTAGTGAGCCAAGATCACACCATTGCACTCCAGCCTGGGGGCGACAGAGTGAGACTCTATCGCCAAAAAAAAAAAAGATTATTGGGACAATTGATGAAGTATGGTTACAGACTGTGGATTTGACAACAACATTGGATTAATGCTAAGTGACCTCATTTTGACAACTGTTCTGTGGTTACATAAGGGAATGCCCTTGTTCTTAGGAAATATGCTGATATATTTAAGGGTAAACAGACATGGTATCTCAAACTTACTCTTCTAATGGCACAGGAAAAAATATGCATATATACTATCACACGTAAAGAGAAGTAGAACAAATGGAGCCAAATGCACACAGTTGGTAAATCTGGTAAAGAATATATTGGAGTTCCGGGGGTTTTCTGCAGTTTTTTAGTAAATTTGAAATTTTATCAAAATAAAGTTACAGAAACTTTCAAAAAAATAAAACAAATAGTTTCACTGTTTCCTTCCTTTTCTGTTGTGGTTATAATCATTTCGGAAATAGTTTCATAGCCCAAGGTAATTTCTATTTATAAGAAATGGACTTTCACTATGATCGTGCCACTGCACTCCAGCCTGGGCGACAGAGCAAGACCTTGTTTCAAAAAAAGAAAGAAAAAGAAAATGAACTTTGAATTGTCTGAGATTCAATCCGTTTAACATCTAAGATTTCGCCATCAGTGAAGGACTTAGGCAATTAAACCAGGTTAAAACTTCAGGCAGTAGAAGACACTAAGAACCTGGCATCCAGAACTTGGGTTCACTAAGGGTATACATTTTGCTGAAGAGGCGTTGTCTGTCTCTGGGAAACTGCAGTCAGGAAGGGGAAGGCACCAGGATCCGGGACAGGCCTCTCTACTCTGGAGGGACAGGAGCTGCAGAGGGTGTAAGGAATGGACGGGAGAATTGCACAGAAGCCGCGGAGTGTGGGGATGTGCAGAAAGGAGAAGTCTGGGTGAGTGGCTCCCAGATTCGTGGTCTGGAAGGTTGAGCACAAGCTGGAGTGTTATTCACTGAAACGGGCTGGCAGGAGGACGACTAAGAGGAACAGAAACCTTGGTTTTTCAGGTCTCGGCTAACACTATTATTAGTCTGTACAAAGGTAGTGCAGATAAAAATTAATGTCAAAAATCAAAGTTGTGGCTGGGCACGGTGGCTCACACCTGTAATCCCAGTACTTTGGGAGGCCGAGGTGGGTGGATTGCCTGAGCCCAGGAGTTCGAGACCACATGGGCAACATGGCGAAACCTGTCTCTACTAAAAATACAAAAATTAGCCAGGCGTGGTGGCGCACGCCTGTAATCCCAGCTACTCAGGAGGCTGAGGCACAAAGAATCGCTTGAACCTGGGAGACGGAGGTTGCAGTGAGCCGAGATCACACCACTGCACTCCAAGCCTGGGTGACACAGTGAGACTCAGTCTCAAACAAAATCAAAGTTGCATGATTATTTTTAACATAAGAGCTTAGGCTCATATGATAGGCCATGACTTTTGAAAAGCTCATAAAAAGCATGTTGATATATTTTTTTGTGGGTTAGAGGCTGAAGTGCGACCCCAAAACAAGTCACTACAAGTGAAAAGGTGCTGTAGCCTGGGGTCTGGGCTGAAAGGACATCCTCCTTTCTGGTGGGGCAAGCCATCGGGAGTCCTGGCGTAGCTGTGGCCGGGCCCGGGAGGCCAAGGGGGAGCCAAGGAGCTGCACCTACTTGTCACATGACCAAACATCACTCTCAGGTCACGTGCAGTGAGAGAACACAGCTGGGCAGGAGCGAGCCTGGGCACTGCAGAGCCCATCTGCTCTGTCCCTTCAACATCTGTGCTGTCTGCCCGACAGGGAGACCACACTGGTGCTGCTGCTCCGGAGTCCAGCAGTCCCTCAGCTGCTGCTTCATGGGCTGTGTGGCCCGGTGAGTCAGCCCACCCTTTGACCTTCAGATGCTGAGCACACAATGGCCATAGCCACCATCTCTGACACTCACAGGAGACAGAACAGAGGGGCTGCTGGCTCCAAGCTTCCTCTTTTCACTATTTCAAATGCACCTGTCCCACCCCCGACATGGGAAGTCCTCGCACTTGCCCTCGGGGCATTCTGCAGAGCCCTCCCGGACCAGCTGCCGGGCCTGGGCTCCCCTGCTTCTGTTTCCAGGGCACAGGGCATTCCCTCCATTCTGTACCTATGTGATGGATCCATACCCTCTCCTCTCCACATGCCTTCACCTTCGGTGGGGTCTCCCAGAGGGCAGGGTAGAGTCACCTCTGCATCCCCAGGATCTACCCAGCATGCAGTAGGTTCTACACACGTCTGCTGGCAAATGGAGCAGCCACCGTGTGTGTGTGTGTGCAGGGGAGGCAAGTATAGGGCGATGAGGAGGCAGGACTGACATGCAAGGCACAGGGGTCAGGTAACGGGAGTGCAACCCAGACGAATCAAGGCCCGAGACTGAGAACTCAACAGAGGTAACCTCTCAGCAGGAAGGAGTCCCTCTGAAAAGAAGGGGTAATGGGCAGTGGGGGGCTGGGAGAGAGCAGGCAAGGAGTGGCAGACCACCACAACCTCCCTGGAGCAGGCTGAGAGCTGGGGGGTGGCCAGTAGGGGGTGAGGGCCATTTACCAACCCTGCCCCAGAGAATGCTGGACTCCTTTTGTTTTGCATCCCCAACAAAGGGCCCTTCAGTGGGAAGAAGAAACTCCTTTGTCCTATGGAGAAAAAGCACTCACTCTACTAGCAGCATTAAGGACAAGCAGCTGTTGGCCTCCAAGCTGTCTCAGCTGCTGTGCAGACACAGAGCACTCATTAACCCTGGTGAGACTCACCTGCAGCTGCCGCAACCCCACCATCAAGGGCACGGCAAGTAAACAATCGATATCTGTAGGTGCCCTGCCTCCAACCCACACATGGTCAGTGCCACCCGCACCGTCGCAGCGGGGTTCCCTGAGAGCCCAGGACTCTAGCTCATGAGTCCTGCCCCACTACCCCGATATGCACACATGCCAGCGCATAGCTGTGGTGCCTCTCCCGCCACCATCCATACCTGCACAGCGCCTAGGTGCTGGCATATCTCACCTCCTACCTAGCCCCTTCGTCCAGGTGCCCACTCAGATCCCTCCTTCTGCAGCAGGTGGGAGAGGAGACCTGACAACGTCCGCAAAGATGAGAGGAGAACCATTTCTTCTTTCTAAAAGGCTGATGTCTCGTGTCAAAAGCCCCATCGATCAGCCTTGGCTCAGACACACCTCTGCAGTCAGGAGGCCAGAGCGAGACGCTTTCTCAACAGCCCTCGGCCGCATTCATTCAGACACTGAACAACAGAAACAGGAGTCGTATGTGCTCTAAACCCTCTGGTCTTCCAGGTTAACACCAGGACTCCCCACTGTCCAGCCTCCTTGTCCTCCTGCCTTTTTTCGGCTGCATACACCCTGCAGACAGATGCCAGTCGCGCCCCAGGTGTGCCTGCCTTGCCCCTCCTTCAGGCACCCCGCAGGTACAGCTCCACACCAAGCCCCAGACCCCAGCAACGCTCTCTACCAGGGCCATCTTCTGTAAGCACAAGTGGACCACGCCAGCCCTGCCACAAATCCTGCCAAGGACTTGCACCTGTTTTTGTGGCAATGGCGTCGTGGCTCCAATCACCTACCTCAGGCCTACCACACAGGCTGCTCCCTCTGCCCATTAAGTGCCCCCGAGAGGAGACTCAGGATTAAATGAGGGGGTTCAGCCTGGCCATGCACACACAGCCCCACCACCAGGCTCAGCTCCTCGTGGACTGGGCACTGCAGAGAAATTCTTCCCTACTCAACTCCTCAGCAGGGCCAGCTCAGCTCCCCCATGGCACAGAGAGATTTGGGGGGTCACAGTTGACAAGAATGGGGAGTGCCCATCAAAGGGTGCCCTGAAAGGTGCTGGCCCCATCAGGATTTGTCCACACAGGCTGCTCAGTGTCATTTTAAAGCCATATGGCAGAGCCTGGGAAACACGCTGGGGGCCGTCAGGGATCAGGCCACACCCGGCCATGTGAAGAGCCTACCTGTAAGCCAGAGAGAGGCAGAAGCACTTTTGCACAGGGAAAAGGGCCCAGTGCTTCCCTGGGGCGTTTCTCCAATGACTTGCAAAGTAATGGGGAAAAGACAGGGGACACCAACAAAGTAATGTTAAGAATAATGGCGTGTCCATTTTTCTGTGAAGGCAGAGCTCCCAGGTCCAGTGTCGAGTGCCAGACCCCAGGACACGGTGTCCTAATAATTAGGAGCGAGGTCCACGGCTCACACATTTAACTGGGACAAAAGGACCTTCAGAAGCCCCATTCCCAACAAGAGTAGTCAGGTACGCGTTGGACACCGATTCTGGCCTCTCTCGGCCTCCTCCGCACTGTTACCAGGGTCTTTCACAGGCCTGTGCAGTGCACCCGATTAGGCTGGAAGGGCAACATCTGAAGAGACGCAGCGGGGGCTGAAAACAGCAAACCGCCTGGAGGCTCCAACACCCCTCACCTTCTGACAACAGGTTGGGGCCTGTGCGGTCCCATACAGGAGCCACTGGACACGCCAAAGGTGCAGCTCATCATGCTGAAAGATGCTGGCTGACATAAAACATATTATTATTTTTTAATGTCAGATAAAGTCTGGAAACAACCCAAGAGTTCCTGATACACTCACAGGCAGCTTTCAGGAGGCCAACAGGCATTTTTTTGAAGGGAAAAAAGCAAGGTACATAATCATACAAGGCATGCCATGTAACACCTGCATCTGCATTTGCCTGTACAGCCACAGACTCTCTGGAAGAACACAAAAACTGCTTATATTCATTGCTTCTGGAGCAGGATATTGGGTAGCAAAAGGCACGGGGTAGGCCAGGCATGGTTGCTCACATCTGTTATCCCAGCATGTTGGGAGGCAGGGGTGGGCGGATCACTTGAGCTCAGGAGTTTGAGATCAGCCTGGGAAACATGGCAAAACCTTGTCTCTACAAAAAATACAAAAAAAAAAAAAAAATAGCCAGGCATGGTGATGTGCATCTGTAGTCCCAGCTACTTGGTAGACTAAGGTGGGAAGATCACTTGAGCCCCGGAGGCGGAGGTTGCAGTGAGCTGAGATCGCACCATTGCACTCCAGCCTGGGTGACAGAGCCAGACTCTGTGTCAAAAAAAAAAAAAAAAAAGGGGCACAGGGTAGAAAGCCAACTTTTCACCCATATACTGTCTTGTAATTTTTGATTTCTGAGCCATGCAAACGTGTTGCTGATGGAAAAAAGTTCATAAAAAATTTAAAAGCCACTGCAAAACTAGGCATTTCTGCCATTAGAAAATGAAATGCTTTGTACCACTCCCACCTCATCCTTCAAATCAGTAAGACTTCATCACACCCCAAAAAAGTACAGGATTTTTCTGCACTCCTAGCAACACAACTTGGCAAGATCGGGCCACTCCTGTTGCATTAGGTAGGAAGTGACAGCAAGCAAAAGGCCAAAGAAGAAATGCAAGTATTCAGTGATGCGCTGCTGGTACCAAAAAACAAGGCCTTTGGAAGAGACATAAAAATGTTTATTCCACAGTCTAAGTACAATCGTCATGCCTACTATGCCTCAAAAATGGATCCTGAGAGGGTTCCAGAGAAGGGGCTGCATGGAGCGCTGAGCCTGTGATCCCCCCTTGTTCCCACTCACTCAGCAGCTCTGCACGAACCCCTGCCCACACTGTGCTTCCCAGAGGCGGGGGCCCTGCTGGAAACAGCAGCAGCCGGCTGTGAGCCTGCAGGAGGACCACAGCCTTCACACCAGCCCGGGGGAAGGCCCAGCAGAGACCAAGGGCTTCAGAGAAGCAGGCAGAGCTGTGTCTGCCCTTGACTTTATCTCTTGGCAGGCACTGCTTCTGAGCCTCATTTCTACCTCTCAGGATTAAATATGATAAAAAGAAAGCCAGGAAAGCACCCAGCACCTGCTGCAGGGCCTGGCACCCTGCATATTCCATTCAGTGACACACACTCTTAAGTGAGCACCTATCGTCTCCAAGGCTCAAACTATAAAACAAACAGGTGAGTTAATAATGCTACCATCCTCGGCCGGGCGCGGTGGCTCACGCCTGTAATCCCAGCACTTTGGGAGGCCGAGGCGGGCGGATCACAAGGTCAGGAGATGCAGACCATCCCGGCTAAAACGGTGAAACCCCGCCTCTACTAAAAATACAAAAAATATTAGCCGGGCGTAGTGGCAGGCGCCTGTAGTCCCAGCTACTTGGGAGGCTGAGGCAGGAGAATGGCGTGAACCCGGGAGGCGGAGCTTGCAGTGAGCCGAGATCCCACCACTGCACTCCAGCCTGGGCGACAGAGCGAGACTCCGTCTCAAAAAAAAAAAATGCTACCATCCTCAAGAAGCTGACCAATAAACTGGCCAATGAGACAGGGGTACGGACACCTTGAGAACCAAGAGGAGTGTCCGGCTTTCGAGGGTGAGAGAAAGAAGATTGAAGAGTGAGAGCATTCCAGGGAAGGGCATTAAGAAGACTGTTCAAGCCAGGCCCAGTGGCTCACACCTATAATCCCAGCACTTTGGTAGGCCAAGGTGGGTGGATCGCTTGAGGCCAGGAGTTTGAGAATAGCCTGGGCAACATAGTAAGACCTCATGTCTACAAAACATTTAAAATAAAAATAAGCCAGGCGTGGTAGTGCACACCTATGGTCTCAGTTACTTGGGAGGCTGAAGTGGGGGGAATCGCTTGAGCCCAGGAGTTAGAAGCTGCCACAAGCTGA